>NC_000004.12:187103199-187406229 GCF_000001405.40 Homo sapiens
AATATTTTAAATAATGTGCATGAAACAAAGTTGGTGTACATTGAGCCATCAGAAAACAAAAATGCCACGACCTGAGCCACCCATGTGGATAATCTGTGGTTGTTTGGCATCACCGTCTTTCATGACTGAATTTATGTGCTACCTATAAGCAATTTTGTGTATGCTGATTCACACATCAGTACTTCACAGTCACAAATATGACATACTGTTAATATAGTGTAAAAACAATGTGTGCAGGCTAGCTAAGCAGCACAGAAGCATCACCAGATACCTGTATCAGCTGCTAACCAACAGCAACAACAAACAATGGCAGGTGTCTGTTCTTCAGCTACAATGCTGTGCTTGATTAAGCACACCGTACAGTAACTCCCTTGGGAACTGTGAATAAACGGTGTGTTGTGCACCTGTGTTTTGACTGCTACCCATCACATGAGGTCAGCTGTGAAATTCCCGCTTGTGGTGTGATGTTGGCATGAATTTTGGAGCATTCTGAATTTTAGATTTTCTGATTAGGAATGCGTAATCTGTAGTATTCTGTTCTAATGTTGGTCTTTGGTGTTGCAATTATTGTGTTAAGATTTTGTTTGGTCTATCAAAAGTCATAATGATGACTACTGAAATGATTTTGAAATCAGTAGTTATTCTTTGTAAAAGGAGGATTTTGAAGATCCAATGTCTTTTATCAAACATCTCACCAGTAAATTAAGAAGATCTAAATCTTGCCACACACACACAAACACACACACACACACACACACCCTTATGCTTTAAAATCTATCTTTCCAATGTGGTTCCCACTGCACATCTTGAGGGGATCTTCTCTGGATTTCCACATAAGCATTGTTCAGAAAATGCTTTTCAGGCAGAGCTTTGTCCTCCAGAAATTCCATAGACTAGCAGGTTGTAGGTACCATTCACGTGGATAACCAGCTCTGAGGGCAATGATATGAATTTAGATTAAAACAAATGAAAATACCATCTGTTTTGTGGTTAGGCTATTCATCTCACTATAATGGTAGACCATCTATAGTCATCTATGCTTGGCTTTGGAAGGATAACCCTGATCAACACAAGTATTAAATAATGACAAGCCCCTAAATAGTTAAAGCTTAATCCAAATTGCCAATTACCTTTCCAAAATTTTGAAAAGAGAACTTTATAGAAAAGCTTATTAAATATGGCTAAAAAGAATGTTTTTGGTACAGAAGGTGCTTTTATCCAGTAGTTTTCAAGAACTTCAAGTACACGTTTCAATTCATACATTTCATTCATGCATTACACAAATACAGAAAGTAAAAATTATAAAGTTAAATCTATTCTTCCAGCATTCCTAATGAATTCTTCTGTGATACCTCCTTGCTGGATTTTCACATTCCAACACAGAGACCGTTGGTTAATCCAAACTTTTGCCTTCACAAATTAGCCCACATGGCTTAAATTTAAGAACATAATTTGTTTTTTTGTTTGTTTGTTTGTTTTAGTTCTAATCTTAGCATGTTAGGGAAACTGTGGGGTTTCTCTAGAAAAGTTACAAATAAAAGATAAGCCTCTTATTTTACAAATTCCTCAAGGTGTGATACAAACTTGATCGGAGCAAACACTTCCCTATCAATGCAATGGATTCCCCATATAACTCCCATGGACTGTGTGTGAGGCTCTTGTCAGAGAGATGATCCAGTCAGAAGTCAGAAAAAAGAAAGGCATTTGAATGGTATTTCTTTGCCAATTCATATTCACCGCCTCTAAACCCTATACTCTTATTTTCTGCTGGAAGTATGAAAAGGGAGGGAATAAATGTAGGAAGAAAGGAAACTGCGAAAATAGGGAGGAAAAGAACAGAGAAGAGGAGAGAGTGGAATGGAAACAGGAACAGGACATTTCTGAAGGGTATTATCCACTCTTGGCTAAGGTGAAGTAGCAGCTAATTAGGCTATGGGGAGACCCAGAGCACCCTCTTTTCTTTTAGCAAACCCCCACGAGCTTATGGCTTTTCCCCCAGCTGGGCAGGTTTCCTATTGAAATCTGTCTCCTGGAGGACTCTGGAGCACGTCTCTATCTGAAAAGCCTCGTAACTGTGACCTTGACAAACATCCCTTGCAGGACCTTGAGAGATGGTAGAAAATTTAGAGTTTTGTGATTTACATGCTGCAGAATAGATACCTATTGATCTTTTTTTTCCTTCTAAGAAAATGTTCCTTTGATACATTCTGGCTGAAGAATTGGAAAATATGGGTTTTATTTTGTTTCGATTTGATTTGGTTTTTCCAAAGGAGAGATAATCGGTGAATTCCACTGGGGATGGGTGGTTGTTTAGCCAAGTGTAATGTTCCATAAATTATCTGGGCCTTGAACTATTGCCATGTATGATACATGAGTGATACACACAACCCAAAAAGGATTTATTCTTTATTTTCCCACCCAGTTTCAGAGGGAGAAAATAACCAGGAGCCAGGAAATAGTGATAATAAACTTCACTATACCTTAAAAACCAATGTTATTCTCATTTTCATTAAAGGACAATGAAGCTCATGAAAATAATCCACATACTGATACTATTCATCATCTTCCTCATCACAAATTAAAAATGATGCTAATTAAAAAGGTATTCATATATGTAAAGCTGTTGTTTTTAGTCTTTTTAAAAAAGCTCATACCATATATATGTATATACGTTTTTTCAGCTTTACTGAGGCATAATTGCCATTTTATGTATTTAATGTATACAACATGATATTTTGATGTATGTATAGATTGTGAAATAATTACACAATCAAGCCAACTAACATATTCATCACCTCACACAGTTGCCTTTTTCTGGTGTAGTGAGAACACTTGAGATCTACTTTCTTAGCAATGTAAGTGTACAATACATTATTACTAACTATAGTGACCATGCTATACAGTAGATCTCCAGAACTTACTCATGTGATAACTCAAAGTATGTATCTTTGTCTTAGCCTTTTTTTTTTAGTGGTTGAAAAGAAATAATCAAAAGTTAGTTTTTTTCTGCCTTTTAAAATTTACTGTTTTTAAAGCAGCACAAATATAATATTTGATAAATGTTACTTTTATATATGTGATTTCTGGCATATGAAAATAATCTCTTGTTAGCTGTTTTTAAATGTCTTTTTTCTTGATGCTAGTTGAGATTTAAAGGAGAATTTAAATGTAAAAAATCTAGAACAGTTATCTCAAGAAAAGTGCCTCCAGCCTCTTAAGCCATTATTTACATGAGGAATTGCCAGGAGCAGCAGCCATTGAATGCGAAGCAAGAGGCTGCTCTATGTGTATGTTTTATAGTTCCCCTTTGAACCTGTCTAATTCCAGTGTGAAAATAATGTTTGGCTCTTTATTAGCTAATTTGAATCTACTTTGTGGTTTATATAAAATACATTCTCCTAGGAGTTTATAATCCAGGAAATGTTCTTGATACTTTGAAACTCTTTTGGGGAGACATGTGGTTACTTCATTGAGGACTGCACTTCTTCGAAGGAGAATGTGACCAAGTTCGCTGCTCTACAAGTGCTAGGGAGAGCGTGGAGGCGCACTCAGTGAAATGACAGGAAACATACAATACCCGTGGCATTTTACTTTAATCCCAGATTTTCCTAAAACAGTCGTTATAACCACCTTGAAAATAAATCGTTTAACATTCTTTCCCCTATTCATGAAGTAGGGTACAATATTATTTAATTTATAGCACAAGAATTTTGTGAGACCTGGAAATATTGATAATACAAATTAGGAAGAAAATAAAAACTCTGGCTTATGTCTTAGACCTTCAAAAGTTAGAATTTGTGGAAAATTAAGTAGCAAATTAATTTGTAGCTTGTTTTATTTCTCTGTTTTTATTACATGGGGATTTGTGGTTATAAAATAATTATAAACTTTTAGAACTGGAAAGATCTTAGAAATAATCTATTTTACGAATGAGGAAATTAAAATCAATATACGTACAATGATGTGCCCACATCTGCACAGCTCTGGAAAGTTCTCTTCCTGTTGAATGTATCCTTTTTTAGCTTTCAGGGAAGATCGAAAATCATAATTATGCACCCTGCCTCCTCTGTTCAAATCCCACTCCAACCTTACTTATGACTTGGAGTTTGGCAAAAACTTCCATGTTCCAACAGGACCTTGCCTCCCTGGCAGTAGTAGATTAACTAGGGATACTGATGGCGCAGTAATTCCAGGGATGATCAAGAGAGCCAACAATGTTGAGTGCTTCCCATAAGCCATAGTCTTTGAAATCCTTAATATGTGTGAGTTTGTTTAACCCTCACGACGATATGCTTTGGGATAGATACCACTATCATCTCTATTTTCCAAATGAAGAGCCTGAAATGGAAGTAAGTACTTTACTGAAGCCCACACATATGGTAGGGGCAGGGCTGTAATTCAGTGTGGCTCCAGCATCTGTGCACTACATAGCAGGCATACAGTTAGGACAATCTGAGGACAATTATTGGCCCAAAGTTGGGCACGGGACATAAGCCAGGCCAACAGGAGCTATTTCCTGGAATTTTTCAAACAGAATCTAGAGAATGAAGTATGTTTCTGATGGGCAGGGTGAGAGATGTCCACCACAATTCTGTCAGGCCATATTTCCTGCTAGGCTGAGGAAGCTCGTCAGAGAGAAGGAAGCTAACACATGTGAGGAGTAGAGATTGGAGAAGGCGAGAGTGTCGTGGGATGGGCACCTGGCTGCATACCTGCTGTTCCCTGCAAAGCTTTTAGTCGATTAAATGTTTCTCCCTTTTCTTTTTTATATGTAAATCAGAGGAGATTGCCTAATTAAAGTAATTATTGATAAGAGCGAATCCCTGCTTAGCTCTTACTATGAGTTAGGCATGGTTATAAGTGCTTTTTATCTCATTTATATCACTTAATCCTTAAGATAATCTAACGCAATAAGTTCTACTTTCAATTCCCATTTTATAAAGGAGAAAACAGGGGCACAGAGAAGTCACTTGCCCAAAGGTATATGGTTAATACCGTGACTACCTGCTGTAGTCAAACTGAACATGGGACTGTTTGACTCTGAACTTGGTTCTTAGCTCCATGCCCCGTATTCCCCACATGACCTAGAACCCACTGCATGGAGATCTCCATTAACAGTGAAAACCAAAAATCTTTCCCAAGTGATTCAAAAATACTACCAGAGACAGTTTTTATATCTCCTCTATGGGGCTGACAAGATTTAGGAGTGACAGTTTGCTGATGATATTACCACAGTAAATACTTGTAATATCAATAGTGATCACATATATTTTAAACATTAGCCATTTATTAATAATAATGATGGTGACTATTTTTTCTAAAGTGCAATGCACCTTAAAAAATTTAAGAAAATAAATGATTCTGATTTATTTTCCTCAAATTGTGTAAGAACATTTTTATGGATAAGAAAATGATAACTTAGAAACAATTAAAACTTGAAATAATTATTAAATAAATTGGACATGGGTTTCACTGAAATAACAGTTCTGGAAGTTCAACCTAGGCTTTTCACTCTCAGTCACATGTGCTTTCTCACAAGGCACTGGAAAAGCGTCATGCAAATACAAATTAGTCTCATCCTAAAAGGCAAAGTAAACAGCAAAACATGTACCCAGTGAATGTAATGAGCAGTCACACTGAAGCTCAGGCTTAAGCTACGGGAAAACTCTTTTTATCCTTTAGCAATAAATCCTGTTTTGACTGAATTATAGTATTTGGATAATTGATCCAATTCTCTTCACATGCGCATTTATTATTAGTGTTCTATGTGGTCTAGCTAAACCCCAGTGATTCATGAAGAGCAATCATAACCACAGAAATAAGGCTCCAAGATGTACTTCCAAAGCACAGGCCAAGCATTTGAATAAGCTGCAGCCTGCCTGTACCATTAATCTTGCATGCTGCTTTGCAAGTGTGTTCTATTGGATTATATTCAAGGCCATTTCGCCATGTGTTCAACTAGACTGCAAATTCTTTAAAGGATGGACCTCAAAGGGGTATCATGAAGGAAAACATGCAATATTACAAAGTGCTTAGCTCTTTATAACTCTTCTCTTGCTTTTATTCATTCAACAACTATCCACTGACCACCTCCTTGGTGCCAGGCCTGAGGTTCTGGAGATATAAGCAGTGAGCAAGAAGTGGACGTGGGCCCCATCCCAACAGAGCTTACATTCTCAGGGAGGGAAGCAGCCCATAAGCACACTAGCAAGCAAGCAAGCAAGTAAGTATGCAACAGTAATTAGTGCTCGGAGGGAAAGTGTGGCATGCAGTGCCTGAGATCCATCCTTGGAGAGGAGATGTGGAGGCTGAAGCTTAAATGCTGAGACAAGCTGGCCTTATGAGGATCTGGGCAGGAATGTTCTGGGTCCCAGGAGCAGTTGGGGCAAAAGCATTGTGGTTGAAAAGCACTTGCTTCATTTAAGAAGCAGAAAGGATGTCCATGTGGCTGTGGAACCGTGAGTGAGCTTGAAGAAGAGTGGGAAAAATGGGAATGGAAAGGTAGAAGAGTTTTAGAAAGGGGCCACATGGTTTATGTCCTAAATCAGAGGTAGACACACTTTCTCTCTAAAGAGCCAGAAAGCAGATGTTTTGGACTTGGTGGACTGTGTGGTCGCCATGGTGACTACTCAGTTCTGCAGCTGTGATGCAAAAGCAGCCACAGGCGACGTGGAAATGAATGGGCATGGTGTCTGCGAACACAGCCTAATTTATTGGAACAATAAACTGGGAATTTTATTTTTAAATTTTAATATTAAATCTCTTTAAAAGATAACCCGGCCTTTATGGAAATATGATGATGATATGATAACCGTGAAGAGTGCACATTCCCTGTGCAGTTCAGGCAGAGCTCTCAGTGCGGGGTCAAGTTCAAAGAAACGCCAACCTCACACCACAACGTCCTTGTAAAGTTGTTGTAAATCTGTATGGAGGTACCTCAAAAAAATGCCAACAAAGGCTCCCATTCATAATAAACAAGCCTTCCTGAAATACTTGTTTATTACGTTTTTCACTTATTTCACATACAGACAGAGCTGTCGCCTAGCTCTTTTCTTCAGTTTTAACTTATTTGTTATTGATATGTGATATTGATTGATATCAATGTATTAATATATTAATATACAATATATTGTATTAAAATATCACATGTACTCCAAAAATATGTATAATCATACACAATACAATGTATAATGATCGAATCAGGGTAATTAGGATCTCCATCACCTCAAACATTGATCTTTCCCTTGTGTTGGTAACATTCAAAATCCTTCCTTTTAGCTATTTAAAAATATACAAAAAATTACCATAATTTCCCTCCTGTACTATTGAATATTAGAACTGATTTCCTCTATCTCTTTGTATTTTTGTGCCCATTAATCATATCTCTTTATCTGCTCCACTCCACACCCTTTCCAGTCTCTGGTAGCCATCCGTCTACTCTCTAGCTCCGTGAGATTATTATTTTTTTAGCTCCTCCACGAGTAAGAGCATGTGATATTTATTTTTCTGCACTTGGCTTATTTCACTTAATATAATGACCTCTAGTTCCATCCATGCTGCTGTACATTATAAGACTTCATTCTTTTTTATGGCTGAATAGTACTCCATTGTGTATATGTATCACATTTTCTTTGTCCATTCATCTGTTGATGGCTACTGAGGTAGATTCCATTTCTTGGCTATTGTGAATAGTGTTGCATGTCGCCTAGATCTTGCTTCCTCTCTCCAAACTTCCCCACACTCACCAAATCCAGCCCAGGTGGACTTTAATTATTGTACCCATTAAGTCTTTGGAATCTATTGTTTCCCTTTATACCAGGAGTTTTCAGTGTTCACTGAGTCCACTGCTTTTTGAATGATGCCCAGTCCTCAACATGTCCCCTTTTTCTCCTTCCCTATTTTAGTTTACATGAACCATACATACAGTTAATTGTTTTCAAACACCCAAACCTCCCTTGCCACTTTCTCAATGTCATTTTCGCCAGCAAAATACGTAACTTGGTCAAACCCAACTGTCTGTGTATTAATCGTGGCTGGAGAACAACGCACGCCCTGGCTGGCTGCATTCTGTCTAAAACCATCCATAAGTCTCCAGTGGCAGTTTCCATGACCCTACAATCCAGACATCTTTGCCTGTACAGTTTAACTTGCTCACTTTTTGATACAATTTTCTGCCCTTTTTTTTTCAGATATTTCCAATGGTTTAAAATTTCAGCGAATTATCTTGTCACATATGTAATTGAGAGAATGGAAGTTCTCAGAATGAAACTTTCTCTTTGTTCACCATCAAATCTGTCTAAATACTTCTACTTCTACCCACACACTTTGTCTTCTCTTCTGTGATGGTGGATGAGGATCCCCGGCTCCCATCAAAGGCAGTTCCTGGCTGGTGCTCCGTATGTTGCCCTTCTCCACTTCTAGGGACTTTGACTCAGCAAATAATGCTCCCTTTTCTGCATCTCAGTTTCCCATCCTCTTCTGAATTATTATTTTCAGCTTGTTCTGTAGATTCCTGGCTTAAGAAAACTCTCCCTTGAGCACACTGACCCATGTCTTCCTATAGCTACTGGCCCATTTCTCCAATTCTTTGCTTCACATTTTCTTTACAACCCACAGTGTCTGAGCTTCCATTACACCACTCCACTGAAACTGCTCTTGTCCAGGTCACCAGTGGTACCAAAGATGCCAAAGGCACCTGTGGTGTTGGCCAATCCAAGGATCACTTCTCTCTCCTGGTCATACTTTGCCTCTCAGACGCATTTGACATCAATTCAATTCCAAAGATTCTTTTCCACCACATTGCAATTCTATGCTTTCCTTTTCTGTACTTCACTGATCACTGCATTCTTCTAAGTCAAATTGTTGTCACCTCTTTTTGTGCTGAGCACCTAAATATTTGGGTCTCAGAGTTTAGTTCTAGGTCCTGTAGTCTTCAGTATCCAAACTCTCTCACTAGGATAGCTCATCCAATATGGAGCTCTTAATACTATGTATATGCTAATAATGTTAATATTTATACCCTCAGCCTAACCCATTCAAACTCATGTGGCTGCCTGCCTATTTGACACTGTTGCTTAGATGTCTAATAGACAGCTCAGTTAACTTGCGCAAAAGGAAACTCTTGTCGATTTTTTAAAATCCCTAAATTGATTACTCCTCCTGTCTTTCTATCCACCCAGTTATTAAAGACTAAAATCTAGAAACCATCCTTGATCTCTTTTACCCTCAGATTCCACATCTAACCCAACGTTGAGTCTTGCTAATTCTATCACCAAGATGTATCTGGTATTGGTCTACTTTTCATCTCTATGGCAACCTCCATACTCCATGTCATCATCATCACCACATGGAATGCAAAAGCTTCCTAATCAGTGCCTTGTTTCCACTCTCGCTCCCATTAATCTGCTTTATCTTCTATTTTGTTTTTGCAAGCTAGCATAATGCTTTTAAATAGCCTGAAGCAGATCACATTATGTTATTTCTCTGCTCAAAATCTTTCAACGGCTTCTAGTGCCTTTTGATTCAAATGAATCAAACTGAAATCCTTCATCAGAGCATACAGGACCTTGTTTTCTCTCCATCTTTGTCTCTACTATTGTCAGTCTTGGTCACTGCAATCTAACTAGTAGGTACTAGTTGACTTGGATCATTTCCGTATCACCTCCCTGCCAAGGCATCCACAGACCACTCAATTTAAAGTAATTCAATCCTAGTCAAGTTTTAATATTATTATTCTGAATTATTTTAATATTATTAATAAGACTATTCTGTATTATCTTAATATTATTTTTCTGTATTATAGACTTCTAGTCTTTAGTCATAACTGAAATTATTTTATTTACACAAGTACACAAGAGTGGAGACCTCATCTGTTTAGGTCCTCTGTGGTATTCCAGCACCTAGAACTATGTCTAGAACAGGATAGAGAGTCAGTAAATGTTAGATCAATGTATGATCCCTTTTACTTTCCTAGATTCTCCAACTCTGCATCTCTTACCTTTACATTTAACCTGCACATTAAAGGCCCAAGGATTGGTTGAGCAGAGACAGACGTCTCCTCTGCACACAGAAGGTAAAACATGGCCATGACTGTATTAATATTTTACTCTAGTAATTAATAAAGCCATAATTTATGGAGTTTTTTCATGTGCTTTTATCCACTCTCTAATTTACCCTGTCAACCACCTTGGAATGTGTATTACTGGAAATCTAGTTTTTGCTGTATGTTTTCCCCTTCGTAAGGGGACTGCCCTTTCCTGATTCTGTGCAGCTCTCTGGCACCTCCAGGTCTGGTGGAATTGATCTTGCTTCCCTGGACCAAATGCTGGACCCACCAGCTGGACAGTCAGGGTTCGCCTTCTGCCTGGAAACCATTAATTGGTTCAGGGATGGTCACATGATCCAAATATGACTAATTGTTCCTCTTTGGAAAGCTTGTTGGAAAGAGCAGGGAAATTGCAATGTTTTTTTCTGACAGGTTCATGTTTAAATAGGACCTCACATATTACGGCCTCTGCCTGGAAATGAAGCTCATCCCGGGAAAAGAGGCGTGAGTGATGGAGAGCGGGCGTGAGCGTTGGAGAGCGGGCGTGAGTGATGGAGAGCACCCTCGTCTGAGCTCACGGACACCGCCTGAGTGAACCGGTGCTATCTTTGGCACTTTTCACGAAGCTGTGGTAATAAGCCTTTTTGTACCTAAACTAATTTGAATTGCATTCCACAAACCCTTGACTAATTCGATTACTATTCTTATTTTATAATTGGGGAAAATGAAAAGTGTCTTAAAGTTAAGACACTTGCCAGGGAGGAAATATTTGAGCAAGCCTTTCTTTGGTAAATAGCATAGGTCTAATATGGACTAGCGTTTTAATTATTTTGATGATATTTAAATTTTTTCCACTTTAAAAACATTTTATTAGATTTTTTTTTCTCTTAGTGTATATACAAAATTCACGCAGGAAAAAACCATATTACTTTAAGATAATGCTTTGGATTATGTATTTTTTTTCTCAAAGCTCATTATTTAGTCAATGGAATGAAGTTCAGTAAATTAAGAATTGACAGAAATTGGAAATTATGTAAAATTATACGGGTGTCAAGAGAAGGATTAATGAAATTTAGTAGTTGATACTCACAATTAAAGTAAATGTGCAAAATTGGGTACTTTACCACGAGAGAGCACTAGCTTTCAGGAAAGTAAAACAAAAAATGTATCTCCTCTATATTGGCTGCATTCTAAATTACAAAGATTGAACATGAAAGACAAACGGACTTATGGGTTAATAAAAAAGAAAAATACGCCCATTCTCACTTTACACTATTGGTAAATATTCGAGTGTACAAATAAGCAAAAGGAACATTAGTTAATTCAGAAATGAGAGCGAACTAACTGAAATGTTCTGTGATTGATGGGAGAGGCTGATAGAATTCACAGGTTATTGGAATACTAATTGCACCACATTGGCGGCCTCGTCAAATACCATTTTGCTTTTTATAGATGGTTATACTGTTCACTCACTTAATCAAATCAGAAAACTTGGTCATCTTAGATTCCCCACTCCTTTTGTTCACCTTCCCTGTCTTTACCATTTCAAATTGGCTCTCTTGTCTTAGAGCTTATGTCTCTAAAACAACCATGGCTGAACGCTGCCCTGGCACAGTGTGTCTTCCTTGTCCAATCTCAGGGTCTCATCTTCGTGCATCAGGCTCTGTCTATTATAGTCCAGCCTACATAGAGCTGCAAAGGGTTATTTAAAAGAACACACTGAATTGCACCACGTTTATGCTTAATACTCTTGAAATATCTGTTACCTGAAGAATAAAGTTCAAAAATAGGGTCCTTAGAGAAGTATTTATTTGTTAGGCATTATAGATATTTGTTAGGTACTATAGGGTACAAGGAAAGATGAAATATGGGCCTTCCTGTAAGGAATTTGCATAAGGTTGTGTGATTGGGAGGGTGGGGTGATATCCAAAGGCAGCCATCTTCACGGAAAGCTTATTACAGATAAGGACCAGTACAACGAAGCTCAAAGGGATAGAACTTAGCATTGCCTCTGTTTTCAGAAAGGCTTCCTGGAGGAAAGATGCCAAGTTGAGGCTCAAAAAGTCACCTAGGCTCAGAAGAAAAAGAAGTGTAGATTATTATCCAGGCAGTTATAAAAGCAGGAAAAAAGGTACATAAAGTTTCTCAATAACGGCAAACAGTTCAGTATTATGAAAACATAAACAATGACGTAGGAAGCTGAAGCTCAGAGGGATGGAGAAGGAAGTAGGATTGAAGGGTTCATGAAGCCCTTTAACCTCTACTGATTGAGTACTCTGCTGAGGATACAGAATAAACCAGAAAAGAAGCTCACCCAGCTTCTCTGGAGTTAGCAATCTATAGTTTAAGGGCCAAATACATAAAAGCAGTGCAAGTTCTGATAATGCTATGAAGGAAAATGTAAGTTATTGATATAAAAAGTGAGAGGATAGATCTATTTTAAATGTGATGGCCAGGGATGGGCTCTCTGGGTGGGTCTCATTTGAAAACGAGAAGAAACTAGCACATGCAAAAATTGGAGAAGGTTCTATTGCAAGGGCCCTGTGCTAAGAAAGAGCTTGACTTCTTGAAGAAGCAAAGGAAGACCACTGTGCCTATCAAAGCAAGTGGGGGTGGGGGAAGCAGCTAGAAATGAGATTGATGAGCTGATGAGGGACCATCCTTGCAAGGCCCTGGAGATCATGGTAAATTATATGGATTTCATTTCAAGTTCAGTGAGAAACCTTTCAATGATCTTAAACAAGCTAAACAAGCAAGCATACACCATGGTATGGAGTTTGTATATCTTGAGTAATGGGGAATCAATAACAGGTTTTAATCAGGGAAGTTCATAATCACATCTAATTTGATTCACTGTAGAGGTTGGATGAAGAGTGTTATAAATGTGAAATAAGAGTGGGGTAAAATGTATTGATCGGGAGGACATTGTAGTTATGCAGGCAACAGATGTTGAGCTGGTATTTGTACAGAGAAAAGGATACAATTAAAAAACATTTTAGGCTGGGTGCAGTGGCTCATGCCTGTAATCCCAGCACTTTGGGAGGCTGAGGCGGGCAGATCACCTGAGGTCGAGAGTTTGAGACCAGCCTGACCAACATGCAGAAACCTGTTTCTACTAAAAAAATACAAAATTGGCCGGGCATGGTTGCACATGCCTGTAATTCCAGCTACTCAGGAGGCTGAAGCAGGAGAATCACTTGAACCTGGGAGGTGGAGGTTGCAGTGAGCCGAGATTGCACCATTGCACTCCAGCCTGGGCAGCAAGGGTGAAACTCCATCTCAAAAAAAACAAAACAAAACAAAAAAAATGTTAGAGATAAAATCACCAAATGTTGTGATTAATTATCTGAAAGAGTGAATCTAATAAAAGAGAGAAAGTAGTTTAGAAGAAGAGTTGTTTTTTATGACATGGTGAATAATAATACCATGAGCTGGTATTAGATAACACAAGAAAAGGGAAGATTTGGAGGAGATCATTACACTATCCCTTGAATTCTGAGAGTTTGAGATATTGTGGAATAGGCAAGTGGTTATGGGTAGATGGAAGTTGGATGTAGAAATCTAAAATTCAGAGAAGAGCAAGCTAGAGAGACAAATGTGAAAGACATCATCATATATATATTTGGCAGTTCAAATCATGAGTGAATATAAAATTACTCATGAAAAGAATATAGAAAGAGAAGAAAAGTAGAACAAGAGCTGAATTTTGAAAGACATCAACATTAAATGGCAGGTAGAGGAGGGTCTGTGTTCCGAGACAGAGAATGAGTGGTAAATGAGGGAAGTGAACGCATGGGAAGCCAGGGAAGTGGAAAGGACCCAGAAGGAGAACACGCATGACACGCAAATGCAACAGGAGATCCACTGAGATAAGGATGCAAAAGGGTCCCAGGGAACTGGCAATAACAGGGTCAGTGATGTTTGTCAGAGCAGGGAGAATATAATGGTGGGACAGAATCGGGACTGCAGTGGGATTAGGCAGGAGGAAGGGAGATGAAGTAATTCTAGGAACATGGATCAGTCTTCATGAAGGGAAGGGTAGAAAAGAAAGCATGGTGGCTGGTGAGGGGCACCCATGTGTTTAGTTCTTTTAATTATGTAAGACATTTCAAGCTTTTTTTAGACTAAAGGGAAAACATGAGAAAAAAGGAGAGATTGATGATAAAGGAGATAATTCATCAAGTATGATCCCAGAGAACAAGCAAAGAGCTTGGAATCAGGGTCCCTGAGGAGAGTAGCAGAGAACACCGATCTGGAAGTAGGGTCAATCACAGAGGAACTTTGAGGGACTGACAGGTCAGCTCTTCAGCACAGAGCCAGGAGTACTCACACTCTGCCCCAGTCTATCTTAAAGCCTCTTCCCACCACTCTCTTCTCCACGGATTCTCAGTCCTTTCCACACCTACACGTTCTGCTTTAACTACCAGAGAGCCAAGTCTCCAAGGAACACCACACACTTTCATCCTTGTGTTATGCCATGGTATCCATCTTCTTCCCTTTTAACTCCCCTCCCCAAATCTACTCTCTTGCCCTAATTCTTAGTCCCTTTGGGCTGCATAACAAGATATCTGAGACTGGGTAATTAATGAAGAAAATAGATTTATTGTCTATAGCTCTGGTGGCTGGGAAACCCAAGATCAAAGCACCAGCAGATACAGTGTCTGATGTGGGCCTGTTCCTCAGAAATGGCATCATCTTGCAGTGTCCTTCCAGGGTGGAAGAGGTAAGGATGCCCCCCCTCCCACCAGAAGGGAACTAATCTCATTTGTGAGGTTGGGACCTTCACGACTTAATCTCTTCCAAATGGCTCACCTCTTAATACCATTGTATCAAGTATTAGGTTACAACATACAGACTTTGGGGGCCACCAGCATTTGGACCATACCATCTAACTTTGGCCTAACATACATCCCTCCAGCCAAAGTTAACATGGGGAAATATTTTCATTATACTTCAGATCTTATAAAAATGTTTTCTCCTCCTAGTCATCTAGATGCACACATAAAAACAATACTTCCTTTCCCACGTTCCCATGGATTTGTTTGAAACCTAGCTAGAATGGGACCTCTGTGAGGCCAGGAGTTGTGCTCTATTTATCTCTCATCTTTGGTGTCTGGCACAATGCCAGGCGTATGCCTGACATTGTATTGAAGGACAGGACGCATATCTACAGACTTCATGTTAAAGATGGAAGCCGTGATGTCTCCCCTTAAAATTATTCCTCTAATAACTTACATACCTTCTGTAGCTTAGAAACTTAAAAAACATGCTTAGTAATATGCAGAACCCCTTGTAACTCTACTTGATGGATTCTCTCCTCTTTTGCATCTTCCTATTACCTCATAACATGAAGCTGAATAACAGCCGTCTATGTGTAATTAATAAAATATGCAAATATTTTGTATCATTATCTTCAGCTTACAAATCAGAATGAAAAATTGTTGTATTTAATGTGTTTGGTTGTGCAGCTTTCTTCAAATGCCTCTCCTCTCCATGACCCTTACTGTGAAAATTAATTGGGTATCTCCTCTGACTGCTCCATTCATTCATCAAACATTTATTGCCAGGCACACAGATAACAGTAAGAATAGATCTTCCTTCCAAGGAATGCACAGTCTAATTGACAGCAGTAGGAAATAATGACAAAATTGTTTTCTTTTAGTAGAATTTTTATCTACAGAGCAAAGAATCACAACTCTAGATCATTGCCCTGGAATTTCTCTGTTGGAGATCATCCCCAGATGGTTAGGACTCTGTCTGAAGGTTTCCTGATTCTGCCTTTGGTTGTTGTGTGCAAGGCATGTGAGATGGTCTTAGGTGAACTATCCTGGATGGGAGCTGATGCCTTCCTCTGCTTCAGCAGAGTATTCTAGGTGCAGGGTGAGAGAATAGGCCTGCATTTTCCAGCACTCAACAATCCTGCAAGGGACGAGGTGAGGTTCCTGCTCCTGTATCTACTACTTTCCTTGTTTTTCTCTGAGTGAATGGAATACTAACCTAATTGGCTCAGAAGAAGAAGACTGCAGTAGAAGACTGGCTACATTTACTTACTAAATAAGTAAGTCTCATTGGCTTCCTACTTCATGGGACAGGCTCGGAAAGAAAGCCAGCAGGTATCTGTCCTTGCTCTCTTCTTTTCTTTACATGTGAATGCTGGCTGCTTTCATTTTGTTGTCATCTTGTGGTAAGATTCGTTCTTGGGAGAAGGATTAGATTATTAGGTCTAATCTAAGCAACCTGTTCCAGTTTGATTTACAAATAGTTAGAATTTGGGGTCTAGCCCAATTAATAATGAACTGGCATTTGGATTTACCTTTCATCTGTATCCCTTAGGCATTCCATTAGAGAAGGGTGGCTGTGCCAAGACAAGATTTGGGTGTCTGTTAGAATTCTGCACAAAACAACATCTTACTGCTTTTGAAGCCACTCTTTAAAGCCTTAAATGCTTTCCTATCAATGGGGCCAACAACAAAAATATACGTTGGTTATAGTTTTATATATATAGATGTAATTATAATTGATGTATAATTGATATAATTATAGAACCAAAAAAACTAGACTGACACACAATTCATTAAATTTTTCATCTGTCGAATTATTTCATGTTATATGTGACTGATTTAACGATGATTAGTTATTTATATGGGATTCTTTCTCCTACCCCATCGCAAGAGACTAACAGGCATGACCCAGTTGAATGGAGTCTCTGCTTGGAGGCCAGGCCGTGATTGGAGACCTACCCTCACACTTATAAGAATAAACACTTCATTGGAAGACTTCTAAGTCGTTCAGAGAATGGAAACCAATTATTTCTCTTCTGGGAGAAACTGGTAAAAATTGGACTTTAAAAAAATTACATGTAATAGGAGCTCTTGAATAGAGATATTGTTAGACTTTAGGGGTAATTATCAAGGAAAATGCTCAGCTTCTTTCATTAAAGACTGGTAAAAACTATCATGGTTAGACAGAGTTTTTCCTGAAATAAAGAGAATAACTTTTATAAATTTTGTGTTTCTTTCCAATACCATGATACTATGCCATATTAATATTTCTATGACTGCATTTGGTACCATCTTTACTATGAAAAAATATAGTTTAAAAAATCTTTTTTTAATCAAATATATGTGGTAATGAAAGTTTGTAGTCTAGTTTTCCTTCCCTGGTACAGTTAATGATGGTTTCATTACCCAAAGAACTCAATAAACCAACTGTTTCATTATGCTGACAAACAACTTGATCAATAAAACTGCTAACTTCACAAAATGCAAAGGTTTCTAAGTGAGGGGAGAGAAAATGTGATTCTACACATTTGAATCTTTCCATATCGATTAAGAAAAATCCTTACAGCCCCATGCATGTCTCCAGGAAAAATTATGTGTGTGCGTGTGTGTGTGTGTGTGTGTGTGTGTGTGTGTGTTTGAGGAGCTAAAGGATAAGGGTCATTAACTTCCATAAGTCACTCATACTATATAGAAAATAAGACGTCAATATGATTCTGTATAATACAAATACATACAACTATCTTTATTTTCTTGGAGAATAACTTACTTTAGTTATTTCTTTAATCTTTGAAGTGCTTCTTTTCAAGTAGTTAATAACATTTTATGATTGTATGATGGTTGGCAAATTTGCAGGTAGCTGTTACAAATTGTACTTTTTATTTCCACTCTCAACCTAAAATAATATATAATTTATTGGATGATTATTATTCTGCAATTTAACATTTTCTAAAGATTGGCTGTTTTACAACTGTATCGATACTTAATACAGTGATGAAAAGTTCTCAGTATGTTAGATAAGAATACAAATAGCAATAACACAACCTTTTGGCCTCTGAGCCTAAGTTGATTTTATGAAGTCCTTCTATGTTCATGAACAAAGCACTCTTGTCCCTATCAAAGACTCACTTGACTTTTTCCATATTCTCTTTAGCAAAAATGAACCAGTAATCATTGTGGCAGGTAGGAGCAGTAGCCCTCTGTGCAGTAGAAAGTCGACCTATGGGCCGGGCCCCATGGCTCACGCCTGTAATCCCAGCACTTTGGGAGGCCAAGGCAGGTGGATCACCTGAGGTCAGGAGTTTGAGACCAGCCTGGCTAACATGGTGAAACCCTGTCTCTACCAAAACTACAAAAATTAGCAGGGCATGGTGGTGTGAGCCTGTAATCCCAGCTACTCAGGAGGCTAAAGCAGAATAATCACTTGAACCCAGGAGGTGGAGGTTGCAGTGAGCCGAGATCATGCCACTGCCCTCTAGCCTGGGTGACAGAGCAAGATTCCATCTCAAGAAAAAATAAAAAAGTCCGCATATGACTTTTAACTTCTTAAAAACTTTACTACTCATAGCCCACTGTTGACTGGAAGCCTTATCAATGATATAAACAGTAAATTAACACATATTTTGTATGTTATATGTGTTATATATGGCATTATTACAATAAAGTAAGCTAGAGAAAAGAAAATGTTATTTAAAAAATCATAAGGAAGAGAAAATATATTCACTATTCATTAAGTGGAAGTGGATCATCATAAGGTCTGTATCCTTGTCTTCATGTTGAGTAGACTAAGTAGAAGGAGGAAGAGGAGGGGTTTGTCTTGCTGTCTCAGCGTGGCAGAGGCAGAAGAAAATTTGCTTATAAGGGCACCTGTGCAGGTCAAACCTGCATTGTTCAAGGGTCAACCGTATAGCGAAAAGTCGTGGAGAACAAGGAGCATGCTGGATATTCATTTAATCCAGGATATTCATTTACTCGCCCATTCCAGATGTTTGTATGTCTGCTATCATACGTGCTAGATATCCATCTTATACTTAATGTGATATTGCCCACATATAAAGTTTTAAGCCTTTCAGTGTACTATAGTAGTCAATATGAGTGCTAAATAAATACGAATAGTTCATATATTTATACATGAACATGATATGTTTATGAAATGATAAGAGAATGTGGAGACTGTGGATCTGATGATCAGGCTTAGAGACAGTGAAGTGATTTAAGATAATAACATCTTTCCTAACACAATGAAAATGGAAAGATTTACCCAAACCCAGACGAAGTATTTAGAATGTTGGAAGGAAACAAAAGGTCATTTGTTTTCTTACACTTGTACTCTATCCACTTCAAGATCGGAAACAAAAATGATAAAGAGATATTGCTATGTTGGGTCATGGAGTCTAACCCCAAATTACACACTATCTTTGTCCTGAACATGATTCCCTTGTTACGGAACTAAATTCCTACCGGAAGCCAAATCACCCTTCAGTAGTAAATTAAGCACTGAGGAATACACATATTTTGTTTTACATCCTGGAAGAATCCCATGCCCATTGTGTGTATCGGGGGTGTGTTTACATAGTGGGCTTCAAGCAAACTCTACAAGATTCTGCTCAGCTCTGCTCCAGATCCTTACCAGACACCCGAGACCCAACCTGAAGAGCTGCCCGCATGGTAGGCCTCAGGCCATACCCACGGCCTCTCTAGTTTTACTCCTGCAGTGCTGAGCGAACCTTACTAATCTAACTGGCACTGAGCTTTGTGCCAGACCTGGGGGTAGTAACAAGGCTGTTAGTGTCTTGAGGAGCTTTTCTAAGTCATGATCATAAACAAGTTCTAAAGCTTGGGTCTCCAAAAATCAAAGAACAAGATGTATGTTCTTTTCCAAAGAGAAAATTTGTTTCCTGTGCTGCAGAGTTGCTGCCAATAGACACTTTTGGAGGACTACACGAGGCTGCGCATTTGGATTAAAATCAGAGATATTCATTTAATCACCCATTCCAGATGTTTACATATCCGCTCTCATGTAGGCTTCTCCAAAAGTGAGGTTTTAATAAGGAAGAGAGTGTTTAGACAGCACTCACCTTTTTCTCCATGACTTTTCTCTATACAGCTGACCCTTGAACAACGCAGGTTTGAACCGCACAGGTGACCTTATATGCAAATTTTCCTCTTCCCCTGCCACCCCTGAGACAGCAAGACCAACCCCTCTCCTTCCTCCTCCTCAGTCTACTTAACATGAAGATGACAAGGATGAAAACTTTATGTTGATCCACTTCCACTTAATGAACAGTGAATACATTTTCTCTTCCTTATGATTTTTAAAATAACATTTTCTTTTCTCTAGCTTGCTTTATTATAATAATGCTGTATACAACACATATAACATATAAAATATGTGTTAATTGACTGTTTATATCGTTGATAAGGCTTCCAGTCAACAGTGGGCTATGAGTAACTAAGGTTTTAAGGTGTTAAAAGTCATATGTGGACTTTCTACCACACAGGGGGCTGGTGCTCCTACCCTGGCACCTCCCCACCATTGTTCAAGAGTCAACTATACATGGAAGTTTAGTGGGTTTGGGGCTAAAGAACTATAGAGAGCGCTATGAAGATTCTGACTGTGGTAGCATTTAATAGCATATATCAACTGCCAAATACTGTTTTACTTAGATTGAAAAATCTCAGCCTAACATCCTGTGGTCTCTGCCTTTCCTCATTTCCTTCTACCTCCTACTCTCCCCCAGCCTGGAGACCTTCCCACAGTAGAATTACTCCACTTGACATTAAGGATTTTATTTGGTTTCAAGAATGCTTCTCTTTTTTTCCTTTTTCCTTCCCTTGTCACTCCCTCTGTTTCTCTTTTTCCTGTCTTCCTTTTTATGTGTCTTTATTTTAATATTCACAGGAGCAGGAAGCAAGTTCTCCTAGCCGCACGTGGAATGCAAATGTCCAAATGTTGCGCGTGGGAAATAAATCGAATTTCTGAGGGTTAAACGAAGGTCAGTTTGAACATTTAAAATGTCTGAAAATAAAATGCACCAATCAATTCTATTCGGATGTGTGTGTGTGTTAAACATCATTTTAGCATCCCATCTAAGCCTATTTGCTCGGTTTTTCTGCTTTGTTTTTTCTTGCACCTCAGGGTGATGGCTTCAATAGCTCGTTTGCACCAAGTAGTAACAGGCCACAGCGGGCGAATCAACCTTTTGTCTGCCTCATCAGACTCTTTGCCCCATTGTCCCCCCTCAGATCCCATCAGTATGGGGAAGGAGGCCCGGCCAATGCTGGTGAAAACAGAATCATTCCTGTAACAGAGAGGGCCGTTCCTGCACTCAGGGTGTCCCTGTGACTTCTGGCTTCTCTGGACCCACGGTAGCATTTGCTGGCGATAGAAAAGCGGTTCTTGTTGGGTTATTCTCACTGGTGCCTGCAGAGTCATGAAAGCAGGGAGGACAGCGCCGTCCACCTCCTGCACACAGAAGTCTCAGCTGGAAGTGGCGGTCCCCGAGAGCCTGCGCTCCGCAGCTTGTTTTAGCCTTCAGAAAAAACGCTTTCTTTCTGTAGCTTAACTGCTTGGCCCACAGGGCAGCCAGCTGTTGTATGCTGCTTGAGCAGAGGTCGTGGAGGGGTGAGTGAGCACAGGGAAACCTTTTAATACATATTTTATATACTTCAGATCACTAATGGGAGCTACACAAACAGATCCATTTGAATATCTACCCCCTGGGGCTATATTTCTGTTTCGAGTTTTCTGGTAACAGCAAGGATCAAAAACTAAGATGGTTCTTTTAAACACACCTGATTGACCAGAAATATGCATAAATAAGTATTCTGCACTACTGTTGTATATTTTATTATTCTTATTATGTTTCCTTTTTGAATTCTTTTTTAAGCTTTATTGAGGTATAATTGACAAATAAAAATGTATTTAACGTGTGCAACGTGATATTTTGATATATGTATACATTGTAAAATAATCACCACAATCAAGCTAATTAGCATTAAATTGATTTTACATACTTTTGATTCCATATATTTTAAATTAGACAAAAAATTAGCCTTGGTTTTGATAAAAGAAAAACTTCAGCTGGATTAACTTTAAAGGCGTCTAATTGAGTGATGAACAATTTGTGAATCGGGCGGCCTTCTCAGCCATGGTAAGCTCAGAGACCCCAGCGCAGCCATGCGGGGGAAGATTTATGGAAAAAGGAACATGAGGAACAGAAAACAGAAGTGAGGTACAGAAACAGCTGGATGGGTGGCAGCTCGGCGTTTGCCTTCTGCGAACACGGTTTCAACGGCTGGCTACATTTGATTGGCCGAAACTCGGTGACTGGCACAGGTGTCGGCTACGGTCGGTTACGCCTCCACCTGTTATCGTTCACGAGGTGCAGAAAAGCCTTTAGGCCGAACTTAAATGTGTAAGGAGGCAGCTCAGGGCTAACCTTGATTTAACAGTTTCACACATGTCAACAAAAGTGTAAACAACATGATTTAAGCAATAGAGATGAGAGGTCATCTCAGAAGAGAAATGGCATTTATAAGAACCACTTGGCATTAACTATATTTTTGTAGAAGATGGCTTTTCTTATGGTATTATTTTAAAAGTGTTCAAATGATATCAAAGCTGCCATTGTTAAAAGTAAAAAAATCCTAATGTGGATACTTACAAATGTCTAATATCCTAATACTTCAATAATGTCCCAGTACTTTACTGTGTACCCCAAATGTTATGTGTCGTTTTATAAAATGATTATATAATCTTGCTGGGGTGTTCTTGTCACTCACCATTACGGAAGAGAAAGCCGACTCGGAGAGGAGTGGCCATTTGTCCTTCTTCACAGCATTAATAAATAGTAGACCCAGGACCGAGAGGGCTGTTTTTATATCCCTGCAATGTTTCGTATGTTTGAAATGTGTTGATTGAAAATGTTCTTCCTCTTTGATGAAGAAGAGCCACAGTGACCGCCAAAGAAACCGATTTAGAACAGTTTCTTCTAAAGCTTTCCGCTTGGACTTGACCGTGGGTGTGTCTGAATGTTTCTGAGCCAGCTCCACACCAAGCCTGAATGAGCCCAAGCAGGTCACGAAATTGAAAGGACTATAAAGCACCGTATCAGAAAAGGAGGAGAAACCCAAGGCGTATCCGTTAGTGGCTGCATATGCCAATACGCACCAGTCCACGCTTTTCTGAGCCTGCCAGCATCCGCAGCCTCTCCTGCTCGCAGAGGTTGTCAGACACCCCGGGCTTGGCTCAGTCCTGCTGCCCAGTTGGAATCAAATCTCAAGAGAGAGACAAACACTGTAAGGAGTATGACCTTCTCCAGCAAGACAGCAAAGGTGCAAAGGAGAGAAGGATGCTACATAGCCCGTGTGTTTTAAAGAAATGCAAATATTAAACGAGAAAAAAGGAGTATTAGTTTTTTTAAAAAATGGGAGTGTACAGATATGCAACAACATGAGAAAACAACACAACACAAAACAACTTTGCTGGTTCTTCAATTAAAATGTACACAATGGCTCTAATGCAAATGATTGCCATATTGAATTGGTCACGGAGTTGAAATTAAAACTCATGACTAGTGATTTATACATTTTGCTTAAATCACCAAATACAAGCAACTCTTTGAATTGAACTGTTTTATCCCTTCTACTATAAATTCCTAAATTATACAAATTCCTTCATTTCCTTCTTCCTTCCCTTCCTTTCTCTTTTCCTTCCTCCCTTCTTTCCCCCCTCCCTCCCTCTCTCTCTCTCTTTCTTTCTTTCCTTCCTTCCTTCCTTCTTTCTTTTGTCTCTCTCTCTCTCCTTCTCCCTCTTTCCACTTAGCCATGCTATAAATAGTAAGAGGTAAAAGAAATAAAAACAGAAATAATTACAGGCCCAAATGTATTATTATCTTCAAAGGAAATTACAAAGAGAAGAAACAAGAGGGATTTCCCTCCATCGTGTTTCTATACACGCACGATATTCTAACTAAAGCATGTTACAAGTGATCTATGTTATTTTTACAAACCAAGTGAGTGGTTTAAAGAAAATGGAAAGATGTGTCCTCTAAGAAAACCACAGTTACGTGAGTGGTAAATGGAAACAACGAGACTCTTACCTTCTAAGCTATGGGGTCTGTTAGCTCTGCATCCTGTATCTCAGTGACTCAGGGCAGGTCACTAAGCCTCCTTGAGAACCTTGTTTTCAGTATTCATGGAAAAGGAGGGAAGTGACCCAGGCAAGGGTGTCGACTGTGAGGCATATTGCTTATGTGCAGTTCTATTATTCTTGGTGTTAGAAATCTGAACTCTCATGTTTCAGTAACCGGAAAATCTTCAGAAAAGACATCCCCGGCGCCATGGTTGTCAACATGCTCAAACACCTCGTTATAGCATTCTTGCCCCTTACTGGTGCAACTTCTTGCTACTTTCCTGTAGTTCAGTGACAGAAGTTGGGGGTTATTCTTGGTACCTTCTTGCAGGTAATTCCCAAAAGTCACTGGTGCTCTAAGGGACCCACTCATCCTCACCTGATAACCCTTCACCAGGAAGCAGCAAATGCTAACAACTCTCTATACTTGCACTCACTCTCACGACCTGCCCCTGCTGGGCCTGTGGTCACCCGAGAGGGCTTTGCTCCCAGGCCATGGGAGGGCACCTGCTACATGACTCACTAACTTCCCTGTCTGGCACAATCTGAGTCTTGGTGCAGACCCTTTTCCACAATCCAGACTCTAGATAGCAGACATTTCCCAGAGCCCATCCTATTTGGTTCCCTTGCCGTGTGTATTCCTAAACAAAAA
The DNA here is from genome assembly GCF_000001405.40 of Homo sapiens. Classification (NCBI taxonomy): domain Eukaryota; kingdom Metazoa; phylum Chordata; class Mammalia; order Primates; family Hominidae; genus Homo; species Homo sapiens. The sequence continues at coordinate 187,127,811 of NC_000004.12, forward strand.
TCATTTCAGTGCAAATATGAGACACTTTTTGATGTGTGTGTGTGTGTGTGTGACATAAGAAATGTAAAAAGTGAATGGTCATATTTTTAAAAAGCAATGAAAATGGGCCGTATGCGGTGGCTCATGCCTGTAATCCTAGCACTATGGGAGGCCAAGGTGGACAGATCACGAGGTCAGGAGATAGAGAACATCTTGGCCAACATAGTGAAACCCCGTCTCTGCTACAAATACAAAAATTAGCTGGGGATGGTGGCGTGTCCCTGTAATCCCAGCTACTCAGGAGGCTGAGGCAGGAGAATCACTTGAACCAGGGAGGCGGAGGTTGCAGTGAACCGAGATCATGCCACTGCACTGCAGCCTGGGCGACAGAGCGAGACTCCGTCTGAAAAAAAAAAAAAATCAACAAAAATGAAGAGAGTATATTAAGATCTGGTTAGACGTATTAATTAGACCTACAGAGGAAATTCCTAAAGAGCCGTGCAGGCCCGTTCTTGGAGCCCTGGAAATGCACGCATTTCTTGATGCCTCTGAGGATGCCCCTCTCACTCTCTGATTGTACTTGACCTGGCAGCTGCTGACTCCGTCCTACCCCGGTTACACAGGGTTAGAGGAATGTTAATTACCCGAGGATGCTGTGTCATCCGCACAGTATCCGGGAGAAAATAACAAGGACAACTCCCTTCATCTGAGAAATACAGACATTTAGCGATATAAGTGCCACGCTCAAAGGTACTGGTGTTGTGTGGGCACATATTTGGGCAGGAATGTAGATCCTCTTATCCTACTACTATATGGGCATCTGATACATAGATGCACCCAGCCAGAGAGTGCTAACCCTGTGCCCTACTGCAGGAGGGGTCTCAGCAAGCATCTGTTCTTGTCGCAGGTAAGGACTCTGAGACCTGGAAAGGGTTACATCATTTACGTAGTTTAACACAGACAGTAAAATTTAATTGGGGATCAAAAAAAAAGTTCTAAATGTTTACTTTATGGAGTATTGTTCCTTAAAAAATTTGGATTTTTATGCTTTCTTACAACATTAAAGTACATTCACCACTTTTTCTTGTTTTCTCAGAATCTGCGACATGGATAAAATTCTATCTCTGCATCTTACAGGTATTAAAATCCAGTTCCCTGCGTGCATGCTCCAGTTTAAGTGGATGGCTGATTCTATCCCGTCATCCTGAACTTTGTAGCTTCCTTTAAGAGATGATAAATTAGGGAACAAAAGGATCTTCCTTTCCGTGACAGCAGCACTTTCGGGAGGCTGAGCATGTACCTCTGACTCAAGGCTGAGTTATTATAAGAAAAACAGAAAAGGAAGGAAGAAGGTTTTAATTTCCCACTGTTGAAGACAGTTTGTCAGGATGAGAGACAGACAGACAGAGCGTGCACAGACCTGCACTTCTCTTCGGGGATGAATAGGGCAAGTGTTTCATTCATGACGTCTTCAAAGCGTTGCCCGGAATGCAAAATGACATGGTTTTTCTGGAATACTAGTCTGTTTGAAAGGCCAAGGAAAGGTGATACATTTTGAATGCACATTTGGGTGACTTCAGGGTCTCCTTCTATAACCAGAATGGAGATGTCCCTGAAAGGCTGTCAACAGAGAAAAAAAGAATTCTGGTTAAAATTCCATTATTCCAGTTTTTTTTTTGTTGTTGTTGTTTTTTTTTTTTGCCTGCGTTGTGTAATTGAAGATGTCTTCCAAGCAGAAACAGACCCTTGTTTCATGTGGAAAAAAAAATACATAGACTAATAGACTACAGAGAAATAGAGGTAAAAAGAAGATTGCTGCCACTTCCCAGTTAAGGAATGCGTTGCTTTCACCCACCGTGGTCCCTGCTGCCTGTGACTCCAACACAAGAATCAATCCATCTGTCTTTCTGCCACCACAGACATCTCCCTAAATTGATCTAATCTTGTGTCTATTCTTAAAATTCTTCGGATTGCTTCTTGTTAATAGATAATTGAAGTTCAGTAGTACAGTCTTTCCATCTCCCTTTCCTTCCTGATTGTCAAATCACTTTGACCCAATAAATCTCACTTAATTTTTTAATTGTATGGGAATTTAAAAATGGCACATGTTTTATCATATGCCTGGGCTGCTCTACCCAACTTTTCAAAGTTCTTTCCATCCTTCAAAGTCTAGCTCAGCACCTACATCTTCAAACGGTAAAACTTCTCTAATTTTTTTGCATGAAATAAATGTGCCTATCCAATCAGGATGAGCCACTCAGATGTGTGACTGATGTCACACAGGGCTTCAAGCTCAGAAGAGCCCACCGGATGAATGGTTTATTTCTCTGCTGTTGTCATCTTGAAATTTGAAGAAGGGGCCCAGCATTTTCATTTTGCACTGGACTCACAAACGATATAGCCAGTCCTGCCTCCAGTACTCCTAAAGTTAACAATTTCATATCTCTGCTCCAATAATTCTCATCCACATTGTTGTTTTGAAGTTACCTTTGTAACTCCCACTAGATTGGGAGCTCTAGGAAGCCACAGATCTTATTTGTTGAGTTTCTACAAGTGTGGGGAAGAGTAGTGTGCACAGATTAAAGCTGCCAATGGGAAGGTAAGAATACTATCAGAGTTCATCAGAACAGAACTGAAAACAGCCAACATCTCCTGAGAATAGCAGTGCTATGTTCTGAGTGTTTGTGTCCCCCCAAAATTCATGTGCTGAAATCTAATTCCCAACATGTTGGTATTAAGAGGTGGGGAATTTGAGAGGTGAGTAGGTCATGAGGGTGGAGCCCTCATGGGTAGGATTAGTGTTCTTATGAAAGAGGCCTGACAGAGCATATGCCCTTTTACCACATAGAAGGTGCCATCTATGAAGAACTAGCTCTCAGTAGACACCAAATCTTCTGGCACCTTGATCTTGGACTTCCCAGCCTCCAGAACTGTGAGCAATAAGTTTCTGTTGTATATAAATTACCCAGTCAAAGGTATTTTGTTACAGCCGCCAGAATGCATTAAGACAAATAGTAAAAAGAACAAAGAAGTTTTGCACACGTAGTATGCACCAAGCACTGTGCTTTGCACTGCGCGAGAAAATCCAACCTGGTTCTCACAACATGAAGCATAGGTACTATATTATGGCTTCAGTTTCCAGAGGAAGAAACTAAGGCTTAGAGAGGGAAGGTGTCACACACTAAGCAGCAGTAGCAGGAGTCGCTGTCAGTTCTGGCTCCTAGGAAATCAATGAGTCTGTATTCATAAATCATAGAAAATTGTGACATTTTCATGCAATAAAAAACCTAAGAATGTTCTTTATATATATACATATATTTTTATTATACTTCGAGTTCTAGGGTACATGTGCGCAACGTGCAGGTTTGTTACATATGTGTACATAACATTAGGTATATCTCCTAATGCTATCCCTTCCCCCTCCCCCCACCCCACAACAGGCCCCAGAGTGTGATGTTCCCCTTCCTGTGTCCAAGTGTTCTCATTGTTCAATTCCCACCAAGAGTGAGAATATGCAGTGTTTGTTTTTTTGTCCTTGTGATAGTTTGCTGAGAATGATGGTTTCCAGCTTCATCCATGTCCCTACAAAGGACATGAACTCATCATTTTTTATGGCTGCATAGTATTCCATGGTGTATATGTGCCACATTTTCTTAATCCAGTCTATCATTGTTGGACATTTGGGTTGGTTCCAAGTCTTTGCTATTGTGAGTAGTGCCGCAATAAACATACGTGTGTATGTGTATTTGTAACAGCATGATTTATATTCCTTTGGTACACAAAGTAACAGGATGGCTGGGTCAAATGGTATTTCTAGTTCTAGATCCCTGAGGAATCGCCACACTGTCTTCCACAATGGTTGAACTAGTTTACAGTCCCACCAACAGTGTAAAAGCGTTCCTATTTCTCCACATCCTCTCCAGCACCTGTGGTTTCCTGACTTTTTAATGATCGCCATTCTAACTGGTGTGAGATGATATCTCATTGTGGTTTTGATTTGCATTTCTCTGATGGCCAGTGATGTTGAACATTTTTTCATGTGTCTTTTGGCTGCATAAATGTCTTCTTTTGAGAAGTGTCTGTTCATATCCTTCGCCCACTTGTTGATGGGGTTGTTTTTTTCTTGTAAATTTGTTTGAGTTCTTTGTAGATTCTGGATATTAGCCCTTTGTCAGATGATGGAAGAACATTCCATACTCATGGACAGGAAAAAACCTAAGAATGTTGTCACTGTAACCAAGCCCAAGGGAGCAAAATTCTTTTCTCTTGCAGTCCCAACCCTGAGTTTACAAAATCTGTCCACACATACCCAGACTTTTGAGTTGTCAAATAAGTTTCTAATAAGAAAACTTTTTTTAGTTTATGCCAACATTTTACTAAGCCCACCTGCAGCTCCCTAAGCCACTCCTTTAACAAAAATACTATCTTTTTACTTTCTAGTTTTTTAAGCAAAAAATTTTATATATTTGGAGAAAAGTGTTTCATAGACAAGCCAGAAAATCTAGGGAGAAAGAGATATTACAGAATCTGCTGAGCAAGAGGATTGGGTGGAAGTCAAACCCATGTTAGCACTCCATATGGGAGCTCCAATATAGTCATGAAGAAGGCCCCCATTTCCCATTAGCTTCTGAGCACTTGTAAGGCATCAAATTCAAGGAGACGACTACCAGGGATTAACATCAAAGGACATTTTACTGAGTTGAGTTCATCAGCAGTTTCTACTTATTAATTTATTGTTAAAATTATATGCTTCATTTCCGTTGCAGGCCTTCTTTTTTTACTGCTTAACCCAAATATGTACCATGGGCAAGATACATACAGTGCTTTAAATATGTTACTATAAGAATTTGCATTCCAAATCAAGACATCATTCTAAATCATTCCCATCAAGATATTGCCAAAAGCATCACACATAGGCTATAGCCCTCAATATATATTATTGTCTTTCATACAGAGAGACTGTTCAATAAAAAACCTCATTGTGTCTGTCCTTCATGTTTTTAAGCTAATTAAGTGTTCCAAAGCTTAGGTCTTTTATGATTGTGAATAAGGATTGTTATTCACCTCAGTAGTTTTCAGGAAAAGATAATGCTTCTGTTCTCTCTTTCTCAGGGACCACTATTACCTGAGTTTCCTGGAGCTTTGAGTTTTTTTCAAAATTGTTTTCTTAAATCTTTAAATGAATTGCATTTCTCTCTCCTCTAATGAGCAAAATATGAAGAAATGAATGACTGGATATTCTATTTGGACACAAAAAAGGACTGATATAGCATCTGTTCACTTCAGCAAGGTTGCTCCAGCCTACCTACATGTATACCTATTTTCCACCCATGAGAATCGAAGTTCCCTTCAGATATAAATTTCCTTCTTTCCTTCTTTCTTTCTTTCTTTTTGTTTCTTTCTTTCTTTCTTTCTTTCTTTCTTTCTTTCTACCCTCCCTCCCTCCCTCTTTCCTTCCTTCCTTCCTTCCTTCCTTCCTTCCTTCCTTCCTTCCTTCCTTCCTTCCTTCCTTCCTTCTTTGCAGAATTTTGCTGTCAGCCAGGCTGGAGTGCAGTGGCACGATCTTGGCTCACTGCAACCTCTGCCTCCCAGGTTTAAGCAATTCTCATGGCTCATCCTCCTGAGTAGCTGGGATTACAGATGCGCGCCACCATGCCTGGCTGATTTTTTGTGTTTTAGTAGAGATGGGGTTTCACCATGTTGGTCAAGCTGGTCTCGAACTCCTGAGCTCAGGCAATCTGCCTGCCTTGGCCTCCCAAAGTGCTGGGATTACAGGCGTTGAGCCACCGCACCTTGTCCAGTTAGGGATTTCTAAGTAATGCTAATGACAAGCTGCTCCAGGGTCTGATGTTCCCATGTGGTCCCTGTTGGATACATTTTTAATCCTAATTTTGGAAACTTAACACCAGGTATATAATGACTGAGAACGGCTGCAACTTATCAAGACACAATTCTTACATCACATATATGTGATGCAGTAGGAGAATGTATAAGAAATGTCAAATCTCATTCTTTCCAAAATCTTGTGTTAGGTAATTTATGGTTTTTATGACTAACCAATTATTCTGGACATAAAGACTTTTAAAATTATAATAATGAAATTTACTTGGACTTCTAGTTGAGGTAATTACAGGTCATGAGGAACACAGTAAAAGCTGCCATATTAAAGAACAGTTATAATTGCTGTAAATGATTTTGTTAGTGCGGAACCAGTTGTAATCCAATTACATCCACATTTGAAAATGACAAGAAAATGTTGAGAGACATGTTTCCCAACCAGACCATTCACCTGTCACCTTGCCAGTGTATCATTTGAAGGAAATCTTTTGTAGCAAATAAGAATATACCCGGCCTCCTTTAGATCCAGAATTGAAAAAAATTAGAACTAAACAACAACAAAACCATCAGTTATTTTGTAAGAACTGTATAAGAAAAGAGAGAGGAGAATTCTCATTTTAGTCAACGTTCACCTAGTACTGTTCTAGGTGTCGTAGGTATTAACCAGTTTAACCTTCACAGAACTAAATGGCAGGGATTCTTATTTCTTTTTGCAGTTAGAGAAACTGAGGCTGAAATTAAGTTACTTGCCCAAGATAAGGCAGCAAATCTGGTTTACCTAATTCCAAAGCTTAAGTTTAACTTATTACCATACCATGGTAAGAATCATTTTGATCTTAAAATTACTTCAGATGTCTTAGTATGTTGATGTTTACCCTCATAAGTAAATGAGAAGTAGGAGATTCTATATGTGTTCATACCTAAATGACAAATAATGAAAGGTATTTGTTTACATATACATTATTTAATGAAAAAATGTTGCATTAATAATTTGGACATAATATGGAATATTTATGTAAATGAGAAGTAGGAGATTCTATATGTGTTCATACCTAAATGACAAATAATGAAAAGTATTTATTTGCATATACATTATTTAATGAAAAAAATGTTGCATTAATAATTTGGACATAATGTGGAATATTTCCTCACAAAAATTCAGACAACAATTTTTCTTCCACTTTTATACTCTTTATCTATAGCTATATTTAAATCAAAGTTATCAGCAGATCATACTGGGAATCAGTTTGTGCCACAAGGCAAAATAAATTGACAGTATTAGAAGAAAGGTTAATAGTCCCTTTGCTAATCCCAACTTTTGCACTAGGTTTATTATTACCCTTGAAATAGAACCTACACGATCAATTTCAAATATCAAAGCATAACACACACTCTACAGGGAACCCATAAAAGAAAGCAGAGGAGGCAATAGCTTTACAGTTAGGAAAAACCACGATTTTGATTGTGCGTGGAAAACATCAAATTAAACTTGGTACTTGCTATTGACTCAGCATCCTGCTTCTCCCAGCATTCCAGCGGAAGTCTAGTCTGCTAGCTCCCCAGAGTGAGACCTTTACTCCTGTGGCATTACTTGCTGGCAATACAGAATTGAACAGGTTCTGGCCTTGGGGGAAGCTTATGATTATTTTCTTCAATGTGCAAAGTAATGCTTAAAGGAAATAGTCTCTTAAGCAGCCCAAAATGTGAAAAAAACAAGATAAATGAGGTTTGCAAAATTTCTTCTTTTCCTACTAATTTATTTCTGGTTCAGTGAAAAATTCATTTTAGAAGGGTTTTATTCCTCCTATGTCCCAAGCTTGGTCTTCAGTCCCCAGTTACAGAGTTGTTCACATCGTCTTCTTCATGCCTTTTATTTCTGCACAAATCCATGTTAGTCATGCCCAATCCCCACAGGCCACCTGAGTGCTCTACAGCACGTTGCTCCCGCTGCACCCAGGCTAAGGGCATGAGAGATTTCTCTCTGCATGTAGAAAGACTGGAGGCATGACAGCAACTAACGTTGACTAATTAATGCTGAAAGGGTTAAAGTTGTCAAGTTCCCAACTTATTTACCATTGACACACCCCAGATTTGTTCTGGGATGCCAGGAGATAGTATCATTGCACAGGTGTGAAGAAATAGGGCATTCTGACCACAAGGATAGGCCAGAAATTTGGGGGTCATTATTTCATCATGTACTTAGTGCCAGGAATTTATATTTTAGGTGGATAAGGTTGTCATTGTTCCACAACATCTGAGGACAGCAGACTTGTTGAATGAATGAATGAATGAATGAGAAAGCTCTATCAGCTCCATAGACAAATGCCGACTTCTACAGATTACTTGGAGATAATCTTTTAATAAAATGAAAAAAGCTCAACAAACCTGAGCAACTAAGAGGAGCTAACATTTCCTAACTGCCTACGGCACCATGCCAGGTACTTCACGTACACTATTTGTTTAAGTACAGACAACCTCCTACTTAGTATCTACGATAGACAGACTCAAAGGTGGCTCCCAGGGATCTCCTTCCCCTGGTATTTGTGCCTTGATATAGTCGCCTCTCACAGTGAATAGGGCTGACCTCTCTCACCTGTAGGATTTTGTAGAAATGATGGCACGTGGCCTCCAATGCCAGGTCATAAAAGCCGTCATGGCTTTTGCCTTGCTTTCCCTTGGATAACTCTCAGAGCGAGGCCAGGTGCCATGTCACTAGGGCCCGCAAGCAGTTCCGTGAAGAAGACCGCATGTTGAGGAATCAAGGCTTCCTGTCCACCACCCGCACTAACGTGCCAAGCAGTGAGGGAGCCACCCGGAAGCAAATCCTCCATCCCCAGGCAAGCCTTCATGTGACTTCAGCTTACCGCTTTCCTCAAGGCAATGTCAAAGAGAGAACCTGACAAGTAGATCCTGGAACCATCCAGCTAAGCCACTCCCAGATTCCAGACCCATAGAAACAATGTGAAATAATAAGTTTTTTTTTTTTTTTAATCATTGAAGCCTCTGTATTTTGGAGGCATTTGTTACATGGCAGTAGATTGCTATAAAAACCATTATTACTCTCATTTTATGGATGAAGAAATAAAGGCCATGAGACCCACAGGTACAAAATGCTAATAGCTTTCCCTCATTGATCACCTTCTAAAGAAGACTTGGACCACCGAGGATGGCTGAAGCCAAGAAGAAGAGCAGCCAGTAGTGGGTAAAGAGGCAGAGGCGCCTACTCATTTCTTCAACAAATAACTCTTGGGCATCTGTGGTGTGCCAGTCAGTGTTTTAGGACATGAATTTGCATCAGTGGCCACCATAGATAAGTTACCTGTGTTTTTAAGGCTTACAGGCTAGTGTGATGATTGATAATGAACAAACACATGAAAAGATCTATTACGAAGTACAATAGAAGGCAAGGGAGAAACAGGTTCAGGGAAGAGCGAGACTGCGAAAGGGCAGCCTGCCACCTCTTCCTTCCCACACAGAGCATCTGCAGGGCACACCCCTTCATCCAAGGCTGCCTGAATGTGTTGCTCTGTCCTGAAACATGAAACTTATTAGACAGGGGCCATTCTTCTCTTTTGTACACTCACATACATCCCAGGTGCCTAAAGCTAAGCCTGGTACATAATTTGTGTTTAGTACATATTTATGGCAGTGTCTTAAATTCTCAGATGGATAAAATTTTTAGTGGATTTACCTGCCTAAGGAGTTTGACATTTTTCAGCTGTTTTAAGGTTAGCACGTTATTTAAGACAGAGTAAATTCTGCTGGTGTAACTCCTTTTGTATTACCAAAAGAACAAAACTCATTGTGTAATAAATATGATTTTCTTCCCAATAGCCATGCTAGAAATTCATTTATGTAAGCAAGATATTAAGCCCCAAAACCAATGTACTAAAAATGCAATAAGTGCTCCAGAATACTCTAAGAATCAAAATCTGAGATATTGTTATGAGATCCCCAAAGAAATGTCCATGATCCAAAGAAGAAATCAGTCTCGTCACTTACACATAAATAAACCCAGGTTTCTTGAGTCTGTTTAGTTCCGCCATGCAGCTGTGCGGCTCCAAGAGCACCACACCAGGAGGACCAGAGGCTTCTCACTTCACGATCACAGCCACTGCAGCCTCTTTGGGGGAACGTGAGAGTCTCTTTTAAAGCCCTGTAGTCTCAAAAAATAAATTGTAAGTTTATGAAAGGCAGAAATTAGGTAGTTATTACTTGCTGATCAAAGTGGTTTATTACATTTTAAAATGTTAGTACTAAAGGGAACTTCAAATATTAGGGGGCTCAATCCTTCTGCTCCCAAAGAGAAGCCCAAAGAGGTGAAATGATCATCCTGGGAGGCAAGAGCAGGAGGAGTTGCTCATGCCAGCCTTTTTAAAAACTCCTCCCCTGGAAACCATCATTCTTAGCAAACTATCGCAAGGACAAAAAACCAAACACTGCATGTTCTCACTCATAGGTGGGAATTGAACAATGAGAACACATGGACACAGGAAGGGGAACATCACATACCAGGGCCTGTTGTGGGGTGGGGGGAGGGGGGAGGGATAGCATTAGGAGATACACCTAATGCTAAATGATGAGTTAACGGGTGCAGCACACCAGCATGGCACATGTATACATATGTAAAAAACCTGCATGTTGGGCACATGTACCCTAGAACTTAAAATAAAAAAAAAAAACTCCTCCCCAAACACATTGTGTTTCTTTGAATAATCCAGATACTGTCACCTATTATGACTCAAGAAAGTTTGGCTGATTATTTCCAATGGGACTGTAATTAAGATGCCATTGGAGGCAGTGTTGCATAGCAATTTTAGAATCTGGGTTCTGAAATCTGAGATCAGGCCTCAAATACTATCTCCATCATTTTTTAGCTGGGCAAATTAATCTAATTCTGTTTTTTCACCTTTAATCTAGAGATAAACACAGCACATATCTCGTGGAGTTTTGTGAGGATCGGACAAGATGTCATGGGTCGGTTTTAGGAATACTTCTTAGTGCGTGTAGAACTGCTCATGTATCCTAAACTACTGCTATTGTTGTAATCATTATTTCATTATCTTCAGAATGTCTTGAAGTCTGAGAGTTAAGATCCAGTGAGAGTTAAGATCATGGTGGACCAAAAAGACTAAAAAGAGTTTAGGCTATTTCTTGGTGCCTGGGGCTTATGATGGTAGAAGGAAGCAGAGACAGTGAAGGAGAGAGGGCTGCTGAAGGGCCCTGGCCTCTTTCCCAAGCCACTGCAGATTATCTACATGACAACCGTGTGCTTGTCACTGCAGCTTCAAAGCAGGTCCCTAAGCCCCTTTTCCTATCAACTTGTCATTTCCAAGCTTCTCAAAAGTAGAAATTCTAACTGGTCTTCAGTGGGAAGGTCAGGGTAAGTGATGGAATATTTAGCTGGTGATATTTTATAGTTCAAACCAGGCATTCACAATAGGGAATTGTATTCATGGGGAGTAGAACCCTCATTCTGGAGCTGCTTAGTTTTAGAATCAAATGAATCTCATGCCCAGGAAGAAGAGGGGACAAGACGTCAATCATAAGAGGCCATCAGATCCCACTATGCAGAGGCTGATGGGACATGAGAGTCTCAGAATGCAAACCAACCATGAATGAGGATGCGTGGTGTGTACACATGTGGCAGAGAGGAGAGTTCCTGGACTTTGAAATGAGGGTATAGCCATAACCTTCTTATCAGAATTGAAATGTGGATGTAGCCATAACTTTCTTATCGGAATTGAAATGTGAGTGTAGCCATAACCTTCTTATCAGTGTTGAAATGCGGGTCTAGCCATAACCTTCTTATCAAAATCAGGCATCACAGGGATTAGAAGGGCTTCAGCCCAGGAAACAACATGGAAGTGGATTCTGTGGCAGCAACTGAAAGCTAAATCCCTGGAAATCAGGATGAAAAAGCGTTCTCTCCCTCAGCCACGATGGACCAGAGACCTGATTAGGTGTGTAGATGTGTGTCTGTAAGTGGGTTTGTGTGTACACACTATGATGGTCTACGTTTGCTTTTTGGAAGAGGGTTTGCTGGTCAGCCCCTCATGTGGAGTAAGGCAGAAACTGGGGCAGTGAGCAGCAGAGTTGTGTATATAACACCTGACTGGTTTTATTAGAGCTCAATATCCCTTTATATCTATTATAAAAAGTGATGTTCATTTGCATACCATAGGTGATGCAGGTGCTCAAATACAGCAACAATCGCTGATCTTTAAATACGTTCCATCTGTGGGTAAAAATAATTACCTTCTGAATCTCTGTTTTACAGTTGCATTCAAGTGGGGTGTATCTGTGCATGTTTGTGGTTGGCAGAACAATGGCCTCCCAAAAGTATCCGTGTCCTAATCCCCACAACCTGGGAATTAAAGTAGCAGATGAAATTAAATTTGCTAACCGACTTACTTTAAACATGCAGATTATCCTGGATTATCTAGGTGGGCAAACCGTAGTGGCAAATCTTTTAAATGAGGAAGAAGAAGGCGTCAGAAGAGGAAGAGATAGACAGAAGAGTCAGCATCAGAAGAAGACGGTGTGAGAAGGACTGACAGCTGTTGCTGGCTTTGAAGATGGAAGGAGTGGGTGAGCCAAGGAGGAAGAGCTGCCCTAGAGGCTGGAAAGGCAAGGAGATGGGCTGTGCCCTAAAGCCCCAGGAAAGAAGGAAAGCCTGCTGGCTCCTTGATTTTCACCCTGTATGACCTGTTTCAGAGTTCTGATGCTGTATTCTTTAAACCACTAATTTCATGCTAATTTTTTATAGCAGCAATAGAAAACCAATATCATGGTATATGCATTTTTAAATTTTATAACACAAATAGTTTCAAAAAGTGAGAAATTCAGATGTTTGAGCTCATTTTCTGAGAAGTTCCATCTGGAAGTCAGATCACAGGAGCAGTCCTTCTGACTCTGTTCCACATCGTAATAAATAATACTTATGTTATCTCCCGTATACTCTGACGCCTTGCAAAGCTACACACCATGCCATAGATTTCCTAAACAGCAACATTTAGAGCAATCGTTTCCATGTAAGTGGTACTTTCTACAACCATTTGTTTCTTTTTTCTTCCTTTAATGCATTTTAATTAAAGGTAAGAAGAGAATAAAAGAGAGTTGGAGGAAGTACAGCAGCTGTGATGTGTGGGTATAGGAGAGCACAGTCTGCAGACTTATGCTCCATTTGAAGGTAGAAAAACAGTGATTATAGATATATTGCTAAATGAGATTCTACATAAATCCAGACTTTGAACATGAGACTTGATGTAAGTAAAAAAAGACACTGATTCCTCATGGCTGCATGCTGGGTTTTCTTGATGTTTAATTAATTCTAATGATGAAGTCTGAGTCATAAGTGCTCATTCAACAGAGAAACGGACCCTATTTTAAAAATATAAGCCTTTACACAAATAATTGTTGGCTAAATGCTTGCAGTTATCAATAGCGGTTCCGATTTTGAATGTAATGTTTAGTGCACAGAATTCCTCGCCCTGGCCAAGCAGAAAGAAAAAGTGCAAAATCAAACAGTCAACGCGAGAATTTAAAACTATACAAAAGAGAGTCAATTTTTTTATGAGGAGGTGATCACATCTGTGGTTTTTCTGGGAAAAAAAATAATACTGGCTTCCTTCGTGGACTCTCTCCTGTATTTAGATCGACTGGAATGTGCTCTAAGAAAGCACACTCATTTTGACATCAGCATAAGCAAAACAAATCTGCCTCAAAACATTTGATTGTAAAACACCTCCAGCTCACCCACTGCTCTAGGGATGTGTCGGCTTCTTCAGGAATCGTGGGTGATCATAACACCTGGTAGGCACATCACTAGTGAAGTGTGGAAGGCAATAGCAAAGCTAGAATCAACAATATCTCGTTTCCTACATCATTTAGGCTCAAGGAAAAGACTTTGTGGGAATTGTGGTAACTGCTGTTGTGTATTATTGTTATGCATTATTAATAGAAATAATTTTCTTGCCATATCACTCGTAGGTAGCCTTGTATTTTAAAATATAAGAAGATCCACGGCTCCCTATCTACCTAATATACAAGTCTATGATTGTATGGTGTTCCTTTATTCTTTCTACTATAAATTCTACTTACAGTTTTCAATATCTTTATGGAAATTAATATCTTACCGAATAGAGTCGAGGGAGTTTCAAAAAATGTATACAATCAATTTGTACACATATGAAGGTGAAGCAAACATACCCATGTCAGTAAAATTACTGAATGGCCAAAAGGGGAAATAACCCATGAATTTCATATTAAGAGTGAAACTGTTTAGAGTGAAAGAAACTGGAATTTTCATCTTGCTCCACTCCTAACTAGTCATATGCTCCAGGACTACTTACTCGTCATGTTTAAACCTTATTTTTTTTGAATATTTTCTTTTTCTAAAGGTTAAAATCCCCACTGAGCTTGTGGGTTTGTTGCGAGTACTGCATAAGTTAACCTAAGTTAGATACAGTAACTGCCTACCCCAAACCATCTTGCCCCTCGTCCTCTCCTTTCCTGCCAGAACTCTGATTTACTCCAAGTGCTTTGATCTTAGGCTAAGTGAGACCAGCACCTGTTCCGCAGGTATGTTCTATAGGTGGGCGTGGCCTTTGTTGGGCAATGAGATATAGGGGAAAGTCTTCTAGGGGCTGCTGGAAAGTTTTGTCTCCCTACAAAGAGGGAAGGAGCAAGAAAACACTTCTTCCATGCCATTGCGTGCTTCGTGCCTCTGAACTCTGTCCACTGAGAAGATGATGCTTGGGATTGCCTCGCCAGTCTTGGGATGGGGAAGGCAATGCCTGGAGAAATACCAGCAACTGCTTATTTCCAGAATTACTGTTTTGTGGTGGGAAAATCCCTCTGGTTTTAAGACTGTTGACTGCTGGTAAGACTTTCTAGTATTTGAACCTTGACCTTGTTAGGAATGCAGGGATTGTTAATGACTGTTTTTAATGTTGTTTTACTATATTATAGTGTATCACAAGTGGCACTGATAGGCCGGTTTGATAAGTTCCCAGATGAGAGAGAGAATTCCAATTGCAAAAGTCATGGTAAACTTCATAGAGGAGGGATCCATCCCACTGGACTTGATGGGTTTCAGTCTTTGAGCATGGAGAGGCTGGAAAGGGTGTGTGGGGGAGTTCCGTTCTGAGCTAGTAGACCCTTCCACAGGTATGAATAATATTTCAAGACTCAGTGTAATGAGGACAAAGGAGAAGTGTGGAAATGGAGAGCTTTTCACTCAAATCTGCAGGCCCACCTTCTCTTGCAAAGCTCTTCTAGTCTATGTATTATCTTTGGGTTATCTATGGACTTAGAGTAAGTGCAATATAGATTTAGTTTGGCTTTGTTTTGAACACTATCTTGACTGACTCTAATAGTTTTAGAATAAATATAGCTTTACTTCTACTTACATTATTTTTGGGATTTTTTTTTAAAGAAAAAATACATTCGTTTAGTTTAAGAATTGGTAAAACATATATATTGACCAGGTTTTATTTTTCATCCAGCAAAGTATCACGATTTGTTGCAATGTGCACAGCCAGCTTAAAAAAAAAAAAAGAGCTGTTCTTAGGGCTTATACTACCTAATTTCAGCAGCACCACTAAGAGAAACAAGGTGTAGCTCTAACAGAAGGTGAATGGGGAAAACAGGCACAGAGAAGAAGTGGGTACAGGCAGCCGCCTGGCCTCTCCTTATTGCACAGGACAGGCAGGGCAGGGCCGCTCTCTGTGGCCAGGCTTCAGCAACTCAGGCACCCCAGTGCCAGAATCAGCCCCACCACACAACACGTACAGGTTAGCTGGAAACTGTTTAGGACACACAGAGTTTCTCCAAGTAGCAAGAAACATATCAAAGGACCATCAGACCCAGGAATAGAGTGAAAATGAGTGACAGCACATTTGTTCTTGATTCCCTTATATTTCCTGGTTGGGCCAGAACAAAATAAGAAACAGAAAAGGTGAGACTTGCTGAATGTCACATGGCATTTCATCATTATGTTATCTATTTTGGAACATTTCAACTCATTTTCAACCTTTTCCAAAATGTTTACTTTTTCAGGTTTTTCCAGTCAGTGTTTCTAGTATTGTCCCCACCATTTTTTGTAGCAGTCTATTTTTGAAACGCACATCTTTGGCTACCTTGAATAATTGGAAATAAAAACAATGTTGAAAAGAAGTCACAGAGTACCTAAGAATAGACAAGGACTGTGGCAGTTATTAAATATTATTACATTAGGAAGTATCATGATTTTGTTAGGTAGGTGTTTTGAGACAATAATATTAGGTCTAATTGTTTTGCAAGTGGGTAATTTGCTCAGTTACATGTGATTAAGAGGGGAAGTTAGGGTGTAGCTTAGCTGTGCCTTTTTCCAAGATGCTGCCCTGTTCTCAGTGTCTTGCAATTCTACTGCAGCTCAATACCCATCACATTCAGTGGGGTATAGAGAGAAGAAACACAGAAAAAGCAAAACAGACAAAAGAACAAAGGAATTTAGTTCAATTTCAATCAAATATCTGATTTTGATTTTTAATCAAAGGGGATCAAAAGTGGTCAATACAGAGGGGCCATTTGAGTCTTGTCAAAATAATTATAATTTTTGTTTTTCTTAGGACTGCATTTTAAACACTTAGTGAAGAAGTTTGGTAGTATGCTGGCATGAAAACAGAAAATGTGCCCTTGTTAACCTATCCATCTTTAAACAAAACAACAACGACAGAATGCAGCAATTATTGGTTGCGTGTCCTATTAACCCAGTTCGTTGTGACATGTGAGGATAGACTGAGAACTTGCCTTGACTTGAGTATGTTATGTCCATACATTGTAAAGTATAATTTTTCACAGCATTTTGCAATAAGTGAAATAGGTATTAATTTAAGAATAGAAAATATATATTTGGGACCAATTCTCACTTTGCAATACTGACAATTATGGTAGAAGATAATTAATGACTATAGAAGAATAATCAATGTTTAGTTTAAAAGGGTTTTCAAACAAAGACTATTTTAGGCTTTAAAATTACTGTTGTTTAAATTTTTAAAATTAAATATATATGATATTTAAAACAGTATGAATTTCCTTTTAGTTTTTGGATTGCATTATTTTTGAATGGTCTCATTAACCAAAAATCTTAAATGATTTTAAATATTTACCACAATTTCAAGAGCATTCAGTAAAATGGAAATTGTCTGTTTTTAATTGTATAGCTTTCGGGATGCAGTGTACACCTAAATTGTATTCAATCATGATTTACTACATAAATTTGATTAACTTAAATGCATGGTAAGCTCTTTCCTGTTAATATAAATGGAACAAATTAGTGTTCTAAATAGAATAGGAAAGACAGGAAGCAACGCAAATATTCCAGATTATCTGGGCTGTTTTTAAATGCTTTTTTTCTTCTCTTTACTTAGTTAAATCTCCCTTCTATAATTAAATTAAAATGATTGTGCCTGGATGATTAAATTTTTCCCAATATGTATGTTTCATTGGTAATATCTAAATGTTACAGTATAATACATATTGTCCAAGTGGGGTACGAAAGTCTATTAAAAGAAATAATTTTGTACATTTAATCTCTCTCCTGCACCCTATCAAATTTAGTTGTAACAATATGAAAATGTAATTTGAGCTTATTCTCATTTTTTTACACTATGCTTTTCTCAGTCCTGGAGGATGAAATTATATTATCTTTGTTTTCTGTATTTTGTACTCTCTGAACTTTTTAAACATCAAAATGTACATATTATTTATAATCAGAAAAAAAGAAAGCTGTCTTATTTTGAAAACCATCATTTTATTGTTAAAAGCTTATCAGAACGAGGGAGAAGCCTTGCCCTGTTTACTGTTGTAGACACACTGTTCATTAAGGATGACTTGTTTGGAAAAATCCACTCCCAAGACCTCTTGACCTCTAGGGCTAAGCATGGCATAGCACTGGGTGGGTTGGGGATAAGATCATAAGACTGTGGCGTGGGAGTGCTTGAGTTCGGATCCCAGCTCTGTGGCTTATTACTCTTTGACCTTGGGCAAATTACTTTGTGCCTTTTCTCTTTAGTTTATTCTCCCATAAGTGTTGATAAAAAAGTACTAGCTATCTCACAAAGACTTAAGACGTTAATAAACACAAAGACTTTGGAACAATGCCTAGCAGAGGTGACCATTCTATAACTTGATGTTAGGTGTGACTATGAGCTACGTAATATGAAACACTTCCAAAAAATTAAGTTAAAAAAGAATGATATGCAAATATTCAAAAATAATCTGAAACATCCAGTGGCATTTTCCCCAGGTCCTTGTCTCTGTGGGACTATACTGCTCCAGACAAGAGGGCAATTGAGCATTTGCCCCGTGAATTGAGGTAAAAAATGCCAGCAGATTCATGGGCACTGGACACAACAGATAATTCAGAGAAAAGGAAATACAGATAGCCAATTAGCAATGAAAAGTTTTCAACCTCAGTGCTAATCAAGAACTTGCAAATTCAGATAAGGGTAACATGTGGTTCATTTATCAAATTAGCAAAGATTATAAAATAAAGGCTAAAATCCAAGACATGAAGGGTCAGACACACATTCTTATACACTGCTGATTGGAGTAGAAATTAGTCAAACCCTCTGAAAGCAATTTAGCAATGTCCAGAGAAAACATACAAATCCTCAAGAGCTTTGAGTTAGTAACTTTTTCCGGGGAGTTATCCTAAGGAAATAAAGATAAAGACATTCATGGCAGCAGTATTTATAACATTCACAAATGAAAATAATCTAACTTTCTAACAATAGGCAATTAGTTCAATAAATGAGAGTACAACTAGATGCTAGATATTGTATAATATTGCAGTAATATTGGTAAGTAGAGATATTAATGAGTTTTGACCTTAAGTCAAAACTACTTATGACTGAAGGTTGGACCATGTAACCAGCACTGTTTCCTCTGGGTGTAGGGGAGTGCATAGGTGTGATCCCTGGCTATACTCTGCCCTGTCACCATGCTTTCCTGGTATGATGGGTAAATTTGGGATGGATAACTGAACATGATCTACTCTACCCTTTTTCCTTTGGAAATCTAGCTGCTTGTAGGGAGCATCTGTCCTCTTCTCCTGGGTGATAGAATCTTTCTCCAGAGGCATGTTTTTTCCTCCCATATCGGAAAGATTGTTCCAACTAGCATTGACCAAGAGAGGGGCTAATGCTGCCTACTTCTGAGATTCAACTGGGAGGATTATTTGGCTATCACACTAAGCCACATACTTCAGCATGGCCTTTATCAATAAAAGTGATACATTGATTTTCCATCTCCCAGCATTCTTTTATTTGTATTTTTCAAACACTTGGTGGGAAAGAAAAGCATTATACTTTAAAAGACTCCACAGGTACTTCAACATTAGAAACTGACCATTAATAAAAACTACATAACAACTTAGTCCCAAATGTCAGTTATTTGACATCAATACACTTTTATTATCTCATAGTTTGTGAGGGTCAGGAATCCAGGCATGGCTTAGCTGAATGCAACTACCTCAAGTTCTCTCATAGGTTGCGATCAAGTTTCGGCTAGAGCTGTGGTCTCATCTGAAGGCTTGATAGAGGGAGAACTTGTTTCCAACCTCGCTCATGTTGTTGTGGCAGAATTGAGTTTCTTGCTGGCTATTGGCCTCCAGCCTTTCTCAGCCCCTTGCTGTGTGGATTGTCTCCTAGTGCAGCTCACAACATGGCAACTGGCTTTCCTCAGAGCGAGTGACTGAGAGTGCAAGGGAGCATGCACAAGGCAGAAGGCACTGTGGTTTTGTAACCACATCTCAGAAGTGACATTCCTATTACTTTTGCTATATTCTATTTCCTAGCAGAGAGTCACTAGGTCCAGCACACACTCAAAGGGAGGAGATTATATAAGAACATGAATACCAGGAGGCTAGGATCACTGGGCACCATTTTAATGGCTACACACCCCCAAAACTAACATCCACCACAAGACAGGCTCATAGCTAATCTCATTTAATCTTAATAACAAGCCAAGGAGTCAGTTAATAGGATTATCTGATTTTAAAAATGAAGATGTGGAGGCTCGAAAATGTTAAGTGTCTGGTTTGAAAGCTCACAAAATAGTAAAGGGACTGATCAGGGATTGGAACCATGACAGTCCACTCGCAGATTGTGTCTCCTTAGCTACTTGGAAAATATTAAGGAAAAACTGGAATTGCAGATAGGCAAATACATTTTATGACCTTATTTTTGTTAAAAATATATTTAAAAGAGGAAGAGGACATATTAAAATATTTTAGAAAAATTTTAAACCTTTCAGTGAAGGAATTACGAGTGGGTATATTTTCCCCTATTCTTTACATGTTCATATATATTTTTCAAAATGCTGATTATGGGTTTTTTATTTATCTAATATGGGGCAAGCTATGAACACAACAGAAAAAGTCTGTTCTCATAGGCCTTACAACACCAGGCCACCAATGGTGTGTGAGCCATCTTTCCTGAGTGCAAGCAGTCAGGTGCACTGTCTCCAAAAGGTAACATATAAATAGAGACCTAAATAAATTGAGAAAACATGTACTGTTTTCATAATCACAAAAATATAGAGAAAATTTAAAGCTTGGGTGTCCCACTGTAGCTTAAAATTTGAAAGTTTTAAAAATTTTCCCATTCATTCATTTTATATTCAGTCCTTTATTCACTCAGTTATGCATTTTTATTGAGTGCCTATTAGGTGCCAAGCACTGTGCTAAGTACTGGGAATTTAGCAGCTAGTTAAACATATCTCCTTTCTCACATTCATTTTAGAATAGAGTGGAGAATACAGTTGTTCATCAACAAATGACTGAGATATATAATTGCAAACTGTGATATGTATTATGAAGAAAATACACAGGCTATCAAGACAGCAGAAACCAGCAGTGCAGGTCAGTGAAGAGTCAGCCACAGAGGTCATTGGAATTGTAGTCACCAGTAGCATCCATTTGGGAAAGGTTATATGTAAAAAGAGAATTGGGTAAGAAAAGAACCTTGAAAAATTCCCAAAGCTAATGGTGAAAGAAAGAGGATGAGCTGCAAGGAAAATTGAGAGGTAGGAGGAAAGTCCAGTGGAAGCCAAGGGAAGAAAGCTCTCCTGGAGGAGGAGAGTGGGCAGCCCTGCTGCATGAAGAAGGAGAGGGCTGAGAAGTGAGAAACACCTTCGGTGTTTAGTGACACGGTGTGAGTAAGCCTAGGAGCAGCCTTGGCAGATTAAAGTGGGTTGTAACTTGATGGGAGGAGAAGAAACAGGGACCATGTATATTAATAGCTTTTAAAGCATATTTGGCTATAAAGAAGAAACATATAGGTTTGTAGGTGAAGGGAAAAGTGGAACCAAAGAAGGGTTTTAGATTATCTTTTCTTTTGAAATATGGGAGAGACTGTAGTTACTGAAATAGTGAAGATTTTGATCTCATAGAGAGGATAGATGTTGGCTGAGGGTGGGGACCATTAGAAAAAAGGTGACTGGTTCCTGAGAAGTTGAGTTTGGGGGAAGAATCCAGAGAAGAATAGAAGAAAATGAATCTCCTTCACCATCCTGTTGAATGTCCTACTCTTGTCATCTTTCTCTTTCTTTCAAGGAAGCAAAGGAATCTTTAAAATGTTTTCAAATGTAGATGCTTAGAATTTGGGAGCATAAATGCAAACATCACACCTAAGGATATTTTCATTACTCATCTCACTTTTTAAAGCACTTTTCTATGATTTCATTATTTTTATTTCCAGGACAGCCTGGTGAGGTTGTTGGGATGGCTGCCAATCAATTCATGTGACTTATCTATGGAAACACAATGTCAATCTTGCTATTTATAAAGTGTCAAGAGATCTATATCACCTAACTGTCATGCCAATGCAATTTTATTTTTTTACCATACTATGCCTCCTTAGACTCTTAAATCCATTAAATATAATCATAAAGTTCACAGCTTGAGAGTATAACTTGAAGACAAAGAAGAAAACACCACAGAGAAGGTTTGGCTCGTTTATATCTTGACACCCTGGTAAATGCTTTCTTCACTCTCATCTGAAGGAAATTAGATGGAAATAGGACACATGTGTAATGTCTTCCACATGAATTGAAGTGCATTGTGGATAAATGTCTGGACTTGCACGCTTGACAAAGGTCGGTCTTAGTACCATTTACTCAGCCGCTCCTGGGTGAACAGACACTCCTGGAGAGCCGATTCCCTCAGGCTCTGGAGACACTCCGAGCCCCCGTGCTTCTTGTTTAATAACACGAGCAGCACAGAGTTCTCAGGCAGCCTTTGTGGTTTGATGAAATGGTATATATTTTCATTAGATTTTCGTGTGTGTATGTGGGAATATTCTGAAAACAGCAAAGCTATATAAAGATAAGTAATTACATTAATAAAATAAAATAACAATACTAACACTTATTGAGTACTTACTCTTTCCTATTTTCAATAGCTTTAAGTGGTCTCTCATCCTAGTATTTAATTCTTATTCCATTTTAAATCCTGTCTTAGTCTGTTTGTGTTGCTACGAAGGTATACCTGAGGCTGGGAAATTTATAAAGAAAAGAGATTTGGCTCACGGTTCTGCAAGCTGTACAAGAAGCATGACACCAGCACCTGCCTCTGGTGAGGCCACAGGGAACTTTCATTCATGATGGAAGGCGAAGGGCAGCTGGCGTAACCCTTAGAGATCACATGGTGAGAGAGGGAGCAAGAGAGAGGGCAGGAGGTGTCAGGCTGTTTTTAACACTCAGATCTCAGGAGAACTAACAGAGTGAGAGCTCATTCCTTACCTGGAGGACAGCACCAAGACATTCATGAGGGATCTGTCCCCATGACCCAAACACCTCTCACCAGGCCCCACTTCCAACGCTGGGGGGGTCACATTTCAACACGAGATTTAAAGGAGAGAAACATCCGAACTATATCGAGTTCTTAATCAAGGACATAGCATTAATCCTGTTCTCAAACCAATACCATTGCTGGCCCACTGACATAGACTAGGATTCCCTTGGAAGCACAAGTAATGGAGACCACAGCTAACATTTTGGAGACAGGCTGAAGCTTTTCCCAACATGGAGCGAGACGCCTGGAAAATAACCCATCTTGTTCCCAGCTTGTCCTTTTACACTAAGGCATGTTCAGAAGCATGACCAGTCCTTCTCCCTCTCCTCTAGCCATGCTGAACTGTGCTGTCTTTTAAATCCTGGCATTTATTTCTGAATCCTTGGAGCTTTCTGCTGCAAGGTCTGTTCTTCTTCCCTGCTCTCATCCCATCTTGACCTCCATCAGTGTGGTCAATTTCAACAGACCCTCAGGTCTTTCTCCAGAAAGTCTCCACTGACCACTCCCCTACACAACCCTACTATGGGTGGAGTAATTGCCAAACACCAATATTCTAAAACAATCACGTACAAAATGTTCTTGAAATACATTGAAATAAATGGATATGTAATTCTTTTCAGTTACTTTCAATTGGGTAAAGAACAGAGCAGCAGAAATAATGAGATCCAGTGTTTTTCCTTCTTTTAATGCAGGTTGTAGGGCTGGGATTTTACTTCTGAATGCTACTGGTTTGTTTAATTTTCCAAAAAAAAGTGTGAGAATATATGCTCAAATTTCTCAAAATACTTAAAAACGTATTTTATTTGACCTCAAGTTGTACAAAGGAGTTCAGCCAAGGCTCGTGCATTTGATGACAGGTCTCTGAAGTAGAAATGTTTGAATTCTGTCTTGAAACAATTTTGCTTCTAATCATCTTGCAATGATTTTCAAGTTATTCTTGAATTTTTCTGCTCCATTCTATGACTTGCATGGAATTTATTTTGTGACGGAAGGCCACATTCTGCCTATGAGGGCTGGTTATTCTGTTAGAATTTCCTCCTGAAGGTTCATGTAATATTATTTTCTTTCTCTCATGATTCCTTCTTCTTTAATTGTCTTATAAGAGAACACTTGGTAGTTCAAATCACATCTAATGTTTCCCTGATGCCAAAAGCATTAGTGGTTTTGTTAATTCCACCAAACAAACTCTAGTGTCTGAGTGTACTTATTACAATTCATCTAATTCAAGTGACTGGCCATGTTAATCAACACAGCAGCTTTTTTTATCAGTACATCCAGAGGAATAAATGAAATACAAGACTTGGAATCTGGGTTGTGTGTTCTGTTTCTCACACCTACAATTAATTACTTTCAGATATAAGTGATGGGATAGAGGGAGAAAGCTGAGATAAGGGACAGTTCAATGATAGTGGAAAGCGTATGTGAGGTGCAGTTTCAGGGCTGCTTCAGTTCAGCAGCTCATTCTTGTGCATAAAGGAGCAGGTTCTTTTTATCACTCTTCTCTGCCTTCCATGGGTTAGATTGGGCCTAACACTGGCTGCCTACCTGACAGCAAAAAATTGCAATTCCAGACTTTGGTCTGTACATGCACAGACCAGCAGAAGACAAAATATTTTTATGTGTGTGGAGGGGTAAGCTCTAAAAGGGTGAGAGTTTATTTTCCAGAAATCATAGCAAAACTTCTCTTGTGTCTCATTGGCCCTGAAATATGTGCTCATTTCTAGAACAAAGTCTGACCAGGGCATAGTCAAAACTGCTTGAGTAAGGCCTGGATAACTGGATTAACGTTAAGAACAAGAGGATGGCATTACCCAGATTGCTTTGACCAGTCAGCTTTCACCCCAGAAGTGGGGTTCACCCCTGTTCTGTGATAATCACCTGTGCTGTGTATCTATCGACTTAACTAGAATGTGGATTCACAGAAACAGGGTCTTGCACTCATTTCACTTTGCATTTCTAGGTCAGAACACATTTGCTCTCACATCAGAAGAACTCAAAATATTTATTCAATGTGAATAAAGTAGCCAGTTTCCCATATGAGCTGCTATTAGGTTTGTTCCCTTTCAGTGATTCCAAGATTACTCATTTAGCACCTATTTGATACCGGACGCAGGGGAATAAAATGGTGATGAACAACCCAGTCCTTGATCTTAAGGAACTTACAGTTTTGTAAGAGAGAGAAAGATACATACATAAACAATTTTAATAAAATGTGATGATGTTACTGCTGAGCGCTGCAGGGCTGAGTTGGGGAACTTCCTGGGCTAATTGGAGGTGAGGAGGCCTCTCAGAGGAAGCGATATCTCCATGGAGGTCTGTCAGGCTTATGCAGCTTTGCCAAGAGAAGGGGGAGATGAATGGTTCACTGTGGAGAAGGATGATTCACTTTAGAGAGGAACATGACAAGACCCCGTTATGATACCCATCATTCACTTTACAAAGTCTCACTGCAGACAGTGTGATATTACCTATTGTTAGACTGGCATGGTCGGTTGCTCTAACCAGGAGCATCAGGGGTATTCAGCCAGTACATAATGAGGAAGCTAATTCTGCAGAAGCAGCTTCTGCAAGTGTTTCAGCTTTTTTGCTTACTCGACACCAGAGAGGCCCACTACTTAGCATAATTTGTCTCAGAAATGTGTGTTTGGCCGGGTGCGGTGGTTCATGCCTGTAATCCCAGCACCTTGGGAGGCTGAGGCGGGCGGATCACTAGGTCAAGAGATTGAGACCATCCTGGCCAACATGGTGAAACCCCGTCTCTACCAAAAATACAAAAATTAGCTGGGCGTGGTGGCAGGCGCCTGTAGTCCCAGCTACTCGGGAGGCTGAGGCAGGAGAATTGCTTGAACCTGGCAGGCAGAGGTTGCAGCGAATGGAGATCACATCACTGCACTCCAGCCTGGCAACAGAGCGAGACTCCGTCTCAAAAAAAAAAGAAATGTTGTGTTCATCCATGTCTTAGCCCCTTCCAACTGACATAACACACCACCACAAACTGGGTGGCTTATAAACAACGGCTGTTTGTTTCTCACAGTTCTGGAAGCTGAGAAGTTTGAGATCAAGATGCTGGCAGGTTCAGTGTTTGATGAGGGTCCCCTTCCTGGTTCAGAGACATCACCACCTCCTGCGTCCTCATGTGGTATGAGGGGTCAGGTGGCCCTTTGGGGCCTCTCTTATAAAGATACTGATTCCATTCATGAGGCTTTGCCATGTTTGCTATATCAACTCCTCCATTAAGTATTATTATATTCCCTAGTTGTCAGATGAGGAAACTGAGGCAAAGAGAGGTTGAGGCACTTGTCTAAGGACACAGAGGTAGAAAGCAATAGACAGTAGGTGGCAATTCTGAATCAGGCTCCTGAGCCACCGTAGGAGAGTGGGGAAGGCCATTTGTGGAGAGATAGCCTTCACAAAGGCCAGCTTGTCCTAAGGAGAGGAGTGTGGAATTGTTGGAGGGATACAGGGAGCCAAGGGACATTGTTTAAAATTAGAGATATTTCGGAGTGTTGATAAGGTAATAACAATAAACTCGTCTATATACAGGCTAAAAAAGAGATTGACAGTTGAACAGAAGCCCCTCAGGAGGCAGAAGGGGGTAAAATTGAGGCAAAAAAGGACAACCTTGTAACAAGAAGGAAGAGTGAAAAATAAGAATGGAGGAATGGGAGAAACTGCCATGTGGGAGGAATGGCAGAATGCTGATGTATTGATTTTCCTTGTGAAGTGTGAGGAGAGTGAAGGAGGAGGTAGAATGAGAGCTTTGAGTAGAGTGATGTTTTGAAAAACAAGTGTCACAGAGAATGGAGAGAACAGTGGATAATGAAACTAAGAAAGATCTCCTGGTAGTGACGAGAGCCTGGGTGGGTTTGGAGAACAGAAAATGATGGTGGCAAGGTAGTAAATCACATTTTTTTGGGGAAAAAAAGTCAAATGCTCTGATTTGGAGGGTTTGCTAATTTTGTTGGTTCAAACACCAATTTTGTTGATTCAAACATGGTTCATAACAAACCACTGGTGGTTTAAGAAGTGGCTCAAAAAATTTCTGCATATTTAACCACTGACTGTCAGGAAAACACAATCTTAGGCCAGTGCATCACTGACCCATACCGGCTTGTGAGATTTCCTCTACAGCACAGTGAAGAAACAGAAGCAGAATGCTTAGGTTGGCCCAAGGTTGTGGTTTCACCTGGTGAATTACAAAGGAAAAGGGACAGAAAGATAAGAATATAACTAAGGGAGTGATGTGATTACATGTAATCCAGATTGCACAGACATAGTGGAGGTGATGAGAAACTACTATTGGTGACAGTGAATAATAGATATTTAGCATCATTCTTATGGGGTGGTTTGTGTTGAGGGGAGAGGTTATGGAAGGAATGGAAGATCATGTGTAGGTGGTCAAGATCAAGTGAAAAATAAAACCTTACAAGTCTTTTAGGGACCTGTTAAAAGCAACAGTACCGGATGGATTATGAACTGGAGTAACAGATACCTGGATGCATCCCTGGAATGCACAAGATGACACTTTGTTTACTGTCCCTGAGACCTTACAGGTGGTCAGCTCCTTGGCTGCTTTGGAAGCCAATACCCATGAACCAGGACTCAAAGGGACTGTATAATTTCAAAATTCCATAGCTTTGTTTGAGAAAGCCCCAAACCTCTAGCAGAGAATAGGTGTTCCACAGTCTGAACCAACCTGGTTTTTGTGGCTAATTTCTCATTCTTTTTTTTTTTTTTTTTGTATCCATTCCACATACCTCTTTCACCCACACTCACAACTGTCAGACAAGATTATTCTGCACTGTTTAGTACCTCTCCGCTTTTACACATGTTCTCTCCTTCTTATTTATACACAGAATGCCTTTTCTCACCACCCATCATCTTTGGCCACCTGGCAAATATTGACTTATTCTTTATGCTTTCTTTCTAAAGTTCTCCCTTTTATAGGAATTCCTTCCCCTGCCCTCTCCAGGATGGCTTGCCCTTCATTGTGATAGTGTAGTGTTCTGTGCAATAAAAATGGAAATATTTCTCACATTGCATTCTCACTTTAAATTTATTTATATCTCTCTAGCACTAGACTGCCACCTTCTTGAGGATAAGGATTATGTTTGATTCATACTGGTATCCCTATTACTTAGCAAAGCACCAGGTATATACATTCAAAGCTTTTGTTTTGTTTTGTTTTGTTTAATGGATGAGGTCCATGTTGCCTGGAACCTACAATCAAAAGATCTAAATCATTCTGAAAAAATGACATAAAGACAATACACATATGTTTCCAATGTTACCTTCTCATTATGTTAGCAACAAGCCTAATATGAGAATATGGAAGGAATTTTGAGAACAGGGTATACCAAAATGGTTAAAGGCAGGGCTAATATATGTAGTGATCTCCCATTCTATAACTGATATGGTTTGGCTGTGTCCTCACCCAAATCTCATCTTGAATTCCCACATGTTGTGGGAGGAACCTGGTGGGAGGTAATGGCAGATCTTTCTCATGCTGTTCTCATGATAGTAAATAAGTATCACAAGATCTGATGGTTTTAATAATGAGAGTTTCCCTGCACAAGCTCTCTCTTTGCCTGCCACCATCCATGTAAGATGTGACTTGCTCCTCCTTGCCTTCCGCCATGATTGTGAGGCTTCTCCAGCCACATGGAACAGTAAGTCCATTAAACATCTTTTTCTTCCCAGTCTCAGATATGTTTTTATCAGCAGTGTGCAAATGGACTAATATAATAACACAAAGGATAAATTGCTAACCCATAATGACACTTTCCCACTGAGCCAGGACGAAACCTTAAAATCCTTTTCAGCAAAGCCTTCCAAACTGTCACAACAAATAGTGTGGAGCTGGCATGTGGGAGGAACCTTGTGCACCATCCACAACAGAAAGTCTCTCTCCCTAGCAGCTGACTCTCAAAAGTGGTAAAGAACATTTTTCCTCTGCCTTTGGTTCACTGAAACTGTTCTAAATAATATGCTCCATTTCACTAATAAGTAAAAAGCAGCAGATTGAGTTTGTTCCCAAGCCTTAATTATAAATCATTTTATCTTCCACTAAAGAGTATATTTTGATATTTTGAAAACATTGAAACCATTCCATGTCTTAATGAACAACATAGAAAAGAGTTCTACATCTTGCATAAATTCATTTTGCTTAAATATTTCCATGGTCCACTGTGTAACACAGTTTATCTCTAGTTCAAGAAAATTCTTTTATAAAACAAACACTGTGTTTTATGCCCTGTTATCACATCATGATTCTTTATGTCTAGCTGATCAATAATTAGATGAAGATACTTTTTTAAAAAATCAAGAGGTGAATTTAAAAAAATGTGCTGGGGAATCAGTTTTCTCTTTCAGTCAAAATATTTATGTATTTCTTTAGTTCTTGGACATTTTCTAATATCTTTTTTTTTTTTTGAGACAGTGTCTTGGTATGTTGCCCAGACTGGCCTTAACTCCTGGGCTCAAGCAGTCCTCCTGCCCCAGCCTCCCAAATAGGTGGGATTACAGGTGCACACCACTGCACCCAGCTATTTCTTTTATCATTTATTTGATAATTTCATGTCTTTAAATTTCTTGTCATCTTTTATATTTTCCAATCTCATTAACTGTTTATCTTTTTGTTTTAGATTTCCTCACGGTTGTTCCTAAATCTTTGCCTGGAGTCATTTATTTCAGATATTGTATTTCATTATTTGAGAGATTCTTTGTTCTCTAATTTTTTCTATAATATCTTGTTTGTGTTTCATGGATTTACCATATTTTAAAATTTGTGGAAGCATAGTAATTGAACTTTTTAGTTTTTTTTTAATGATTGTCTCTTCTCTAAATTCTCTCTTTTCTCCAGTGCCAGGTATTCTTCCACATTGATATTTTGAAATTCGTTTTTTATTTGCTGAGTTTCTCTTATATACATGCCTAATGAGTCGCATTTCATTCAAGAAGAGAAACAACTCTGGGTATGTCTTTGCAGGAGGTAATTGAACCAAGGGAACTGGAAACTACAAAACCATGGGAAGCGCGGAGGTGAGTCCGGGCCCAGCAGGTCTCTCTTGCGGAGCAGGGGTGGCGCAGGGAGCATGCGCGGCGCAGGGAGCATGCGCAGGGCCGGCTGCAGCCATTCTGCCATCCGGCGCTTGTGCAGGTGCCTTCCGCGGAGTCAGTCTAGGAAACGTTTCCAGGCGCCTAGTCTTTGCAATCAAAAGAATCAGAAATGTTGCTGAGGCCCTAAGAGGCAGTTCTGCACAGCTGCTCAAAACAGAATCGGAGGATGGATGATGGGGGATAGTGTGTGCGGCTCTTTGCTGGCTAGGTCTCCTACCAGACTTTTAAAAAGTAGCACGTGAAGGTGTATGGAGGTCAGCACACAGCGCTGCTTAGGACTCTTTCTTCACAGGAAGTGGGTAAGGAGCTAGCTGTGAGATGCAAGTCCCTCAAATAGTAACAACAACAACAACAACAAATATTTTTAATTTGGAATGCCACCTTCCAAGTTAGGAGCATCAGCTTTCCCCAACATTCCTTTCAGTTTCTTGGAGGAGAACCTCTGGGGTTTGGCACTGGGGAAATATCAGCTGTTACTTGCTTTCCATTTTGGATAAGGATTGAGGGATGGAAGTGCTGATTCAGTCACTGTTTCTCTCTTCAGCAGCATGCCTGCCTCAACCTCAGCCCTCAGCCAATGCCTTCTGACTCCGAGCCGAGAGCCCTTCCTGACCTCGTGGCTGAGCGTCTCTGGCCTTCTCTGCAGCTCCTCAACGGTGTGGCAGCGCAGCGCAGGCCCTCCTGGCTGACCTTCAGAAATCTGTTGAAATCTTAAAATAAGAAAACAGGGAAGCTTGCTGCATCGATTGACTCTTCCTTTCACGAAAGATTTCTCTGTAGCGTGCAATGCTATGCACTGGAAAAAGAAAGAAAGAAAGAAATCTGTTGAAATCACTCGTTCGTTGCTGTTGACCCTCTCCACACCGTTGTCTTTGAGAACCTGGATTGTACTTATAGGCTTTATTTCATGGAGGCTTATGGCAAACAGGTGGCAAGGGCATATGTCTACTCTGCCATTTAACTCGGAGAGTTTTGCCTGCTTTTTAAGGTATCTTTGAGTACTTAATATGGGCCTCTATCTGATCTTTGCACCCTGACTTTTCATAACGGTACAGTGCACGTGAAAAATTCTGTTCAGTCAAGCCTGAACTGCCTTCTGAACTCAGATGCTCATTTTTGATTCAGTTTCTTTGCAGCCCTAGGAGGACCATTCTTCTTCCTTTCTTCCCCTATGTATTTGAATAATTCATCAAGGCCAAATTAATTCCATTTCCTTCATCAAGGTGAATTCAGCTAATTGTAGCATTCTCCCTTCTCTGAACTATAATTGAACCATTATTACGTGATAAAGACATGTCTATACTAGACAACCTGGTACTACATATACTTTTTGTTATATAATTATGTATGTGTTCTAATTAGTTAAGTAACACTCTACTAGATTCTGGAAGTTATTTAAGGCATGTCACATATGTACTTATGCAGTTAGATTTACCTTGCTGAAACCAATGTCTCTTTTAGGGCATAGCATGATACTGGAGATATGGTAAAATATTAATACACAAATGTACAATTTATTCATTACAAAAAATTTACACTGCAATCAACTACATACACACGTTCTTTTTTACAATTTTTTAAATTATACTTTAAGTTCTAGGATACATATGCAGAACGTAGGGTTTGTTACATAGGTACACACGTGCCATGGTGGTTTGCTGCACCCATCAACCTGTCATCTACATTAGGTGTTTCTCCTAATGCTATCCCTCCCCTATCCCCCCACCCCCTGACACGCCCTGGTGTGTGATGTTCCCCTCCCTGTGTCCATGTGTTCTCACGGTTCAACTCCCACTTGTGAGCGAGAACATGTGGTGTTTGACACATACTTTCTTTTTACTTATCTTGATTATTTTTCTTTTCCTATCCTGAGTTTTCCAGACAAAATAGCTAAAGAAGTCAAGAAAACCAAAGGATATTAAAACGAAAGTGGCAACAGACAACAAAAGGAATTAGTAATTGACACTCATTGAATCCTTCTTCTTTTCCTTATTATTTTTATCAGTTGTGCTTATCTTTACTTGTGCCACAGTGAGCACTAGGATTCTTCCATGGTAGGTTGGTGTGTAATAGTTAAATGAGCACTCATAATATTTAGGCATTTCATAGTGTGTCATCTTAAATTAATGTAATTTTCATAAAATTTACAGTTTGAATATATTCTATATGCTATTTTAATTTTTTTCTGAGAAAGAACTGTCTGCTGAGAAATAGTGAAATGAAACTCTTCATTTTGATGACTGGGAAAAGAGATGGGAGTAGTGTCTCCACTGCCAGACAGACTGCATCTCTGCTGCCAGACGTCCTGGGATGTTGCTGTGGGTTTTTGACAGGCTTCTTGCACTATTGAAGTCAAATTCTTTCCTAGTAGCACACACCTTTCCAACACTAATCTATGTGAAAAATAAGAAAACCTTTCTTCCTGTTGTTGGCTGGAGCACCCCTGCATCTTTGAAACTATTATTTCGTTTGTTAGGCAGAAGCTCCTGGGCAGCTGCCAGCCTTCTCTATGGTGTTTGAGCACTGACCCCTGAGCACGGTATGTGACATATTATTAAAGAATTATTAAAGACCAATGGCATGCTTTGGTCATTTTTCTTATCTAACAGTCATAGTAAAACTGAAAACTAGAAATTATGAATGACAAGAAGGGGAAATTTAAATTAGGGCCCCAATTTACTTCTTTTTACTATCAGTTTTGATAATTTATTTTTCATTAGCAGAGGTATTTTACATGAATTTTCTTAGTCTTCCCTTCCTTTCTTCAGGGTGCAGGTTCAAACTTTATCTAACAATTAATATACATTTTTAATTATCATACGATAATGGTAAAACATTAATTAAAAATTTATATGTATTTTAAAGTGTAATGCTACCATATAAATTATGTATATTTTATCCATATATCTATCTGACACTTACCTATATCATGAATGAAAAGAGGTTATACGTAAAATTCACGTTATTATTTTATTTGCCATGCAATTTAGAATTAAATCAGGATGTTGGCAGAAAGCTAGCTAAACCCTTAACTGACATGTACCCTCTCAGCAATGTAACTAAGGATGATCGCAGTCTGGCACCCATGCTAGGCATGTGGTAGAAAGCATGCCAATTCTTGGCACAACATAAAACAGAAGGAATTTGGTGTAGGACATCTGGATATTTAGTACTTTATGCAAAAATACATAGATCCTTTATTTTTCCTTCTCTTTTGACATTTGTTGTACAAAGTCTTAAAAATTTATTCTTTGGAATACATAAGTTGGCCATATTCATATGCTTCTTGAAAAAGCTATTTTTAAAAAACTTTTAGTTCTAGCATTTAATGCTGGAGACCAGTACTACCCACTTGGACTTTGTGCAGTGATAGACACACTTTATATCTGCAAAATCTAATAAAGAGATGACTAGCTACGTGTGTCCATTGAACACTAGAAATGTACTTGGTGCAACTGAGGAGCTGAATTTTCATTTTTATTTAGTTTTAATTCATTTAAGTTTAGATAGCCACATGTGGTTGATGGTTACCATACTAGTAAAGCTATAGGCTATTAACAGTCTCAGTTTACCAGTGGTTAAGACTAGCTGAAGTATAAGATATTTCTTAATTACAGAAGGAAAATTGTCTGATGAAATATTAAGGACCTTTCATTTACATGCATTATAGTGATATTAAAGTAGTTTCAAAATAGAATAGCATAATATTAATAAATACACATGAATATATGTTCATGCACATATAGTTTTATACATAAATATGTGTGTTTATTCAAACCAGAGAATTCATTAAATCGGATTATACAGTAATAATATACAAAAACTGAAAAACTGCTATAAAATTTCATGGCTAGAAACATGTTCTTGTCAGTAAATCCGTAAATATTGGTACATACATAGCAATAAAGCATAATAAACTTAATGACAAAATAAGTCCCACCATATATGCAGTACCAAAAAGCAAAAATGGTACTATATTTTCATGAATATTGGTGACTAAAAAGTAAAGCAATGTAAAATAGGTTTGATGAAATTTCTTTTAAGATAACCATAGTTTGCAAATAAAATTAATTTATCAAAAAGCAGCAGGAACTATACATCTAGATAGTAATGTTTAAGAGCATTCAATGTTGTTCCCTGGAACTCAGAAAAGTAAATTTCTTCTTATTATTAGATAACTAGTAAAAAGTGAACAAGAGTATTTACTCTATGAATTTTAACCTGTGAGTTTAGTAGTTCTATATCTTAATCTAAAATTTTAATAAAATAGCCCAAATTTTATCTCTCCTCAGCCTTGTAAAATCAGATTTTTTGTTTAATTATAAATAATACAATGACAAGCTCTGAAATCCCTGTCTTTGATGTGATGGGGGTGGTGCTTTTTGCCATCAGTAGGGGTAACATGCCCTCCCCACCTCTGATCTCTGGAGCTGAGCTTTCTGTTATTATTATTTGCACACTGGACACAGATCTCATAAAATAGATCTTAGTCACTGGAAAATATATTAATGTATGGATTTTTCATACATATCTAATAGTCCAATCAAGGTGTCAACACTGATGAGGTTTATATGTGTCCCTAGGCGTACATGTGTGAAGAGGGGGGCATTTGGGGAAAGGGAGGTGGAAAATGCTTCACTTGTTAGAGTCATGAATTAAATGATGCAAGTCTGAATCTAGTTGCAAATATTATTATAGCAATGAACAATATGATAGTTATATTTAAAAAAACACTTTGGGAACCAAGCAAAAACAAAGCAAGCTGCATTTGGAACAGTGAGATGCTGGTTCCTGTAGCCTTCAATATGCTTTGTGATTATGGCTAAATCTGTGACGATAGTTTGAAAAGATGATAAAGAGTTACATATTTGCTTGTTTTTTCAACCATTAGTTCTAAATTCCTTTGCAAGAGAGTGCATTGAAGAAAAGCACAAGACAAATAGTCAAGAGATTGTGCTATTTTTCTGACTCTTCCCATTACGTCTCTGTGATCTACTACGAATGTTGTCCTTAGATCTCAGTTTCCTTACCTATAAAATGAGAAAATTATATAGATGACTTCTTACTACATTCAATTACAGAATTATCCTCTGGAATGGAAGAGACAAAGCACTATGCAACCAATAACATTTCCAGAGAAGGCAGCTGTATTAGTTTCCTAGGGCTGCCATAACAAATTATCACAAAATAGGTGGCTTACAACAACAGAAATGTATTCTCTCACAGCTCTTGAGTCTGGAAGTCACAAGTCAAAATGAGGGCAGGGCCACGTTCTCTGTGTAGACACTGGGGGAGGACCCTTCCCTGCCTCTCCTGGCCTTTGATGGTTGTCAGCAATCCTTGCTGTTCCTTGGCTTGCAGATACATTGCGCCAATCTCTGCTTCCGTGAGGTCTTCTTCCCTGTGTGTCTGTGTTCAAATTTCCCTCTTCTTATAGAGACTCCAGTCAGATTAGGGCCACCCTCATCCAGTATGACCTCGTCTTGACTTGATTACAACTGCAAAGAACCTACTTGCAAATAAGGTCACGTTCATAAGGAGAGGAGGTTAAGACTTGAACATTTATCTTTTTGACTGGGACAAAATCCAGCCCACAAGAAGACCTGAAGGTACAGTCTATTTCTTCTTTCTTCTTTTTTTTCTTTTGTTAAGTTATTTTAGTGATGTTCAATCTTTACATAAAATTAAAATCTTTTTTTAAAAATAAGTGTCAGTGCCAGAACTGTAAATGAAAATAATCAAATAAAAGTTAGAATAATTCGTTACTCGTTGACTTTCCTTGCACTTAAAGCATCTACAATGACAATCTACCTCTGTATATTAATGTAGTCCTACTCATTTTAATGATATTTTACCTGTTTTGATTATGGATAAGATCAATCATCTTTAAAAACTATTTTATAATACCTAAAAATTGTTCCAAAGAGTTATTCTAGATAGTGAATATAAAACTGGGAAATGTGGTGCTTAGGAACCCTTGAAGTAATATTTCTGGTTATTGTCAGAACCAGATGTTGACATGAACCATGAAGCTGAATTGTCAAAAATTATCCTTGGTTGTTGTTTTTTAAGTAGAAATGAAAGTCCTGCTGGAAGGCCTGATGACAGTTCCTTTTGGGACTCTGTTGCTCTCCCTTGCCATTCTGCCCCAGTCATAGCTTTTATTAACAAACAAACACTTGTGTGATATGGGACACGTCTCCATGGTTAGTTGTGTGTCATCCAGAGCCTGACTTAGAAATAGCCCAAGGAGATCTTCTGAAGACTCTAGACTTACTGCCATTCAAAGGCTTACAGTGGAGTTACACCTAACCAAGGTTCTTAATAACAGCAGGTGAGGCAAAAACCCTGGAGTGGAAATGACACTTGAAAATCCCATAAATTACATATGAATTGTCCACTCACCTGAATAGTGGACACCTGAATAGTGCGGTACGTGTCAGTATCAGTGGGCAGGAAAGTCCTCATTTAGTTGTCCAGTCCTGTGGGGTAAACATTGTTGTCCTTTTCCTGGTACTGAAACTTAGTTCAAAACATTTTTGTCACATGCCCAAGATCACACGAGAAAGTCATACAAAACTATTATCTGCAGCGAATACACCAAGTGTATTCCCCTCTACGTCCTCATTCGGAACATCATCTTTCCAGGCCTAGGCAGATAGATTACAAAAACTGAAACTGTGGAATCCTTGCATTGTAACTTTTTAAAAAATTTTACTTTAGCTTCTGGGATACAAGTGCGAAAGATGTAGGTTTGTCCCAGAGGTATACGTGGCGCAGTCTATTCCCCTGGGAGGAGTCACAAGCCTCAAAGAAAGTAGTGAGATAGTTCTATGATTTACACATAGAATAAAGAAAAATGGAAAAGCAATATGAATATAATTTGTATTTTTTGACACAAAGATGTGCAAACATACATAAAGATATACAGCATTCATTGTAAACGCTAGAAATAGGAAATAAAGCCAACATAAAACCATAAAACCCTATTTTAACTTTAAACAAAATCAACTCATTTGCTTGGAAAGGCATGAGAGAGTCTCAACAGGAGAAATCAACTGGAAGAGCCGGGAGCCTCCACAAGATCCCTTTTTACCTGGATTCACTGTAGGCCTAAGTCTGCCTTCAGCCTTCAGTGCTCAGAGGCTGGGATCTCAGTCTTGCTGAGAAGTTCAGCATTGCTGGGCCTCAGTTGTGCACCCAGATTAGTGCAGTTCAAAAGAAATGAGCATAGCCACACAGCATTTCCGCTAATTTCCAGTGAAATACCTTATGGCCACACTGGCCAGATGTCATAGTAGTTGTTCAGACAGCCTCATCCTATTGTAAGCTGCATGGTAACCAGCCAAAGAACCAAAAGGATGTGTTGTGAATGCTTAAGGACATTGAG
The DNA here is from genome assembly GCF_000001405.40 of Homo sapiens. NCBI lineage: Eukaryota > Metazoa > Chordata > Mammalia > Primates > Hominidae > Homo > Homo sapiens. The sequence continues at coordinate 187,164,977 of NC_000004.12, forward strand.
TTTTGCTAGTCAGGCGCATCTACCTCCACAATAGCCAGTATTTGTTAAACAGCCTAGAGACTTGATTTAACCTGACCTCTCTTTGGAAAATTCAGTGATTTGGACCAAACAACCATGCAGAATATAATTTCAGAGTTAGAATACACATCTTTTTTTTCTCCGTGCTTCCTGAAATGATGTCTATGGGTGACAGAGAGCAAATTAGTTTGGGGAGGGCAGGTCCAAATAAATAATATCGAAGGCCCTGACAGGGGACCCAGCCTGAGCATGTTCATCTTTATTCTCTACTGTTTCTGCACATTACATTCTTCCTATCTCAATGGATGCCAGAAAGACAAAGATCCCTGAAGCAAAGTAAAATGTCTGTGTGTGTGTGTATGTGTTATATGTGTATACATGTAGATTATCATTATTTGTGGATTTGATTTTTGTGAATTTGCCTACTTGCTAAAATGTATTTGTAACCCCTAAATGAATACTTGGAGTGCTTTTATGGTCCTTTGTGAACATGTGCAGAGCAGCAAAACATTTGAGTTGATCAATGCACATGGCCCAGCTGAAGTCAATCAAGGCAAATGTCGTCACGTGGCACATGACTGTTGTTGGAGTACATCAAAACTAAAAACTTGTGTGCGTTCAAGAGCGCTAGCAAATAAAAGGCCACCCAGAGAGTGGAAGAAAATACTTGTAAATCATATATCTGATAAGGGGTTAATATCCTGACTATATACAGAACTCTTACAACTCCGCAACGACAACAACAACAAAACAACCTGATTTAAAAAATCGGCAAAGTTCGTGAATAAACATTTCTCTAAAGAAGATACACAAATGGCCAATAAGCACATTAAAAAGATGCTCAGCGTCACTAATCATTAGAAAAATGCAGATCGAAACCACAATGAGATACCACGTCACACCCATTAGGATGACTACTATTGAAAACAGCAACAGCAGCAATACAGAAAATAGGTTTTTGGTAAGGATGTGGAGAATTGGAATACTTGTGCGTTGTTGGTGGGAGTATAAAATGGTGTAGGTGCCGTGGAAAACAGCGTGGCAGTTCTGTAAAATAGAACTGCCACGTGGTCTAGCAATTCCACTTCTTTGTATATACCTAAAAGAATTGAAAGCAAGGTCTTGGGATTTATGCATCCGTGTTCACAGAAGCATTATTCATGATGCCAAAAGGTGGAAGCAACCCAAGTGTCCGTTGACGAATGAATGGATAAACAAAATGTGCTATATAAATACCAGGTAATATTATTCAGCTTTAAAAAAGAAGGGAATTCTGTGATATGCTGCAACATGGGTGAACCTTGAGGACATTATGCTAGGTGAAATAATACAGTCACAAAAGGATACATACAGCGTGATTCCAATGATATGAAGCTCTTAGATTCATAGATAAAGAAAGTGCAATGGTGGATCTCAGGAAAGGAGGGGAGGCTGGATGGGAGTTAGTGTTTAATGGGTATAGAGTTTCAGCTGGGGAAGATGAGAAAGTTCTGGAAATGAATGCTGAAGATTAAGTACTATGTGAATGTACTTAATGCCACTGAATGTGAACTTCGAAATGTTTAAGATGGTAAATTTTATGTTTTGGGTATTTTGCCACAATTAGAAAGAAAATATACATGATTAAGACTGTGGAATTTAACATTGTAATGCAGTCTTCTCCAGTCGTTTTAACCATTAAAACCACCCAGTCAGTGTCAATGGCATGTAACTGATAAGACCTTGGAAAGGAAAATAGAAGAACCTATAAAATCGAATGATTCAAATAAATGTTTCTTTGGAAGCCAATAAAATCATTTTAAAGGGAAAAAGCTCTTAAGGAGGAATGACACAGGTTACCCCATTCCTAACACACTGGGTAATGAGAATAAGGTTCAATATTTCAGAAAAGCTTATACATTTGAAAAGAAGTTAATTCCTGCTGTAATCTGCCTTTCATAGAGAATTTTAAGAAAGGTAATACTCTACCTCCTTCAAAACACACACATGAAATATTCACACACACATTAAGAGAAGCTCTAAAATTCTTGGCGCTGAAGAGATGAAATGTGGATGTCCTGACACCTTATTTGCACAGTCCATGCCTGTATAGTCTCAATTTGCATTTGCACCTGCAAATGGCTTTTTTCCTGAAAAACAATTTGTATGTTCAGCTATTTATTTTGCATATTTCAATTCATATTTGGCATGCATAGCAGCCTGTGTGACTGTTACTGAGGGGCCAATATTTGCAAGTCTTATCTGTGAACATGAATGTCCCTTGGGCCACTTTCGGTTTAGCCATGGGACTGTGTTAAAGGTGGATGGGTGGCCTCTGCGGGTGAGTTAAGAGTGGCTTGGCTGTGGAGGCCTTAACTTCAGTTAGTTGCGCGGAAGTGCCTCTGGGAAGGCTTTTTCTGGGTTATTGAGTAAGCTTTAGTATTTCGGGGAGTGATCTGAGGTGTGGAGGAAGAAAGCAAGCCAGAGCCTCCGTGTCTTTATGATAATATACTCCTTCCTAGCTTCAGCCTTAGGGCCCAGAGGCAGTTTTTCAGGCAAGCATGGAGCAGTGGGAAGAACAGGCGTGGTGAGCTGGCAGCTCTGGGTTTGAATTCGGCTCCCTTGTTTAAGAGCTTTGTGATCTTAGTCCAGTTCACTGACCTTGCTGACCTTCAACCTCTCTATCTTTAAATTGGAAATAAGACTCCACTCACGAGGTTATGATGTGAATGCAGGGAGATCATGTAGGAAAAGCTGGTGAAGTACCCGGCGTGGAGTATTTGCTCAACAAATGAGAGCTGACACTGCCGTTCTCATTTTATTCCTATGGATTTGAGAAGGATCTGAGGAAAGGGGATACGCTCTTCTGAGTTCAAAAGAGACCCTCAACACCGAGGGATGAGAGGGTCACAGAGGAAACACGGGTGCTTTGATTTGGCAGCGGTCAGCAGCCAGACAGGTTTGTCTGATTTGCAGCTTTTAATTATCACTCTGATAATTTTAGAATGGGCTGGAAACAAGGCGGTCGCCTTCAGAGACCACCCTCTGAAACCAGGTTCATCTCTGACCCTGAATGAAAACTCCAGCGAGGCATCATTATGATGACTGTCCATGGCTTCGCTGTGTTAAGAGGTGCCCTGCCCTTTTAATTGGACTGAATAGAGTTCCTGAGAAACCTCAGGTTGAATTACTCACGTCTTTGCTGCTAAAATTGCACAAAGATATAAACTTGCTGCTTTACATGAAATCTGCTGGAGAGATTTAAAATTTATCAATCCTCTTAGCTTTGCTGCTTTTAAGAACACCAAAAAATGGCCTGTCTCAGAGAAACCTTGCATATTACAATTCAGTTTTTAGACATGGCAGGAGCTCATTCACAGTGGAATTTACTTCACATTACATTTGGGGCATGCATGAGATTTAAAAGCAATGCTTTTCCTCTAAAGTACTCACTACAAAAGATATATCACACATACTCGGGCTATTTAAGACTCAGCAAGGGGAATATCAACAGATTTTTCTCCAAGTGTGCTCTCTGATCAGCTGGGGAAATAAAATCTTTCTTGAAAAGCAACGAATTGAAGCAATTCTAGTGCATTAAAGCCTAGGGGTCTGTCCTGTTTGGTTGGAATTTTTGGCAGCTTTGAATATAGAAGTAGTGTTTATATAGGTGTATGTGTATATGAATGTTATTTTTGCCCCTTTGAATGGTTTTCTGACTTACATACCTTCAGTGTTTTATTAATAAAAATATTTATGGCTCACTGTAATCCCAGCATTTTAGGAGGCTGAGGCAGACGGATCACTTGGACCAGGAGTTCGAGACCAGCCTGACCAACATGGCAAAACCCTGTCTCTACTAAAACTACAAAAATTAGCTGGGCACGGTGGTGGACGCCTGTAATCCCAGCTACTTGGGAGGCTGAGGCAGGAGAATTGCTTGAACCCAGGAGGCGGAGGTTGTAGTGAGCCAAGATGGTGCCATTGCACTCCAGCCTGGATGACAGAGCAAGACTCCATGTCAAATATATATATATATATATATATATATTTTTTTTTGACCTTGGAGTCAAACATATATATATATATAAGAAATAAAATGCCATTAGCAATTTTTTTGGCTTGAATTACTTATGTATCAATCAAGAATCCATCAACTGTTTGTAATAGAATCAATCTAGTACTATTTTTCTTAAAAAGAAAATCTATGGGCTCTTCAGTTGGGATATTCAAGAGTGACAGATTCAGATATGATATGATCTGATTCAAAATTATCATCAAGATTACCCTTTTGCCCTGACTCTTGATTTTGGGCTGAGAAACAGAATCAATAGGATAGACTGTGTGTGTGTGTGCATGTATAGATGAATATATGTATATATGAATATATATGTATATAGATGAATATATGTACATATATGAGTATATATGTACATATATGAATATATGTACATATATGTATATATATGAATATATGTGTGTATATATATTATATATAATATACATATTATATATAATATGTATATTATATAATATATAAATTATATATTATATATAATATATATAATATATAGTATATATAATATATATAATATATATTATATATTATATATATATATGAAAAGAGAAAGAGAGAGAGAGATTGAGAGGGGATTGAATGTCACAGGGCAGGATGGCAGCGGGGAGCCCAGGAAGAGTCCATGTAGCTGGCGTCTGAAGGCAGTGTGGAGATGGAATTCCTTCTTCCTTAGGTGTGGGAGATCAGTCAGAGTGGTGGGAGAAAGCCTAACTGGACTTAGGTGATCTCAGTCTTTTTTTGAAGGCCTTTGATTGATTGCATGAGGTTCACCTACTTATAATATGGAGGGTCAGGTACTTTACTCAAAGTCTACCGAGTTAAATGGTAATCACATCTAAAAAATGCCTTCACAGAAACATCTACACTGTTGTTGGACCAAAAACTGGGTACCACGACCCAGCCAAGATGATAAAATGAAATTAACCATCACATCATCCTTCTCTGGAAGGTTATCCTGCATAATTGCATAGGTGGTGGCAGGGAGCTGTAGGCTTCCATTGTCCTTATGGTTTAGCAACCCCAGCAAGAGAAAGGGAGTGAGTGCCTCTCTTCTGATCATCTCACCAGAGTTCCTGGTCTGACCTGTTCACGTGTCTAAATCAAGAACTGGGGCAGGGGCCTGGGGTTTACTGATGGGGCAGGCTGCTGTCTCTCCTCTATTGCTGCTAGAGAGAAGTGGTCCATCAGCCCCAGCATAGGTCTGGGGAACACTTTCCTCATTGAAAAGGGCGTAGTCCCAGAGGAGGGATGTGGGGAGCCCGCTGGGCAGGCAAAGGACTCCCTCCTGTCATCTCTTCAGAGCAAACTGTGGTGCATGAGGCAGGTCCAGCCCACTGCCTATTTTTGTATGGCTCATGAACTAAGACTGGGTTTTCCATTTTTCAATCAGTAAAAGAAAATCAGAAGAATGATATTCCTTGACACACAGAAATTATCTGAAATATAAGTTCTGTGTCCAGAAATGAAATTTTATTGGAACACACTTGTGCCCACTTATGACGCTTTCTCTAAACGGCCGATTTCACATTGCACAGCAGAGCTGAGGGCTTGTCAGACACAGCCTGGCCCGAAGAGCCTAAAATATTTACTATCTCGTCCTCCACAGAGAAGCATGGCTGGCTGTGTTATCACATTGCAACCGCAACTGGAATTTATAATACTAGGTATTTTCAATTCAATTTGGAAGCATATGTTTAGACACATGCATATTTGTTTATTTATTCTAAAACTGATTCCTCATGGAGAGTATCAACAATTTCAATCGTGGAGAAGGTTACAAACTGAAATGCTAAATTTCTTTCCATTTCCATCTCCAAGTCCTTCTTTCTAGATGTAATTCCTTTCACCATTTTTTTAATTTTAATTTTTTTGGTGGCTATAAGCCCTAATTCAATATTATGCTTTCACTTGTTTCCTGGTTGACCAGCATTAAACATCAGCTACATGCTATAACAGATGGGAAATTTAGTTCCTATTCTTTCCTCCTTACAGTTTCTTACAGAACATTTTAAAAATTCAAGTTTATATATTAGTTATATTTATAACATCATATAATATATACTTAACTCTATTTTTGACCTATGGAATTTAGAAATATGCCTTGTCCTCTTGCTCAGTAAAGAAAGAAATTTTGGGCTCTGCTTTGTCTTCCAGCTTCTGCTGTTTTGACTTTAAATTTTGACGATTAATGGCAGTTATGCTCTGTTCTGTAAAATTAATCTCACACTCTTGATCTCCAAGTTGAATTAAATTTTCATCTTATTCAGTGATTGACAAACGCATTTTATCTCAAGATGCATATCTTTTTTACAGCTATTACTTTGATTATTGCTTCCCATCATTTTTGTTCTCTTTCTCTTTAATTCCTATTGGATGTGTTTCCTTGCAATGATATTCTAAACTCTAAAATTTTTCTTGTTCTCTTCTTTCCTTTGGGGCATTTCCTTTACTTTTATTTCACATACTTTTATTTATTCTTTAATTTCCATAATCTTTAAAAAAGTGTTTACTGCTTCTTTTTATAGAAGCCTAGTACGGTTTTCTTGTGTGTCTGTCAGAGTTGATCTCCTCTTGTTGAGTCTCTTTGAGGTTACTGCTGGCATTATTTTAATGGTCTCCTCTTTTCCCTCAATTAGCTGTGTTTCCTGCAGTGGGGTTGTTCTGTTTCTCTCCCGTGGTTCTTCTCGTTTGTGTTACTGCTGTACTGCTGTTCCTTAAGTGTCTGCTGACCTGCAGCTGTCCCTTCAAATGTGTACGCCTGGTTCGGGTAACACAGCTCCTTGCACTGCAGCTTCCTCCAGCATTTTCTGAGTGGTAGCTCGCTCTGTTCTAACTTGTTCACTAATGTAAAAATAATAATAGAAAGTAGGGATCCAGTGCTTACAATGTAGCAGACGCTATTCAAAGCAGTTTAGATGAATCATTGGATTTAATCCTCATGAAAATCCTAGCCAATAGGCCTTACTATCATTCCCATTGTACAGATGAGGAAACTGACGCACAGAGAGGTTAGGTAAGTTGTCTAAAGTCACACAGCTTGTGAGTGGCAGATCCAGGTCCTAACCCACGCAGTCTCGCTTGAGCAACCGTACTCCTTCCTCTTGTGTGCTGAGCTATATTGATCTGATTCGTGGGCACTTCCAGAATTTAAAAAATCTTCAGCCTGCTGATGTCATCCTGCAAGTTCTTGCAATTTTTATTTTGTCTTAATTGACTCCATGTGGTACGTTAAAACTGTTGTTTAAATTTTTTTTTTTTAGTAGGAAGGGCCATAAATATGTGTGCCCAGTTTACTGTCCTGGTGAAAGTCTCAGCTGGGCTTACTGTGTTCTTATCATTGTGTTGATCACCCTGAGGGAAGTGGGAGGGGTGGAGGAGGAGAGACAGTGCCAGATTCCCAGGGGGAACTTTCAGTGGCGGGATAGGCTGATGGACAAACGTCATATTGCTCCACTGTTCTTTATTTTCTCTATCTTCTTCTGCGTTCTGTCTGCCCTCCCTTCTGTCTTAGCGGTTCCCATACAGCCTTCAAAACCAATCTCCTCCAAGAAGCCTTTGCTAATTCTCCAGCCTGAGTTTTGGGCTCTGTGCTTTTCCTGTGCCTAGTGCACGCCTCTATTACACACCCTCTAAAAATGCACTCTCTCATGGCCTCCCCGAGAGTCTCAGCACATGCAGGGCAGGGAAGTGCTACCGCCCATGCCCAGCAAGCAAAGGCCTGGCCTTTAGCCATTGTCCATTTTTTTTTTTTCCAGATGAGTGAGTGAAAGCAACTAATATAAAAGGGGTCGATTTCTTATTTCCAAATACTTTGCAGGAATGGGGTTTATTCAGATAAATAAGATATCTAGTCGTATTGATACAAATCCGGCTGGGCTGTGGCTGAGAAAGTGATCACACATGAAATTCTCCGGTTGTCCTCTGAGTTCTATGCAGTATGGCTGGACCCCTAGGTTTCTGAGTCCAGCCATCTGTGTTATATTGTTGAGTTACAGAAGACTGCATTGCCAAACCAATCTTTTCTTTTTTCTTTTTTCTTTTTTTTTGAGATGGAGTCTCGCTCTGTTGCCCAGGCTGGAGTGCAATGGCACTATCTTGGCTCACTGCAACCTTCGCCTCCCAGGTTCAAGCAATTCTCCTGCCTCAGCCTCCCGAGTAGCTGGGACTACAGGCACCTGTCACCATGCCTGGCTAATTTTTGTATATTTAGTAGAGACGAGGTTTCACCATATTGGCCAGGCTGGTCTCAAACTCCTGACCTTGTGATCCACCCATCTCGGCCTCCCAAAGTGCTGGGATTACAGGCATGTGCCACCACGCCCTGACCAAACCAATCTTTTCTTAAGTTGCTATTTTGCATGATTTTTTTATCTTGGGAGAAATTTTAAAACATAGTCATGAATGACTGAAAACATGATCTGAATGCTATCAATAATAAAACCTGAAAAGGGAGACAAATTGGTTAGTGTTTTAGAGAAACTGAATTGGTTCTGGTTTCTGAGCTTTGCGAAATAGGCCTATACCAGCCTTCAAATTGGCTACCGAGACTTTCCTTGAACCTCCAGCTCTACGACACTGGACATATGAAATAGGCATGTGACATCTGTGGCACTAGCTCGACACCCTGTTTTATGACTATGTCTTTAGATCTATTTCTATCTCTAGACCGATGGCACCAACTCAGTGCCTTTTGTCATTGCAACAACCCCCTCAGTGCTCCTCCATCCTTCAGCCTCACTCTCTCCTCCAGGGTACTCTCCACGTTGCCTGCAAATTCAGCTTTCCAAGCACAGAATCCATCGTGTGATTCCCTTTTCACGCATTACATTCTTAGAATAAAGTCCAGACGTCGCTGCGATGCACCTGAGCCCTCCCAGTCTTGCCCGGTAAAGCTTTCCACTCTCCTCTCTGGTAGTTTCCTGTGGCTGCTGTAACAAACGACTACACACTCAGTGGCTTAAAACAACACAGATCGCAATCTTGCAGTTTGGTAGCTCGGACATGTGATGTGGATCAGGATCTTGTGGTTCTGTAGCTCAAACACATGATGTGGGTCTCACTGGGCTGAAATCAAGGTGTTCTCAGGGCTGCATGTCATTCTGGAGTCTTGAGAAAAAAATCCATTTCCTGGTCTTCTCCTGCTCCTCCGGGGCTGCCTGCATTCCCCGGCTTGGGGCCCCTTCTTCCATTGTCAAAGCCAGCAATGCAGGTCAGTCCTTCTCACATCACATCTCTCTGGCTTCTTCTGCCTCCTTCTTCTACTTACAAGGACCGTCCTGATTATGCTAGGCTGCCCAGATAATCTCCCTATATTTGGGTTAGCTTATAGCAACTCTACTTCCCCTTATGAAACATAACATTTTCATAGGTTCCAGGTCTGGCCCATGGACACAAATGGGGGACCTTACTCTGCCTAACACAATGATACCTCTTGCTACCATGTATTCCTTGCTCTAGTCAAACTAGAAAACCTGCTGCTGTTGCTCAGAGCATCATTCATATTTACACTTCCCTTGTGCTCACATTGCTCTCTATGTCTGAATTATACCTTCCTCCCATTCTCTATATATTCTCAAATGTCATTTTCTCCAAAGCCTTTTCTAAGTGGCCCAGGCAGCAATGCTCCTACCTCTACCATCCCATGCTACTTGTTTATATAGTTATCCCCATTATCCTTGGGGAATAGGTCCCAAGACCCCTCGTGCATTCCTAAAACTGCAGATAGTATCAAACCTATACATACTATATCTTCTTGTATACATACATACCTAGGATAAGGTTTAACAATAAAATAATAAATAGAACAATTATAACAATATAATGTAATAAAAGTTATGCACATGTGATCTCACTCTCGGTTGCCTGCCAATAACTGAAAGGCCAGCAAGTGAAACTGCCGAAGAGGGGAGCTGCTATACCACCCACTCCAGGCTGACGGCACTGTGTGCTAGGCTGCCATTCCCATCCCACGTCAATTCCCGGAACTTGCCTTCACTTAATCATTTTTGCATCTTCTCTAATGGCCACCAAAAATTGTGCACATACAAGGAGCTCGAAAATACGTGTGGCCAGGCACATCCCTGCAGTCCCAGCTACTGAAAAGGTTGAGGCAGGGCGGTGGCTTGAGCCCAGGAGCTCGAGTTCAGCCTGGGCAACACAGTGAGACACTCGTCTCTAAAATTTTTTTAAACGTGCTATATGGAATGGATTTTTAAATGTATGATGTCTCTGGGAGGGAATTATGATCTTCATTTAAATAGTTAAGCTCCTTCTGGTGAATTCTATTTATGGTTCAGAAGTTCTATGTATTGGACAGTTCCATAAATTGCTGCCACTAGGGGATGGGTGGAAAGGAAGCAAAGCTGAAGGCAAGGTTTTCGGTCATGAAGGACCTGCCTATTGTGTGTCTCCAGTATTTCCTTGCAGAGGCTGAAAGACGAGCCTCCACGTAACCCTGAAGCACTCAGAGTCTCTTCAGCATTACCCCTGGGTTTGCATTCTATGTGAAAACCTATGAAGTTAATTTTCTTTTTTTTTTTTTAATTTTTTCTTTTCATTGCACAAGAATAAGAAGTTACTTTTCTCATTTGGGAGAACATTCCATTTTTTTGTCTTAACACCAGACTGGTATGTTTTGGGTTTCCAAGAGAGATTTTTGAAATTATTCTACCATTATGATTGATATATATTTTTAAAATGAAGATATAATAAACAGGCACTTATGATAACAGTTGTTAGTATCTTTTAGTAATTTTTTAAAAACATAAGTTCCCAAAGAACAGGCCATTTTTCTTCTTCTCAAAAATATGAAACATTAAACAAGGATTATTTCTACTCGTTGGAGTATTTAAATACAGCTATTCAGGTAAACATTCATAATCCCTCGTCACACAGATGAGAATGATTCTCAGAAGGCTTGAAGGCCTTTCCCTTAGTCTCAGAACAGGTGGGCTGATATCCAATCTCAGGTCTTTCTAGCTTACAAGCACCTGCTATTTTAGGTATGATGATCCTGTGTCCTAACATCATACATAGAAAAGACTCTGCATTTGCTTTCAAAATTAATTATTCTGAATATTACTGAAAATTCTTATGTGATGAAGTACAAAATGTATAATATTTGGAATATGGAGTTATGTAGATCTGAGTAAGTTGCTCAACCTTTTTGAATTTCAGTCTGTTACGAAAAATTAGAAATTAGAACCCTACCTCTCCATTGGGTAAAGATTAAAAAACATAAATCAGTTAATTTATTTCATTATGTTTTATTTCCTACTGAATAGTTTGAAGACATCAGAGACTCTGGTGCCATAAAATCCCCTGCTCAGAAGCAGCATCCCCCACATATTACGAATGAGAACACCAGATGTCCTTCAGTATACAAACATCTGTGGGCTGTCACATCCTCACGGGCAAATCACTGTATCACGTGAACACATAACGGACTGACGGGATCCCTGAAGCGAATTGTTTATAACGAAGAAAGAGAAGAGAGTGATTGGGAGCCTGGAGCCCTGGTGCTTGGAGGAAGCGGATTTTCCTGGGACTGGCACCTGAGTGTCTTGTATCGGTCACGGAGGAGTCAGGACAGAGGGGTCATGGAAGAGGCTGGCGGGGCCGGGAAGGTGCTCTGCCCCCGTCTCGGGGTCCAGGGCCGTCCACTCCGCCCGTGGCTGCCGCCCGTGGCTGGCTCTCTGCGGAGCAGCCAGCGCCCGGTGGAACAGGGCTTTCTGGAAGGTGGCTGCTCTCTGACCATGTCCTCGGTGCCAGCCGGGTCAGGGGCTGCTGTCCACACTTCCCACTTAAGCCAGTATTTAAGACAGAGGGAGAAGGGAGGAGAAATGAGGGACAGAGGGGAGAGGTTTACATGGGGCAGTTGCTCCCGAGGAAAAAGAAAAGGGGTCCCCAGGCTGTCTCCCATGGCGTCCTTCCTGGTGCCCACCCTCTATGCCCTACCTGCAACCCCACGTGCGCATGAGAGGACGGACGTCTCTTCCAGCCTGAAGGGAAAGTGCAGACTTTCCGCATCTGCCTTGCAGCCGTATGTTGTAGAAAATGCCAGCAGGTAATTTGCTAAAAGTTGCCTGAGGAGTTCTCCATGGCCCAGTGGTTTCTATCTGCGAGCTGTGCTCCTCTTGCAGACGGACTGTCTTTCAGTAATTTGCAGCTATGTCATTTTTTTAACTTGTAATATATTGTATCATAGAAAAAAAGTCAGGCTCTGACTATCACTTTAAAAGCCTATTTCATCCACGACGTGGCAAAAATTCCCCTTTTTTTCATTTATTTTCTTTTTCAGTCATTTCAAAAAATAAATTATATAACATTTAAAATATTTTAATGTTTCCCATTTTGTTTGTCATGCAATCAGTTGCTAACAAAGTTATGAATAACATGATGCTCTTCGGTATATGAATGTATTCTTCAGTAAACACTGTTGAGCCCTACTCTGTGCCAGGCATCGTTCCCTGCTATTTCGGAGCTCACTTGAAAGGCACTATTGAGAGTCCTTGCCTCGCCCCCAACTTCCCCCACCACACACAGATTAGAGTGAACAGGCTTTACATTTTTTTTTTATAATAAACAATCTATGAACAAACATATGAACCTTGGTATCTCAATAGCAAATTATATTGCTGCTTCTATGTAAAAATATAGCTTTTCCCATGAAAACAAACAGAGGAATGTGCAAGAAATCTGACAGGAACTTCTTCTGGCTATTTTACCCTTGTTACTGTAGAAACTCCTTATGCTACGCTATTTTTATTGTGGTTATTTTGGCTGAAGTGTCCTCAGGAAACAACTCAGATTCAATGTGATCAGAACATTTGCTTTCTCCTGTTGCTAGAGCCATAGTGGTTTCACCTGGCATTTTTCTTTTTTAAGAGATGGGGTCGCCTAGGCTGGAGTGGAGTCACACCATCTTGGCTCACTGCAGCCTCAACCTCCCAGCCTCAAGCAATCCTCCCGCCTCAGCCTCCCGAGTAGCTGGGACTTACAGGCACACATCACCATACCCGGCTAACTTTTAAAAAATTGTTTGTAGAGATGGGGATCTCACTATGTTGCCCAGGCTGGTCTTGAACTTCTGGACTCTAGCCTCCCCACCCTCCCAAAGTGCTGGGATTACAGGCATGAGCCACGGCCCCTGGCCAACTTCCCATTTTACAGAGAAGGAAGGTAGGGCCCGTGAAATGAAGTGAATTGCTCAGCATGGTGCAGCGGTCATGGACAGATGAGGCTGCAGTCCAGCCCTGCTGAACTTTCCCGTGCACTGCAGTGTCTGTGACCTTCCACTTGCCACTCTGCAGTGCTCGTGGGGCTTCCAGGCCAATAGCTCTTTTGCTGGGAAAACAGCCGGTTGCATATGCTGAAACTATTGCAAGGACAATTTGGTAAAATCTTGAAGACCTTAACCAAAATAGTACTAGTAAATGAGGCTCAAACTCTCCCCATCCATCAAATTGGAAGCTTTTTCATTAAGGCTACTACTGAACTTTCTTTATTCAGGAAACCTAATCAGCAATAAAAACCCGACTGATCAGTGCAATATGAATTTTACTGCTGTGTGGAGACACGGTTTTATTTTGCCGTCAGGAAAAGTGAGATCTGACTGGGGAATGAGTGACTCTATAATCCTTCCTGCATCATTCCTGCTGGTCATGAAGGCGCCAATCCAAAGACTGCGTCCTCTTAGATGGGATCTGATTTTTAAACATTTCCTGGATGTCTTATTTTCCTTAGATCCTAGATCTGACATAACCCTAATGCATCTTGCATATTTTTTGGCTCCCTAATAGTTTCTGAGAAATTCCATTCCATTTTTATTTTTTTTGGCTGAAGCTGTGGAAAGACAAAAAGAGGGGGAGGGGAGACAGACGGACATTTAGAAAGTGTATTTTAAATTGCAAATTCAGATTGCTAGGCTGCGTTTGTACATGGAGAAGGAAGGGAGGAATGAATCAATAATTCAATGTTAAAACTGGAATCCTGCTTCAATTATGTGACTATTTTAACCAGAGTTATTTCAATCTGACCATCGATAATGATTCCATCTCCTCCTAGTCCTGAGCCTAGAAGTTAGCTGGGCCTTCACCTGTTCAAAGGGCAGGGTCCTCAGCGTGTTCCCTTCCTCTGGGGCCCTAGATCCTCAGATGGCTTCCTTTGCACTTGATCCAAGTCCACTCACTCTCACACCAGTGGGTCAGAAAATTAGGCTCATTTCTTTTGGAAGCAGTTGTTTCCCACGGCGTAGACATATGCTATGAATTTCACAGTTCGTTTTCTATCAAGATATTTCTAAACAGCTCTTCTTTTATTCATATGCTTGTCTACTGGGGAAATCACATGGTCACACCATATTGGTGGAAATTGTTGCTGAGGGGAATAAAACTTGATTTCAAATTTTGAAAGATAAATTGGACTATCTAATTAGCCTTGGTCAATGCAAAATCTTTGACTAGGAAAGTAACATTTTCTTCTGATCTGGAGCAGAGAAACAGGTTTTTAAATCAGTGGGAACAAGAGAGGGGAAAGACTTCCAAGTGTGTCCAGAGAAGAAGCAGATTTGTTTTACACAATCAGTCTGCAGGGAGAACCTCTGAGAACAGACATGATCATCTCCAGAGACTTTTAAGTTACTCACAGCCAAGTGGAACATAAGGGCTTCTTATTCAGGAAAGGCACTTAACCATCTTCTAATATAATAAACAGACAGGGACATTTTAGCGTTTTACCAAAGAGAAGTAAGTAAACGTAACCGTACCTAACTCTGTAATCTGAGCTGATCTGATGTGTACCATGTGACTGTAACATTGGAAGCTGCAAGGGGACCCTTGCAAAATGCGGGTAATGAGAGTCACCTCTGAATGAATGAGCAAGTCTGGGGAAGCAAACCCAAGCACTGAAACGTTTAGTGAATGGAAAGGGCCTATGCATGCCCTTCACAAAGTTAGAATTGTGGACTAAAATTAGAGTTGAATAGAGTAAACCTAAGCTTTGGAAGATTTTTGATATTGTGACTTTTTTTGTGTGTGCTACAAAAGCAGCAGTAAGAGCAATAAAAAAACCATTTCCCTTCTCTGTAGAATCACACCATATTAAGAACATATAAAAACTGTGCTATCAAATTAAAGTGTAAAACTAAGCAACTGGGATTTAGAAATATCATCCAGGAGTTTGAATTTTTAACTAGAAATTAGCTCTAAAGAAGTAAACTGTAAATGAGACAACTGGTATTGAAAAGTCTTTTCAGGGAGTCAGAAGAATTTAACCCTAGTTCCATCTCTATTAAATAGTTTGTTTTGTGATTTTTGTCACTCCACTTAATCTTTTTAGGTCCAGGTTTCCTTATCTACAAAATGAGGGCATTAGACCCCGTGCCTTCCAGCTTCAGTATTTCTCTGATTTTGGAAATTTTAGATCAGGCAGATATTGGTTCAAATTTAGAGAATCTGACATAAAAACTTTTGTAGGAGAATAGGGTAGGAAGATTGGCCTAAATTATTCAGAAATCTGCCTTACTATTATACATCATTTTAAACCCATGAAGAGTAAGAAATTGTTATGAATTATTTAACAAAACAAATTTGTATTTAAAATAATTTTGCTGAGTACTGGTGTAAACAGGCTATCTGCTAAATAGGGGATAATGACAAATACTCTGCATTTTTACAGATATTGAAAGGTGGAAATGTTCTCTCCAACACACTAAAGAGTAATCAAAGGAACTGATCCTAAAACTATGTGTTGTACAAGCAAAGGTAAGGGGTCAGCGCTGTCGTTTCTGCAGTGTCTCAGTCTCATCACAGAAGTGAGGATTTATGGTGAAAAGGAGTTTAAAGTTTCCATTGTAAAGAATGTTCCTTCAAAGATAATTGAAACGAAATTTTACAAGTGAAAAGGAGGAAATAAAAGCAGAAATGTGATTCTTGAAAGTATAGTTGAAATGTCCCAGTTATTAACCTCTCTGATACTCACTGTTAGTGATTCATGTCATCTCTCAACCGCCACTTTAATAATTGCTTTATTAGTGCACACTGGAAAGATTCATATTAAGTGATTTTTCCACAAGGGCTTCTCTTTCTCCTCTTTAGTGAACTGGACTGTAAATATGTGAATATGGTAGCTGTTTTGCTAGCCTTTTGTTTTTTTCTGAAACTCAGCGAATAAAGTTGAACTTTGGACATTTCCTTATGTATTTTTCTTCAGCATATGAAAAACTTCCTGGCACAGTTTTCTGTCCGGGGACAATACATTTTCTCCACTCCTGATGGTTTTTTCCAGGTGAAGGGAGATCCACGGCTGTCGTAATCTTTGACTTTCTCCACTCCTGGTGGAATAACTTAGCTGATTGATTATAAGTTTGGAGAAATCTAGACGTTTCCTCTTCATTGTCTCTTAATAGTTAAGTTTGGACATAGAGGGCATATATTTATCTCTGTTCCTTCAAGTTTTACAGGGGCTGCCTGTGCTTGAATGAGTAAGTCTGTTTAAAACTGGGATTCAATTTTAGGAGGCCCACTTTCCTCCAGATTTAAGCCAATATCCTTCAACCTAAATTTTGTCCGTAATCAAGGCAATAATCTGGCCTCATCTACCTTACTCTTTTGTCTTTTTTTTTTTTTTCACAGAACTGTGTTCTGTGGTTAAAAACACAGTTGCAGAAGATGGTGATTTTTAAAAAGTTGGACTCCCTGGTGTTATTGTAGTCCTTTATGAATAATAGGAAAATAGGAGCGATGAAAAAGTTTTACTTGATATCAAATTGTAACATCATTATTGCTCTGCAGCAAACACAGAATTACATTCCAGGATTTAAGTATTAAATGATATGTTTTTAAGGTCTAAGAAAGGACATTTGCTTCCCGATTGATTGCATTAATATAAAGCAATTTAACACATGTTAACTACAGAGTCAGCCAGACTTGAGTTTAAGTCCTGACTATTACTAACTAGATGGTGTTGGAGACTTCGCTCAAACTGAACTTAAGTTTTTTCCAACAGCAAAATGGGGGAATAGAAATCAATTATTAATAAAAGGATGCCTATGAGGAGCGCCATAAACAGTACCCCAAACTCCCCCTCCCACATACGCTCCTTTTCATCACATAAATAGTGTAAAATATATTGACAAATGGCATGATCATACTTTGGCAAATAGTTTCTCATGAAAACATTTTTGGAAATGATTTCTAATAGAACAAATGTAAAAACAAAGATATTTATATGAAGGGTCTATTTACATAAAATAGAAATTTTTCTAAGTTAATTGAAGGAATTACCATACTTTTTTTTTTCGTAAAACTCATCAACATTAAAAACAAAAGTCATCTCCAAACTTAATTATTGCAGAAAAAAGTTGGTTGGAATAATGCTTTAAAGTGTACATCACTTTGATGTTCAAAGACTCCTGATTAGAGTGTCCTTTCTATAACCAATCTTGTTCCTTAAAACATCTTGAATGATTTGATCTCAGATCCCCTGAAGGGACTGCTGAGATCATCTGCACCAATCCTAAAAAAAAAAATCTTTCATGCCCAAACCCTTAGCAAAGCTAGTTTCTTGTGGGACTCTTAATCCCTCTTATCCTGCTTGACACAGAGGTGCTCACCTGCTGTGCATCAGAAACACTATGGATACTTCTTGAAAGTGCCTGCAACAGAGATACTGATGCATCTGTTGTGGGGTGGGCCCTAGGTATCAGTAATTTAAAAAGTTTTTTAAAATACGCCCCAGATAATTCTGATTGCTTGTAAATGGCAAAGGTTGAGAAGCACTGCTGGAAGCTTTTGAGCTCCTGTTGGGTAAGTTCAAGCGACAGGAGAATCTCATAGTGATCATAAAACAGCACTCTGAATTCTTGGAGAAACCCAGACTCATCTTATGTGACTAATTTCCTTAATGTGTACCCCAAAACTATCCTAGCGCGTTCACAGGTACACCAGGTAATGCTATTCTGATTGAGCACCCAAGAGTCTCATTTAGAACTAACATTTTTTTCTGTTATGTAAACAATAATGTAATCCTGACTCAATCCGATTCGTTTATTTTACTCTATCTGTCATGACTGCTGTTAACATTTTTTCCCAAAACTTGTCAGCAAAATGTTAAAGGGAAACTCAAACATTCCATAAACTTCCTTTGACTATTCACCAATTCCATTCTTTTAATTACAGATGTGATTTGGTTTCTCTTATTCCCACCTGGTCTATTTTGCACTGGATAAAGATTGGTTGGGGTGGTGGAGGCGTATTTCAAGATGTTCTCCAGAGCTGACCCACATCCCATAGGATTTAGGCCTACAAAGAATTCAGTGAAGCGTTAAAACAAGTAATACACTAGCACAGTTGGCGAGCTCAGGAGAGCTGCCCGGCAGTTCGGGATTGAGGGAAATGACAAGGATTTCTTTTTTCAGGGTGGGATGCGGTTGCCCTATTCTGCTGCTGAATGTGTTCCGAAAAAAAGCCCTTCTAGGTGGCGGTTTCTTCGGGGAGGTATGATTAACTGAGCAAGACTGTTCTCTGTTGTGGTTTTGGAAGAACAACTGGGTATGGCCACTGTATTTAAAGAGCACATTTGTTTGGCCTAAATACCAGTGTCTTTCTATAACCACACTCGAGTTTAGATCAGTAATTCATTTAATTTCTGATTTAAACTCATGGCTTGACTTTGGAAAACTATGCCTGGGGAGAAGAAAATTACCAGAGCATTCACCATCTCCAAAACAGCTTTCGGCAATGGAGGACCGCTACTTGTTTAGCACATGACTTTGGAGAAACCACAAAGCTCGAAAATACTAATTTTTTTCATTAGAGTACCAGAAAAGTCAACCCAACAGTTTTAAACAGTGGTTTTTATATACTATTAAAAGCTCTATAATAAGCAACTTTGGGAATCAGGATGAAAGCTAATTATAGAACTTCTTTGCCATGGCTGTTTCTATTTACATCTTCAAAACCACAGAAGCAAATAATGTAGGCTTTCCTAATACGTCAGCATCTTCTTGATTTCTGAGTTCTTTGAAGCTGCCCTAAATCTTTCCCTTGAAAACACATTGTGGTTGAATATTCCCAGTTCAAGGACAATTTCAGATTAGAGTTTTTAGTCCAAGTATACTATTCTTTCCTTGAAATACTGAATCTCAGGACTCAGACAAAACATCAAAATTGTTACTCAACATGGTGCATGTTATCCAGTCCCTTTTGTGTGGGTTTAATTTTTTGTGTGTTTGCTTACTTCATCAGTAGCAGCAAAACACAGAAGAAACATTAGTCAAGAGCATGATGTATCTGCTATGTCCTGATCTTTTCCACCACCAAAAGGCAGGTGTAACTTATGAGTTGATTTTTAAGAAAAAGAAAATGTTGAAAGTGAAAGAAACTGTTTAGAGCAAACATTTCAGGATATTGCCCTGTCTAGCTGGATTGAATGTTTCAGCTTCAGTCTTACTCCCAAAGCTTTGTAGCCAATTTACACTGTGGCAATTGACTCAGTTGGCCTGGAGAGCTATTATGAAAGCAATTCTCTCCAGTGCCCAGCCTTGCAGACACACCCAATTGACCCCGAATTAATCAGTACCCACCTAAACCACAGTTCTCAGTCCTGGCTGCACATCAGAATCGCCTGGGGAGCTTTTTAACAATCCCCATGCCAAGTAATTAAATCAGACCCATTAAATGACAGTCTCTGGGGGTGTGGCCCAGTCATCAGCAGCTTTTACAGTTTCCCAGGTGATTACTGTGGGCAGGCGCGGCTGTAAAACTGCAGCTGTATCGAGAGCACATCAGTGAGGTTCCAATTCCTTGGGTATTTCCATTCTTCCTTTTACATGGTGTGGGGTAAGAGGCTGCCTCGGACTCCCAGAACAGTTCCCCATTTTTAAAATGTCCCTGAATTGGGCAAACAAACAGCCTAATAGAAAATAAGCAAAAGATAAAACATACACGTCCATCATAGATTTATGGTCTCCTAATTTCAATCTCGAAAGTAATCAGCATTTTTCTAAAAGGAAAATCTGTATGTACCCATTATTTTGTAGCAATGAGTATAAAGTATTTAATATCCAATGCCTTTGGGACTGAGGGAAAAGAGATAGTCTTGCATCTTCTGCAGGCGTGAAAATACTACTACTGGTACTACTGAAGTCGCTAATATTTAATAAGCCAGGGCAAGGAGCCAGGACTTGCTCTAGGAACTCCATATATATTAACTCATTTGATCCTCACAGCAATCAAGTGAGGTCAATATCATGATTATCCCCATTTTCAGCAGGGAGATAGAGGTGCTCCTGAGGTCACACATCTCACGAGGTGAGGGAGAGGGATGCTGAGTCGGGCAGTCTAGGTCCGGAGTCTGTATACCTGGGGACTCATAAAATGGTAGGGAAATTGAATAATCTTTGCCCATAGCCTTACATAGGCCCCAAGATAGCAAAAGTCCTCTTTTAGGAAATTATCTTAAGAAAATAACTAGATACATGTATAAGTATATTCATTAGAAATAAAATAAAATATTCAGGAAAATAATGATTCAAAAGTCCACACATAGGGGGTTGGTTAAGCGAAGCACATTACAGCATGTCATGGGGCCGTATGTTCCCATTTAGAAGCTGTGTTGTAAAGTGGTTCTTCTCAGCCCTTTTCACGTCATGAACCATAAAGTGAATGACAGTGTTTTTAATCACACTCTATGTTAACACTCAAGTTGGCTGGAAGTGACTGTTTTGGAAACTGGTGGCACAGCCCCCACTAGCTGCTGCAAGAGCTGACGGCATCAAAATCTTGGTGTGCCCATTCCTCGTCACCAAAGACCAGTCACAAAGTTCTCATGTATAGGAATATATTTTGCTGTAGGAGAGTGTTCCCTAGATTTTGCTAAGTTCAGAAAAGGCATACTATAAGGAAGCACCTTGAGTATATTCCAGGCTGTTAACTCCATCAGTACATATGGGCACAGATGGTCATACCAATGGTTAAAACATCAAATGACCTTCATATCATGGGTGCACAGCCAGTGCACCAAGAACCCCACCACCATCACCACTACCCACACACAGGGCTTCCCTGAAATCCAGCAGCCCTGGACCACCTCAAGGCAAAGCAACCACCAGGTAAAGCCTAACTTGGAGGGCTTGGTTTCAGTGGTGGGAATTACTGTTCTCCATCAGCCAACATGTGTTCTGATTGGTTGGGGCCTAAGCTTGGCAGGTGTTTAAATGTTTTGAATATTACATGTGTACATGAAAAGAAGTTGATTCAGGGGTACACATATATGGTTTGATAGAAGAAATAAGACCCAATGTTAGCTAGATCAGTAGGGCTACTACAGTTTCCAGTAACCTATTGTCCATTTTGAAATAGGTAGAGAAGATTGGGAATGGTTCTAGCATAAAGAAAAAAACAAAGATTTAAGGTGATGGATATTTCAAGAACACTGATTTGATCTTTACTAACTATATGATTATATTAAATTATCATGTGTACCCTCAAATTATGTACATCTATCATGCATTGATAAAAATGCATCAATAAAAAATACAAATTATTCTTAAAAAATCTAGGTGGAGAAGAGTTTCTGGAGGGATATATGTCACAGCATTATTGTTTATTCTTCTCTTTTCTGGATTTCCCACTCTTCAGCTTTGGGCAAGTGTATATTTAGAAAAAATAAAGACCAAAACATCATTTTTATTTGGAAGTAAACTTGCAATTATGGCTGAATCTGATTCCTTCAATCCTATTAACTTACAAAAGTATACTTCGTCTTTGTAAGCATCAGAAAGTTCCTCAGCTAGTGGAGGAAAGTTCCCACTGATTTGAACTAAGAATACTGGATGTCACAATGATGACCTAAAAATCAGAAGATCTTTTCCCCATTTTTTAGATACTACAAGAAATTCTCATATTCATGTTGAACGCTAGAGAGTGGAAGGGGCCCCAGGAATAAGTGAGATGGAGTTTCAAAGTCAAATCATTTTGATTTAAAAACAATTTTTAAAAATATGGTATATCTTCTACCTTTAGACTGTGGACCAAAGTCTCATGCAAGTGCATAAGTGGTCAGGGTTCTTTCTATGTGTTCCCATCAAAGGGCTCTTCCAGTCTCACATGGGTTTGTGCCGCTGTGGACCAGGGTCAGCGTGATTGCAGTCAGAGAAGGCAGCAACCTGTCCGAGTGGCGCAGGTCAGAGGCCCTCAAAGTGGCCCCCGATCAGCAGGGCTCCTGCTCTGCCTGGCGTAAGGAAATAATGGCATCTCCTCTGTGCCTCTCAGTCCCCCTTACAACTTCAATGTAATTGCAAAGGGCACCCTTTAGTATTGCTCTCAATCTGCACTTCTAAATTCACAAAAAAAGGTCTAGCTTTTCCTTAACAATTGTTTGGCTCAGAAGGCAGCCAAAAATGGTTCCATATAGATTTATACGTGATTATCTGCTAGGAATTCTTTCTCCCAGAAAATACTTCCATGTAGCCACCTGGCTGTAATGGGAAATTGCATGTTCTTACCGAACCGCTCCACCCCATCTAACATGACCCAATCGTAATTCATTTTCCTTCTGCTCAAAGTAGGCTTATGAATGGACATATGACCCAAGCCAAGCCCATCAGAATCCTCCTGGGTTTCTCTGTGTGTTTTGGTTATATGTGCATGGGTACCTGCAAGTGTACGTGCCTGAGTGTGTGTGCTTTACAGGAACTCCAAGAATCAGTCCCCTTTTAGTTTGGGGAACTATCACATGTACAACTGGGGAGCTGGCGGTGGCCGTAAGGGCACATCTTTCATAAGGAGAAAGCTGCACTCCTGGACAAGAGACAGAAGCAGAGGTGAGAGATGGGGAGGTGCTCTTGTTGTTTTTAGGCCTGACTTTATCCTGCCCCTTCTAATTTTTAATCAACCTATTTCTTGGATTCTGTGAGGTATTTCAGTTTGTGTTTGTAACATTTAGAACCTGAAGAGTCATGATTAATGCATTGTCTTCCCTATTTTACTTCTCAGCTTCCTTTTTGCCCCAGGATAATGCCCTAAGGGAATTAGATTCAACAAAGTCACTTGTTTTGAGAAGCAAGGAGCGAGCAGAGAGAATTTGAGGGAGGGAGAGGTGCCGCCAGGAAAGGTGGCCAAGAGCAGCATTAAGGTCCCCGAGGGACGGGGCCACGAGAATAAGAGATGCCTGAGAGGAGTAGCAGGACAGAGAAAACAGAGTGTGACTAGCTCAGCATCGTGCCAAAGGCCCTGCTGAGGTGCTGCCAGCAGGTGAAGAGTGTGACTAGCTCAGCCTCGTGCCCAAGGCCCTGCTGAGGTGCTGCTTGCAGGTGAGTTAGTGGTTAGTGGTTTTTCTGTCTTCACATGTTATTTAAAGATCATGTTATTTAAAGCTAGACAATTTTGGGGAATGTGGAAGTGAAGGCTGATAACAATACTAAAGGGTGCCCTTTGTGGAGTTTTGAAGTTGTAAGGGGGTACTGGGAGGCACGAAGGAGATGCCATTATTTCCTTATGCCAGGCAGAGCAGAAGCCCTGCTGATCGGGGCCACTTTGAGGGCCTCTGACCTGCGCCACTCAGACAGGCTGCTGCCTTCTCTGACTGCAATCACACTGACCCTGGTCCACAGCAGCAACAACTCCCTGGAGGCTGGAAGAATCCTTTGATGGGAACATATGGGGAGAACCCACAGGTGCATAGCTACGCACTTGAATGAGACTTTGGTCCACAACCTAACGGTAGAAGATACATCCCATTTTTAAAAATTGTTTTTAAATCAAAATGATTTGACTTTGAAACTCCAACTCAGTCATTTCTGGGTACCACTCTCTTTCTTTAGGTTCAGCATGAACATGAGAATTTCTTGTGGTACCTGGGAAATGGGGAAAGAATGCTCTTATCTTTTGGTTGTCATGGTGATATCCAGTATCCTCTTTATCCCTGAGAGTGGTACCTCTCATGCAGCTGCTTCGGCAACTTTCTTGGTGCTGGGAGACACAGCGCCTAGAGTTTATGCTTCTGGTGGACCCCAGAGCCTTTCCCCTTTGAAGTCTTGTCACTTTTCTGAAGGCTTCCCTTAGGTTGAGGCACAGGTCACTGCTGTTGAGGAAATTTGTCAATTTCTATGCCTTTCTATAAGGAAATAACCTCTTTCTCTCTCTTTCTCTTTTTTGTTTTGAGACACAGTCTCACCCTGCTACCCAGGGTGGAGTGTAGTGGTACGATCTCAGCTCACTGCAGCCTCAACCTTCTAGGCTCAAGCAATCCTCCCGCCTCAGCCTCCTGGGTACCTGGGACTATAGGCACATGCCACACACCTGGGTAATTTTTGTATTTTTTTGTAGAGAAGGGTTTTGCGATGTTTCTCATGTTGTTCTTGAACTCCTGGGCTCAAATGATCTGCCCACCTTGGCCTTCTAATGGGCTAGGATTATAGGCATAAGCCACCATGCCTGGCCCATCTCTCTTTCTGATTAGCATCTCTGAATACCCCTATGCCCACTCCACTGGCTTCCCCTAGCAAAGCACCCTAAAAGAGCTCAGGCTTTTGGGACTCCAAATCCAGAAAAGGAATGTCTTTACCCTCTGCTTTCTACCTGGAACCCAAACTTTCCTTAAGGCAAGAGAGGACAATGAGACCCACCTGCTTGTCACGAGGAAAAAATTGTGCAAAGACAGCTAAAATACATTTCCTCTACAGTACATAGCCTTCACTGACTTTCAGTTGTGAGCTGCTTTTGAAAAACACAGGACAGAAATAATGAGTGCTCCATCCTT
Source organism: Homo sapiens (assembly GCF_000001405.40). NCBI lineage: Eukaryota > Metazoa > Chordata > Mammalia > Primates > Hominidae > Homo > Homo sapiens. The sequence continues at coordinate 187,189,812 of NC_000004.12, forward strand.
CTTGCCTTTACACCTACAATTCCTGCGTAAGCCCAGAGTTTCCGCCCAGCCCTTGGGAGACTGTCAGACTTTGCCTGGCGCTGAATCTCATGGTGAATTTGCTATGGTGCTGACCTTGCTCTTTGTCTTTTTATTCAAATATTTGCCACTGTGCAACACAATCATATATTGCATCTATGTAGTATTGATATTAAAGTGTTTAGCCAATTAGGTAGTTTGGTATTAGGTAATTCAAAAAGACTTCAAAATAATTCATTTATTAAACCGTATTCTTTTCTAGTGAACATATGCCTTAAGAATGCTTCCATTTCTCCTGTTGGTTTCAGGCAGGCATCATTATGCACAAGGTCCTGTGTTGTTTAGGTGGCTCAGAGGAAGAGTGGAAGTCAGGCATATTTCAGGAGTTTAAGTTAAAACCTGTCCCAGGGGAAAGAATGACAGAGTGGAACAGAAGCAAGCAGAAAGCTGTGTTCAGAGTCTCCAGGGTGCATGACAGAGGACACTGTGTGCACATGTGTGTGCATGCATGTGTATGTGTTTGTGTGCATTATCTCCATACACACACACATAAATATGTGTACATACATATATTCATAATCCCATGACCATACTCATTTTTGGCCTTCTCTAGAATCATAAATATATGTACTTTCTCACATTTACATTTGAATGAGTGTATTGAATGAATGGTATCCAAGGATATATTTGAACAAGCAAAGTGTTACCACAACATTGCACTAACTTGGAAGTTGTTTGTCAGAAAACTAAACTATCTGGAACACAGCTAAGAACTAAGAAGAAAACAAAACAGATGTCTCAGAACACTTGAGTCCTGGGCACTTTATTTAGAAAAGTGTCATTTTCGTGTGTTTCCCCTTATGTTACATACAGTTCAACTGAGCCAGGCCTTTTGATTTCTGTGATGAAAGGCCTTGAATTTTGGAGCCAGAAGGTCTTGGGCTTGAATTCAAGCAAATTAACTCTTCTGAGGTCCATTTTCTTAATCCATACAGCAGAAATAGTTACATCTGTGTATAAAGTTTTATTATGAGAATTAAAGAAGCTAAATATGAAAAGAATCTAGTGGAACCTGACATATAAAAAGTGTTCTTTAACAGGCCAGGAAGGGTAACTCATGCCTGTAATCCCAGCACTTTGGGAGGCCGAGGCAGGTGGATCACGAGGTCAGGAGATCGAGACCATCCTGGCTAACATCCTGGTGAAACCCTGTCTCAACTAAAAATACAAAAAAAAAGTAGCCAGGCGTGGTGGCGGGCGCCTGTATTCCAGCTACTCAGGAGGCTGAGGCAGGAGAATGGCGTGAACCGGGAGGCAGAGCTTGCAGTGAGCCGCTCGTGCCACTGCACTCCAGCCTGGGCGACAGTGAAAGACTCCATCTCAAAAAAAAAAAAAAGAAAGTGTTCTTCAACAATAATTTGTTTCTTTCCCCTTCTTTTCCCAGCTTATGGAAAATTGGAAGCAGGAGAAGAGAAGGAGGATTCAAAGATGGACAGACCAACGACAGTCAGAAAGAACACTCCAGCCTAATAGCCTAACCCTAAGAGATCTCAGGATGAGACTAATGAGAAAGACCCAGGTCCTCACTGGCATCTGAGGCCATGACTGGGTCCCAGTAACCAAGAAAAGGTGGAGCCATGCTCAGCTGGTTTCTCAGAAGTGGTGAGGCATGGCAGAAACTTCAGCACTGCTCCTCCCCAAAATAAATAAGGTAAAAAGAAAACATTGGGGGCAGCAAATGAAACTTTGCTCAGCATAGAGGACAGCTGAGGTGTTCACATGGCAAGAAGTGGATCTATCTGGGGGGCTAGCTAGAGCTAAACCACTTCCAGGAGCAGGAGTCCACAAGCTTTTTCAGTAAAGGTCAGATAGGAAGGATTTCAGGCTTTGTGAGCCACATCACGTCCCTGTCACCTATTCTTCTTGTGGCCACGTGTCTTCTTGCTTGCTTGTTTCTTTTGCCACTCTTAAACATGCAAGAAAGCATTGTTAACTCACATGCTGTCCAAAAGCAAGCTATGCACTGGATTTGGCCCGTATGTCATGGTTTGATAACATCACCTACAGTGTATTACACAAGATGACAGCATCGAGTGCCTTTTCACATGTGTTCCATGAATAAATGGGTAAGGTGCATATGTCCTGTTTAAGTCATCCCACTAGTAACAAAATTATCCTCCTTGTCATTTTGGATAAATGCATTCATTGGCGTTTACTCATGTAGATTTGCCTTTGCTTATCAACTAGAATTTTAATCAGCCAAAAAAAAGAAACATTGGCACTCACATACATGTCTGAGAGAACAGTAAAAGTCCATCACATAATAAGAGGTAGCATTTATTGTGAAGTTACTGTGTACCGGGCACTGTATATATACTTGTTAGGGGCTGACTTGTGTCCCCCTAAATTCATATGTGAAAGCCCTAACCCCTAACGTGACTGTTTGGACACGGGCTTTAAAGAGGTCATCGAGGTTGAATGAGGTCTTAATGGTAAGGCCTTGATTCAATAGGACCAGTAAGAAGAAGGGACATGAGGAGTGTGCACACACGGAGGAAAGGCCATGTGAGGACACGGCGAGAGGGTGGCCGTCTGCGAGCCAGGAAGAAAGATCGCACCAGAAGCCAACCCTACCAGCATCTTGACCTTGGGCTTTCAGCCTCCAGAACTGTGACAAAATAAATGCATGCTATTTCAGTCACTCAGTCTGTGGTTGTTACCGTAGCACAAGTGGACTAACACAGCACTATTTAATTCCTAAAATGTGTTATAAGGAAGGTGCTGTTGTTATAGTGAGAGAGGAGATCTAAGGGCAGAGATGGATTAGGTAACATCCCCAGCTGGTCTAGCTAGTGAGTGGCAGAGTTGGGACTGAACCAGGCAACCTGCTCCAGGACTTCGGCTCTTCACCTGTCCCTCGGTGGGCTCTCAACCCAGGTGGGGAGGTTCTGTGGGTGCTCTCCCCTTCACAGGAAAGATAGCTCTTGCTCACGCAATAGAGAGTTCTCAAAGTGCTTCAGCGCAGGACCTCCTGAGGACGTCTGTATACCTCAGGCATGCCCATCTCACTGCTTCCAAAAGGAGCTGAACAAAGTAGGGACTGAATGGACGAGTGCTTGGTGGGGGGTAGATCTTGGAGTCTGCCCAAAGGAAGAAATAGGAGCCATATTTTATTTCTCTCCTTATGCCTTATATAATATGTATGCACTTACAATGTACACCATGGTGACTTTTGTATAGACATTTTCCACATAAACCTTTTTTTTTTTTTGGCAAAATGTAATGTGTACTAAAGGAACGATGAATTTTCCAAAGTAAGCCAGTCTTTCAGAATTTCATAGCTGTGAAGGGGATAAAGCAGACTTACCCATGCAAGCCAGCCTTTCTCTTGGCTGCCCTTTCCTACCCTGGACTTTCTCTCCTCTGGCTCCTGATCTCTGAACTTAGAATCTAGCCTGGGCTAATCCTCAGTGGTGTCACACTAGAGAAACGCCCAGGCTCAGACTTTGACATTTATCCTGAACTGAATTAAGTTCTAGCTGATTGCATGGTCAAAGATTGTTGCTGTGATGGGAAGACTGTGACTCACATGGTCAGGGGTTGGAATTAGAGCATTCCCATGTCACCAAGGTGTTCACGTGGCCTGCAGTTTAATAACTAAAACTGTAACCGACATTGTCTTGATTGGGCTTATCTGAATGTTCTGAATAAAAAATGCCAAGTAGCATGCTTCAGGAGGGCATGGAAAAGGCCCACATAGAAAGTTGCCCTCACTGGGCCATTGTTTGGTAAAATGACGTTCATTTCATTGAGCTCCCCAGAGCGTGTAATTTTGGTTGTATGAAAGTGGCTTTCTGAAATGTCCCTAAGCAGACATGTTCTATTTCTTTTCCATGAAACATGCACTAAATACCTATAATAGGTACACAGGGGGATCATGGTGGAAATAAAGCCTGAAAGATAGATATTCGACTTAATCATTTGTTAAAAGATAATTTTGAGTGGGAAACATTTATTATATAGAATCACTGACTAACCTGGTATATTTTTATTCTCCCACTCTTACCTTGTAAAGTTGATATTTAAAGGTGTCAAATATATGGCTAGTGTGCCTTATTTGACATGGAAAATATGAACTTATCTGAAGTAAAAATCACCTTCCCTTTGGGCTAAGAAAGGGCTTGGAGAGGAGAAATCTACTAAGCCTCCACCAATTATGATACAGACCCAGGGAGCTACACAGTCACAGAAACTCCTGGGCAATGTCTCATTATTATGAGATTTTCAGATACAGCATTTTTTTTTAATCCATAAAGGAACAAATTGAAAGGATGGGGCAGGTGGTAACATTTAGTTTAAACTTTTTTGAGGAAAATTAAGTTTCAAATTAGAAACTTGACCAAGATATTGTACTGATGGATATGGCCCTGGAGTCTACAGTCAGGCTTCCCAGTCTATATATAGTCTTTGAACAGGAATATCCTAGAAGTCTATTGCCTTCAACACATGGCGTTTTTGGATCATAGAAAATGGTGCAGCTGTGTTTGGCCCAGTAGGGGTAGTGACACAAGCTGAACTGAAAGATAAGGTGGTGGTTACGGAGCATGGAGGCAGGCGGCCTTAATGCCACGGAGGCTGAGAGGACACTAAAGGGTCAGAAACAGAGGAACAACATGAGAGATCTGTTTCAGGATCATCTGTACTGAATCAGAGATTCAATGTTTACTTCCATGCATTTCCTTTCTAACTTGCTTGTAGGTGACTTCCTATTTCCTGGAAGGACAGGTGGCCACACTGCCGAGCAGAGGGCAGTTTGGATTGTGACACCAGAAATGCAAAGAGAAAACAGACAAGTTAGCGTTTTCGTTTTTCTTCCAAAATAGGTTTCCGAAGCTTATCCCCTCCATCAATACTTTTGAAAGGTAAAACAACTTCCTTTGCAAAAGCTGCATTTTACTGGAAGCAGATGAGATTCTTAGAATTGACAGCAGAGGCAAGGAATAAAGTTTATTCCAAGACCTGAATGGAAAAAGAGGAAGAACTCATAGTTAAGAGCCCCATCAGCTGAGGAGGGACCGTGAGAGGGGAGACCCAGATGGACTGTAGTTTTGGGACAGGGGAGGACCAGAGAGGGTTCCTGATAGCGGAACAGGGTGGTTGTTGGGGCGTGGATGGGGAAACTGGGGGGCAGTTGGCGGCGTGCAGATGAATAGAGCTGTTGTTCAGAGTCAGCTGCAGCTGGTCTCCAGTGCCAGGAAGTCAAGATGGAGCCCTCAGAACATCAGCCTAGGTGGAACAGGCACTGCGACAGGCTCACTTGGGGAAGCCTCGTTTTCTCCTATGCTTATGGCTATCTGGAAGGCCATCCACGGGTATGGCAGTGATCTGGATCTACCAGTCCGTGGATCACCAGAGCAAACATCTGCCACCTGCACCTCAGTCTGGACTCTTTCTTCCAGGAGGTTAACATACTCACAGGCCTGTTGAAATCCTAGAGGGATCAGTGGTGATGTGGAGGGAACACCCTCACCCAGCCCACGCCTCAGCACTGGAACTATATGTGGGTCAGGTCAGTGGTGGAAACTCAGCCCTGGCCTCCACAGCCACCTCTCTGCTGGCTCCGGGAGTGAAGAGTAGAAAGACTGGGAGTGGGGAGAGGGATGGGTGTCTGCATAAGGGTGAACGAGGCTGACACCAATGCAGTGGGAACATTGGTGAGGCCACCTTCTTGAAAAACACTTCAGGTTTGTAGTTTACCAATTTTGTGAATTTTATCTTGAATATTTTAAAACCTAAGTAGTTTCTCCTGCTATCTGTGCAATATGAAATAGCTTTTTCATTGGCATGGGGATTTGAAAAACATAGTCTAAGCAAAACATAATTAGAAAGATAAACATAGTTCCTTCTTAATCATATGACGTACATGAAAGCCTAAATAGAGCTGTTTGGTACATTTTGCTCTTCAGTATTATCTGCGTCACAGCTACCTGCTCCCACCCTTCCCTGTGAGATCCATTACAGCAGATAATGACGAGCTGGCTAGATACAGGGAAGAGTAAAATTAAGCCTTGATGTAACCAGTGAGAGCTACACTAATTCCTGCCCACTCAGCAGTTGATGCTCTGATAGGCCCTTTATGTGGGTGGTTGTTGGGCAGGTTTTAGAAATGCAGTCACAATTAATTGCTGTGAACCTAGGCAACTATTCAGCCTAAGAAGACATCAATGATGTCTTCTTCTTCTTCTGTCCCTCTATCTTTCCATCATGGGGATCTGACATTACATTAGAATGCTTGGGTGATGGGAGGTTTGGTCTCTGAGCTCATCCAAATGGCTCACTGGTGGCACTAATGGGACCTCTCCTGTTGCATGGAGGATCTGCAAGTCTTCACTACAGGAAAGCAACTGACCACGTCTGCTCACCTGATAGTAGTTTGGTTACATTTACAATAGCTGCCTTATGTGAGACACCGTTCTCTCCCCATTTGTGTAAAGTATGCAGAAAGTTTCCTTGGGTATTTTATTTTTTAGTGCAAGAGTTGGAGAAAGCATGAGTAAAAGTTCTTGCTACACACCTAAGTATTTCATAATGTTATTTATTTTAATTTAATTTTTTTTTAGAGTCAAGGTGTCGTTTTGTCACTCAGGCTGAGTGCAATAACGTGATCACAGCTCATTGCAGCCTCGACCTCTTGGGCTCAAACAATCTTCCCGCCTCATCCTCCTGAGTAGCTAGGACCGCAGTCATGTGCCAACATGCCCAGTTAATTGAACGTTTTTTTAGTGGGCCGGGCGCAGTGGCTCATGCCTGTAATCCCAGCACTTTGGGAGGCTGAGGCGTGCAGATTGCCTGAGGTCAGGAGTTCAAGACCAGTCTGGCCAAGATGATGAAACCCCGCCTCTACTTAAAATACAAAAAAATTAGCCAAGCATGGTGGCGTGCGCCTGTAATCCCAGCTACTCAGGAGGCTGAGGCAGAGGAATTGCTTTAACAAGGGAGGTGGAGGTAGCAGTGAGCTGAGATCGCGCCACTGCACTCCAGCCTGGGTGACACAGTGAGACTCCATCTCAAAAAAAAAAAAAATTCTGTAGACATGGGATCTCACTATGTTGCCCAGGCTGGTCTGTAACTCATCAAGTGATCTTCCTACCTTGGCCTCCCAAAACTCTGGGGTTACAGGTGTGTTCCTAGCTCAATCTCTCCCTCCCTCCCTTCCTTCTTTCTCTCTCTCTCTTTCCCTTTCTTTCTCCCTTCCTTCCTTCCTTCCTTCCCTCCCTCCCTCCCTCTCTCTCTTTCTTTCTTTCCTCTCTCTCTCTTTCTTTTTAAAAAGTTTTTCAGCACATGTAAGCCCTTTAAACTACACTTTTCTCCAAACTGATTTATGTACAAAAGCATGCTATAGTCCATCAACAACAATGACAGGGCTGTGTCACTATCAATAGGCCTACATTTAAAATTATTTTCTAGGATTGGAAATGAATGCATGTTGATTCCACCCATGTTTCCTGCCAGACCCTGTTTGCTGCAAAGCTTCCATTAGGAGGTCACTTGGTTGAGAATAGGAGGACAGTTGCTGGAGACTTGAGAATAGAGAAGAGCTTAATGTACATTCACAAAATATTTTGCCACAATTTTTTGTCCGGTTGATAATAGTTTCATTAAAAGTATGCAAGACATATAGTTTTTATTCACTTAATAACAAGTATAATGAAACATCTGAAACAACCTGAATGTTCAATAATAAACAACTGCTTAAATAAATTATGATACATCAACTTAGCTGAATATTATGCAACTATTACAAGGAAATTATGAACTTACACAAAAACATTAAAAATGCTTTAATATTGGAAAAGAATAAAAAATTATATCATGCTGTGATTAGACAAGAAAACATATGTTCATTGAAAAAGACAAACTAATTTATTTATCAAGGTTGCAGAATAATGGTTAATTTTTTTCTTTAAAGTATTTCCATTGTGTGTTGTCCCCTGATATCAGGTGCTGAGAAGGATACAATATCACTTCTGTTAGTGTCCCTGCCAAAAACGCATGAACTGAATCTAATCATGAATAAAAACTAATCATGAGGAAAGGCCTTCTACAGAATAATTTGTGTGCTTCAAAAATATCAAAGCCTGTAGAAGGCCATGAATAAAAACAAATCATGAGGAAACATCAGAGGCACCCAGGATAATTCGTGTGCTTCAAAAATATCAAAAATATCAAAGCCATGATTGAAATTTTAGCCTATGTTCACTTATAACAAATCATTCATGTAGAAAATAATTCAGTAAATAATCAGACATTTTATTTTTATAGTAAAATATCATTTTCCAAATATAAATGTCAGTGAAATAAATAAAAAGCTTTAAATACAAATGAATATTTTATTGATTATTTTTATTTTAAAACTTTTACTTTAAACTTTGTTAACAATTTTATTACACTTTTTCATTTCTGTTTGTGATATTTTATGATTGAAATTTCCTGAATTAAGTTGATCTGTGTTATCTTATATTTGTCAGAAAGTTTAATAATCTTTAATGTCTCTGTTATTATTCCAGGAAAAGATAGAATTGTAATAGTCTGACAATGACAAGTAATTGCTTAGACTATTTCTTTTTTCTTGGCTTAGGGATACTAAATTTGTAATATATTAAGCTTACCATCACAATAAGAAATATTCTTCTTTCTGACTAAAACAACCAGAATTTAATATTTTTGTATTACTTGATGAGAAAAATCCATTTGCAGTTGAGCTAAAAACAAAAGAAAACAAACAACAGCAATAAGAAAAACAAAGGAAACACTGTGTTGTTTTTCTGTTCCACGGAGGTGAAAGAGAACAAGACTCATTATACTCTCACTTTTCCTAGATTGAAAATTTCTCTTAAAATTGGGTTTGGGATCTAATTCCATAATTCTTTTTTTTTTTTTTTTGTCTTATAGTAAAGAATATAGCTGCCATTTTTATTTTGCAGGTGACAACCGAACCTTAAACTATTTCTACCAATGCTACCAGTAAATCTAATGAGTTAGCATTAGCTTTTCATAAAGTCATAACTTTGCTCTGGTGAATACATTTTCAGTTGAACTGTACTCAAGAAAAATTCCATCCCAGCACTTTACTTAAAAGATTGTTTAATGTTTTGTTTTGTTTTTGGATTAGCTGTAATTGCAGAAAAGAAGTCCTCAGAGCGCAGAGTGAAAGTCTTTACAGCTGCGATTGTCTCCCCAGTGGTAATGACAGGTTTAATTTAAAACTGCATCCTCTTCTCACTCAGATCATCTTAAGACCAACGACTCAGAATTGCTCTTTAGAGTTAGGAGTTGGCCATGGTATCAAGTGCCGATAACGTGGTCTCCACAGGAATTCAGATTCTGATTTGGGCCTCGCTGTGTTCTAATCAAGGAACCTAATGAACTACACTCATGGTAAGTTCATCTAGTCGGAAGCCTTGGACTGTTCCCAGACTCAGAGTCAAATGTTTTAAGTGGTAATCAAGTTTCCCTTGTTATTGCTCATATTTAATCATCAGAAAATTCTGTGTATTTATGTCGATATTTAAAGAAGAATCTTTGATTCCATGTGCATGCTAAATGCGAATTGGCTGTATAGAGTTATGCCGTTTGACCTTCTTCAACACACGGTGCGGAGTGCAACACTTCCCTGCAGTGCTTCTCTTCTGTGACTTTTTTTTTAACACTTAAATTTGCATTTTTGTTCAAGGTGATGTGAAGAAGTTCAATGCTACTAGCACATACAATTGATTCAGTACTTTAAGAGATAAAAATTATTTTGATCAGTCTATTCAACAACAATTTATTAAGAAGCTATTTTGTGCCAAGCACTGTGCCAGATACTAAAAAATAGTGAACGTGGAAATGGAAAAAAGAAGAAGATTGAAACTGATCTAATAGTCCTACCAACAGTTGCTTTTTAGATGAACATAGAAATTAACCCTCCTGGTCTTAAAGTTTGAAACTTACATGTTTTATCTGAGTTTCTTCCTCAGGAAAGGATCCCCAGGGCTCTCAAAAAAAAAGTGTCAAAGAACTGAAACTCACCAGATCATGACATCCAGACAAAGAGATGCCGGACCCCTCATCCACCATGATTACTTCCTTACCCCTCCTGCGTTTCTGTTTTCTCACACATTGCTACATTTTTCTCCCTGCTATATAAATCTCCTAATTTTAGCCCATCAGGGAGATGGATTTGAGACTGAGCTCCTGTCTCCTGGGCTGCAGCACCTGGTTAAAGCCTTCTTCCTTGGCAATACTTGTTGTTTCAGTGATTGGCTTTCTGTGCAATGAGCAGCAGGACCTAGACTGAACCCCTGGTGTTTCAGTAACAAGATTGCTGAGGAAAAAGAAATGATATTATACACAACGTATATGTTTATTGATTGATCTTGTTTATAAGTTGTAGATCTGATAAATCTGAACTATAAAAATAGGGAATCAATAAATAGATTCATACATTTATTGGTTTTATTAGTTGACACTTGACAATAAAGTATGGAATTTTCCTCCTCTTTTTTGGTTCATCAAGGCTATTCTATAAGGTGGGTTGAAACTCCAAGAAGGTTCAAAATAATCCTTCCCTTACACCCCTACAAGAAACTTCAGTTCATGAACTTAACACCAGTATGTATATTTTTCCAGAGGGTTGGGAATGATCTTGATAGAGATCAATAGAAAAGGAAATTGTGGACTTATTGGGAATAGAAATAGGAAGTATAGCAGATTTCAAAATAGAAATTGAAGTTTTTGCATTAAGGACTTGTAAGAGATTGCTACAAGCAAAACAGACAAAAATCCCAGCTCTTAAAGTTTTCACATTTATGGTTATAGATTACAAACTGTCTTTGCAATGAGACAGGGTGTGGTTTTGCAAACTGGCAGCTATGCAACAATATAATGGAAAAATAATGCAAAACTTTTGCAGGGTAAAAAGGTGACTACTATAAAGGATGCAATATTTCATGAAATCAATAAAAGTAATATTAAAGAACTGCACATTTCAAAACAAACTCAGTGACAAATGGAAGTTTATCAGTCTAGACCAGCTAATAACTGAAGAAAAGAGAAAAAAAACAGCACTGATGAATAATAGCTAAGTTAAATAGAATGGCTCCACCACCAAAGAATTCAGAAAGATCATGGAAAATTGTTGAAACCTTGACATTCTTTACAAAAATTTACAAATGTTATTTAAAATATCAAACATAAAGTAAGAAATTCTATACCTGTATACTATCAGAAAAAAATATATGCCCAATTCAACCCCTAACATCTTATTAATTTTTTTCCTTAGGATGAATCACAATTATAACCTTATTATTATTAAAAGTAAAATAAACTTATTTTATAACGTACGTTTTATTGAGAAAATCTTAGGAAAGCCTCTCCCATCCCTTACCCCATTATTTACTGTGAACCTCTATTCAGTGGCTTTATCAAGAGCCACTGATCAAGGACCTTTTTTATCTCTATGCGAACAGCCTTCTTAGCCTTCCAATTTTGAGGTCCATTCAAGTCAAGCAATTCACTTTTGTTTTGGTTCAGCAGTTGGAGAATTGCTGTATTTCCGATCATCATATTCATCCCACTGGATTGTAAGGATATCTTTCATGTTTAGTATTCTCTAAGTCAGAGAAATTTTAAAATTTAGATCCCCAAAATGATAGTCTGCTCCACTGATCACATGTATCTATGTATTAGTTTTCTATTGCTGCATAAAAAAATGAACACAAACTTAGCAACTTAAAACACATATTTAGTATCTTACCATTTCCAGGGGTCAGAATCTGGGTGCGGCTGGTCTGGGTCACCTGCTCAGAGTTTCAAGGGGTTTCTCAGGTTTCACCATCATCTGGAGGATTAACTGGAGAAGAATCTGCTCTCAAGTTCCTTCAGGGACTTGGCAGGATTCATTGTCTTCAGGTAGTATGCCTGAAGACTTTCGGCTTTTCACTGGAGTCTGCTGGAGGCTGCCCTCAGGCCCTAGACATCACCGGCAGTTCCTACCCACTCAGGCTTCTCCAACACTGGCCTTTACTTTCCCAGGCCCACAACAGTGAATGTTAGTCCTGTTGCTAAGCTACAGTCTTCCAGAACATAATCAAAGAAGTGGCTTCCATCACCTTTGTCATCATCTATCGGTTAGAAGCAAGTCACAGGTCTTGCCCACACTCAGTGAGAGGGATTACATGAATGTGTGACCACCAGGAGATGGTAACAATTGGGGTCATGAGGGGATATGACTGCTACAATCTCCCATCATCAAAAACAAAAACAGGAATCTGTAAGTTGAAGTTCAAGGTTATGAAAAGCAAACTGGCTTTCTGTTTTTATCATTTCTGGATATACAGAACAATTATATCAAATTTATTAATATGAACTGCATCATACTTAAGTTTTAAACATTAGTAGTATTCTATTTGAAATTTTTTTCCTGTCCTACTTAAATTTTTGAGGACATTTTATATGTTTAGGAATGATCTAAAATTGTGGAATGTCACTTTTTTCTAAATCTTCAAATAATTCTAAACCAAATGGAATACAGATGAACATTTTCTAGAAATCACTGACATTCACTATTTTAATTTCTTAGCCATTGATAATGTTTTTGAAGTTAACATTTACTCTGGTCACAGTGGCTCATGCCTGTAATCCCAGGGCTTTGGGAGGCTTGGTAGCAGAATTGCTTGAAGCTAGGAGTTTGAGAGCAGCCTGGACAACATAGGATTACCCTGTCTCTACAAAAAAATTTAAAAAGCTGGGCATGGTGATGCATGCCTGTAGTCTCTGCTACTCAGGAGTCTGAGGCAGGAAAATCACTTGAGCCTAGGAGTTAAAGACTTAAAGGAAACAGTGAGCTCTGACTGCACTACAGCACTCCAGCCTGGACAACACAGTGAGACCCCCTCTCCCCGCTCTCTAAGCATATATATATATATATATGTGTGTGTGTGTGTGTATATATATATTATTAAATAAGTTTATGGACTTTATAAAATTTATGTTAAAGTGACAAGTATATAGTGTGTGCAGTTACAGGCATGAAGAAGCAGTTAATAAATTATCCTGGAATTAAAACTTGAAGAGCATTCTGAATTACCTATTTATCTTGAATTGTCTTAGATCAAAGCAAGAGCACCAGTGAAGAATCTATTTGGCTGATATGGACCCTGTTCTTGCTGGTTAATGATGAGCATCACTGTTCAGCTAGAACACTTGTATGATCATTACATGGCTGACTCCCTGTGGAAATGGGAAGGGAATAAGGAATACATATTTGGAATGAAGAACAGTTTACAAACACTTGTTTGTTGGTACTAATTTACAGAGAATAGTGCAAGAGTTAGCTTTATTTTTTCTTTATTAATATTATGTATGTATAACTTTATATATGTTATATGTGTATCTTACATATACATTTCTAGAGACCTTAGGAATAGAAATCTGAAGAGCTGAGTTGCAAACCCCTTATTTTCAAGGGTCGAACACTTCAGGTAGTTGGTGAATAATTTATTACAAAGAATCTCTACTTAGAATTGTAACGTGTGTGTATATATATTATATGTAATTATACATATGTAATATATACATACAAAAAGACAGAGACAGAGAGAGACAGAGAATTTACGCACCAACCAACACAAATACATATGGAATAATAGAACATATGTTAATATCCCTAAAATTCAGTATGTATGAGGCCAGAAGAGAGCGTTCATAAAATATAAAGGATAAACATTATGTATACGATGTTTTCTCACTGCAGTGAATTAAAATTAGATACCATTAGCAAAAGAATGGATTATAACAAAATAATGGATTCTACATTGAGATCTTTGTCGTCAACCATTCTCTCATTACTTCTGTCTCAACGAGTGAAGCTCTAGGTACAGAATGTTCTACAAGTTAGCGTTTCCAAAATTTCAGGAAACACACAATCTGTGTCTTACATAAGTTGTTTCAGAACACATAAAAGGACTAAAAACTGCCTAACTCCTTTTATGAGACTACTGTGATATTTTTAAAGTTAAGCATCACGGAAAAAAAAAAGAAAATGGTAAGTAAATTTTATTTCTAAACAAGTTGCAAATTTCTAAAATACAATTGTACATAGTTGAATCCAACATAGTAGCAAAGAAATGAGTTTAATAGGATCAAGCCTGATATATCCCTTAAATGTAGAAATTTCCATAGTTTAAAGAAAACTCTACAAAGTAAATCACCATATTAATGAGTTTAGGAGAAAAATTCCATGATTATTTGAGTAGATATTTAACCACACTATTAAAACATTTTCACTGCAGCAGTCATTGGTGTAAGGCTTTACAAATATTAACTCCTTTAATCTTCATAATAGCCATATGTGGTAGGTAATATTACCCACATTTTAAAGATGAGAAAACTGAAGCACTGGGAGATTATGTAATTAGGTCAATTAAGGTCATTCAGCTAATATGCAGAAAAGCTAAGATTTAGTACATGCAATCTAGCTCCAGCGTCCAGGTTTTCAACCAGTCTTTTATGCTGCCTCTTTTGCAATATATGGAGAAGAATCATTTGATAAAGTTAAACTTTTATTTATTATAGGCATGGTAGAACACTTGGACCAGAAAAAAAACCTTTAACATCATAAAAGCTATGTTTACTAAAAGTATTCATGTTTTAGAGGCATTCCCTTTAATCTCAGGAATAAGAAAAGAATACCCCCTTTCATTTTCCTGTCCAATATTTGTTCATTCAGCAAATATTTGCTGGTCGTCTACTGTTGGAGGCCGAAAGAATGAGGGTCTTGATCAACTCAGTATACCACCGGAGGCTATATGAGCAAACAGGGAACTGTTCTCATGAAAGCAGGATGTTGGCAAACTGACAAACTGCACTGGCCACCCAGAAGGAATGCTAAGGGCAGTCAGACCCAGGCACAAGTGTTTCTTGTGAATAGGCACATCTGAAGCCTGTTAGCAATAATATGAACCATGATCAATCAAGCAGCTGATCAATCGTTAGCTCCTTCTTGCTCTTTCTACCCAAAAAATATGAAGGGCAGGAGAAGCAGCGGTGGCTGCCTTTGCTCACTAGAAGCAGGGAGCCCTCCTCTTCTTCCCCTGGCCTCTTCTTTAAAACAGTTTCTTTTGTCTTAAGTTTTCATTTCTGCGTTCGTCCTCCTTTGTTCAGTTCTGTGATGATGGTCTCAAGTAGTAACAGTAGTAACTGTCATAGTGACAGGCTCAAGTAGTAACCGTGGCAGTCTGCCACAATCTACTATGTGCCAGACACTCTCTTAGGTACTGGGAATGCAGCTGTGAAGAAAATAGACCAAAAAATTCTACCCTCATAGAGCTTACATTCTAGTAGAAGAAATAGGTAATTAGTAAAATAATTATATAAGTTATATTGGTAGGTAATATGTGCTATGAAGAAAAAATAAAACAAAAATAGGAATAGTGGGTACTGGGAAAAGTTACAATTTTAAATAAATTGGTCAGAAAGTAATCCTTGAATGAATACTTGAAAGGGGTAACGTGATACTGAAGGTTCTAGCCAATGCAGATAGGAGTGAAGAGATAAAACATCATTGTTAGAAGATGCTCTGATCATTTAATAGAAAATTCAAGAAGATCTACCCAAAAAATTATTCATGGCATTACAAATTCCTCAGGTTTCCAAGAAATAAATCAACATAAAAATCCATTCCATCATTTACATTAAAAACAGTAAATTAAATATAATAGTATACTAATACCATTTAATTAAATACCTTAGATTTAGCTTAACAGATAAAATGCATTTTTATGCATTTTAGCTTTTGCTTCATAAATATGTTTTTAAAACTCAATTTAAAAACTTTAAAGAAAACCAAAACAAGTGGAAAGAAACATCATTATATGTCAGTTCCCTCCAACTCAATTCAATATTTCTGATAAAAACTCTAGCTAGATTTTACTGGAAAAATTGAAAAACTGAATCTAAAAAAATACAGTGAGGAACAATTGTCAACACTTAGCTAAGATGACTTTGAAAAAGAAGCCCCAATCTATTGTATTAAGACATATTACAAAAGTATATTAATTAAAAGGGCATGGTAATAGCATAGAAACAGATGAATAGACAAATCAGAAATAAAAACATGTTCACTATACCCTTTTATATATAAAGATTTGAAATATGGTCGACCTGGCATCAAGAAATCAGTGGTACAAGAGACTGAGATAGGAGGATAACTTGAGCACAGATGTTAGAGACCAGCCTGGGCAATATAGTGAGAACTCACTTAAAAAAAATCAATGGTAAAGAATATATTTATTAAATACTGTTAAAAAATTGGCTCATTATGTGGAAAAAAAGACTTTGATTCCTACCTCACATCATATTAAAAAAATAAACTCCAGATAGTCTATAGATCTAAATGTTAAAAGCAAATATATAACACTATGAGAGAAAATATAGGAACAGATCCTTGTGATGCAGTGTGTGGGAAATGGTACATATTTATGAAATACTCCTAACAAATATTTTATTACATCAAAATTATGAATTTGTTTTAAATAAGAGAAACTGCCAGGAACAGTGAGGAGTCTGAGATTTTATTCTACTTGCACACTGACAAGTTAAAGTACCATAGTTTTATGGATGCTATGAGAAGATACGAGACTCTTGGGTCAGAGACAAAGAATTCTATTACTCATGGCCCAGCAGGCAGCATGAGCTTCATGTTCAGCTGGTTTCTCATAGCCCCCAAGGTCCACTGGAGCAATGAAGATGGTCCTAGATAGATGCTCCACTAACAGTGGGTTGACATAACAGCAAGAAAACCTCAAGTTCAGGAAACCCCAATATTTTTAAAAAGGCTTCAAATAAACTTGCCCAACTTTTGTCACAGAAGGAGATATTATCTTTATTAGACTGGACATTAAATATGCCCTCTAATCCAGATGAAGGCAGTGTCTCTGTCATCCAAGGCTGTTTACTATACACACATCCTTGAAAAGATGGTACAGCACAAAAACTGTCAATGTCTTTGCTTGCAAAAAGTGCAGAAATATGACAGACCCCTGGTGAATTGTCTGCTAAGAGAACAAATAGTCAAAGTAAACACAAAGGTTATAGGCTTAGATATTTTGCTTTAGATTTTTCTGACTTTCAAGAAAAAGATAGGAAATCAATTAAAAATGGATAGTAGTTATAATCAACTCACATAAGATTCAACTAAAAATGTGAATACATGTTTAAAAAATTGTTCAACATAAGTGGTAATCTGATAAATGGAAATTAAAACTAATATAAAACATCAATATATACCCATCAAATTGACCAAGGTATAAATCAGTTAATATCACATGTTAGCAGGAATACATAGACAGTAACCTTCATATCCTACCAGTAAGAGTGTATCTGAGACCACCATTTTGAGAGCAAATTTGGCATATTGGTGAAAACATTATGCATATGCCTTATACCCAATAATTTCATTTCTGGGAGTAAACCCCAGAACGACTTTGCTCAGAGATGTGTGAAGACGTTCAATTCGGCAGTAGCTGGAGGCTATCTTCATAGAAGATAGCCATAGAAAGTGGAAATGGCTGTGCAAATTATGGTTTATCTATAAGATGGCTGTCATTCATTAGAAGAAATAAACAATACCTAGAAATACTAAAATATAAATATGTCAGAGTCTAATATTCAGTAAAAATGTAAAACTAACTGATATTTATGTAGATGTTTAAAAAACACACAAAATAACCCAATAATATACAAAATCACATTCACTTCCCTATAACCATTCTCTATTTCCTTTCCCTTCCTTTGCTTTCTCTTTCTTTCTCCTTTCCTTTCCTCTTTCCCCTTTTTCTTTTCCTTTCTTCTTTCCCCTTTCCTTTTTTTCCACAGGGTCTTGCTCTGTCATCTAGGTTGGAGTACAGTGGTGCAATTTCAGCTCACTGCAACCTCGAGCTTCTGAGCTCAAGTCATCCTGCCATTTCAGCCTCCCAAGGAGCTGGGACTACAAGTGCAAGCCATCATGTCCAGCTACATTTTTTGTACTTTTGTAGAGACAGGGTCTCATTATGTTGCCCAGGGTGGTTTTGAACTCCTGGGCTCAAAGGATTTGCCTGCCTTCAGCCTCCCATAGTGCTGAGATCACAGATATGAGCCATCAAGCCAGGCATCCTTTTTCTTTATAGCCCTGATCACCCCCTGAAGTTACATTACGTTTATTTATTAACTTGTTTATCATTCGTCTCCGCCAGTTGGTGGAAGCCAATAGGGCACTCTTGACTGTCTTGGCAGTCTTTTCCCTGGTGGATCCCAGCTCCTACAATAGTGTCTGACCCATAATATGAGCTCATAAATTATTTTTATTGAATTATTTATTTTTATTGATATTCATCTGTAAATAAATGAATAGAAACAAAAAGTCCTATGTAATTTGTGTGTCTTCAGGCCTCCATGGCCTCTGACATTAAGTAACATCACGTAACATCATTAACCACTTTTTTTTTTTTTTTTTTTGAGACAGGGTCTCACTCTGTCACCCAGGCTGGAGTGCATTGGTGCAAGCTCGGCTCACTGCAACCTCCTCCTCCCGGGTTCAAGAGAGTCTCCTTTCTCATCTCCTGAGAAGTGGGGATCACAGGAACGCACCATCACACCTGGCTAATTTTTGTGTTTTTACTAGTATTGGCCAGGCTGGTCTTGAACTCCTGACCTCAGGTGATCCACCTGCCTTGGCCTCCCAAAGTGCTGGGATTACAGGCCTGAGCAATCGCACCCAGCCATTAACCACAGTTTTTGTAAGTGCTTTCAGCTGGTTTTGCAGGACTCCTGGCTCCCTGAAAAATCCACTTAAGTACTTCTGAGAGTCCTTATAAGGGGGCGTTTCCCTTTGTGAAGAATCCCTACACCGAATCTATCTTCTTCTTTTCCTGATAGGGCTGCTCCTCCTTGCTGTCTTTTGCTCATGAAGCTGCCTAAAGGGTGACTCAGCACTATGCAACTTCCAGGTACCAACTATGAGATGCCAAAGTCCATCCAAAGGATGGACCCAAGGCTACTGGATCTTAAGGTTTCAGACAAGTGTGTGAGACTTTGTACATGAAGTTGGAGAATGCCTCACTCTCTACCCTGTACAGGGTTGTGATCCAGAGCTGGATTTCAGACCCCTGTTTCTACAGGAACTCTAAACAAGCCCAGGTAAAAGACACACCACATCCATTTCTCCAATTAAACAAACAGCAAACAAAGATACAACTTTATCCTCTTTTCTTTTCTTTTTCCCCTCCCTCCCTCCCTTCCTTCCTTTTCTCTCTCTCTCTCTTCCTGTTTTTTTTAGAAAGGGTCTCACTCTGTCACCGAGGCTAGAGTGCAGTGGCGCAATCTCAGCTAACTGCAACCTCCACCTCCTGGGTTCAAGCAATTCTCCTGCCTCAGCCTCCCGAGTAGCTGAAATTACAGGCGCCCATCACCATGCCCAGCTAATTTTTTGTATTTTTAGTAGAGACGGGGTTTCATCGTGGTAGCCAGGATGGTCTCAATCTCCTGACCTCGTGATCCACCCGCCTCAGCCTCCAAAAGCCCTGGGATTACAGGTGTGAGCAACCGCACCCGGACTATCCTTTTTCTTTAATCAAACAGCAAAATGTCTTCCTATCAGTTTTTGTAAAAATTTCTAGAAATGTCATTGGCCAACTAGCTTCACTAACACTCAAGCTCTGAATTGCAGCTAGGTTAGCTCTTCTTGATATATTTACATCCAAAAGGAGGAAAGAGCTTCAAAGAGGGTGTGGCCAACCCCGTACAAATAAGGAGAATAGGTCTGAGAAGAGGCCATTGAATTTGGCACCTAGTAACTTGTTTGTAGTAGTAAAGGAGTTTCTGTAGTCACCTGGAGTCTGACTTAAAAGCACTCAAAGGATTTTGGATGTTCTGTAGGTCGACTGGGCTCCACTAAACATTTGGCAACAGACAAGCATTTCTCTCCAAGACATTGAGAAATACAGAGCAATTCTCTTTATTTTCTTTAGAGATGGAGACATGCTCCTGTAGCCAAAGCAAAATTTGGAGCCATTTTGCTTCCTGGTCCCTGGGCGTAGGTTTGCTCTTTTGTTTAATAAGAGAGTCAACAGTGCTTTTTACAATCAGTGGTTTCTCCAGCATCCTGACTAATATTATCTCCCTTCACAAAATAGGCTTTGGCAGCCCAGGCTGTGGTAAACAATTCCTGAGAGTGCAGTCACTGTGGTCACTCTGGCCCCCTCCGCTCTCGCCATCTTCTAAACCCAAGCTGTAAACATTCTGGAACAAGGGCTCCATAAACTCAAGCTATTTTGTTCCTTCAGAGAACAAGTCACAATAAAAAGAGGTTTATAAAGGCGTCGTTTTTTTGCCAAGAGAGTTGAATGAATTCTTTTATCTCCTCATGATTCATTCCTAATTGCAAGATTTTTATTTTTAGAAAGCATTTTGGAGGTTTTTGTTATGTAGTGGTAAAAACACAAAATGATGCACTCAGCATTCCAGATCACAGGCTGGAGAGGAGGAGGAGTTCTGTGGATGTGGCTCTCGCCATGCAAGGAGCCTGTGGTCTTGGTCAGCCTGGGCTGCTGTAACAAAACGTTGTCGACTGCGGCTCTGAACCACAGGCATGACCTTCTCACAGTTCTGGGAGTTGGGATGCTGAGGTCAGGCTGCCAGGCTGTTGGGCGCTTGGTGAGGGCCCTCTTCCTGGTTATGTCCTTACCTGGTCTTTTTGAGTGGCGCATGGAGAAAGAAAGAGATCCTGGGTCTCCTCTGCTTTTTATAAGGGCACACACTGATCCCATCACGAGCACCCCAGATCCTGGGTCTCCTCCACTTTTTATAAGGGCGCACACTGATCCCATCATGAGCACCCCAGATTCTGGGTCTCCTCCACTTTTTATAAGGGCACACACTGATCCCATCACGAAGACCTCACCTTCATAACTTCATCTAACCCAAATCCCCTCCCAAATGCCCCACTTCCAAATACCATCACATTGAGAGTTAGCATGTCAATATATGACTTTTGGGAGGACACACTCATTTAGTTCATAGCACCTGTAATCAGTGAATACAAGAATCGTTGATCTCTGTAGCGGAAGAGGATTTTCTCGTTGCCTGACTGCTCTTGAAAACAGTCCTCCTGGAGAGAAGAGTGGAGTGCAGGAGGTGATGACATTTTCATTCCATATGTGAAACAATAAATGCCTGATAGTGAGAGTTTTCAGAAGGATGAACAGGCTGTTTGTAAGAATACTGAGTTCTATGTGACTGGTGGTATCTAAGCAGGGGTTGGGTAATTGTGGAAAAACTTTAAGAGCATTCAGAAGGGCCCAGAGAAGTGGCTCGTGTCTGTAATCCCAGCACTTTGGGAGGCCAAAGTGGGAGGATCGCTTGAGGCCAGGAGTTTGAGACCAGCCTGGTCAACTTAATGAGACCCTATCTCTACAAAAAATTACAAAATTGGGTGGGCGTGATGGTGTGCACCTATAGTCCCAGCTACTCAGGAGTCTGAGGTGAGAGAATCTCTTGAGCCCAAGAGTTCAAGGCTGCAATGAGCTGTGATCGTGCTACTGCCCTCCAGCATGGGAAACAGAACAAGACTCTGTCTAAAAAAAATGTGTATGTAGATATATGGCAGTCCGAGCACCCAGGTCCCCAGTTCTCCTTTCAGTGCTGAAGCTATGTGTTTGAAAATTTACTTGGGGGCCACAGCTGCATACACCCTCATCACTTCTGCACAATTCTCAGTCCTCAGGAGGCAATAGTTTAGACTTAAACTTCAACGTAAGCAGACTACATTGGAGAAGGACAAAGGGAAGCTTTCCTTGGTTCCATAGGACATTGTCAAGGAGTCAGGGGCAGGACTGGAATGAACAGTATGAGAAATGAAGTATGCACAATCGTGCGTGAACATTATGGGAAACATGACAAAGATGCGATGATTTTGCAGTCCCCAAGTTCCCTGCGTGTAAAATCAAGTGTCACAAGCAAAGCAGAATACTTGTCAGTTCTTTTCAGTGATAATGTTGACACCATTCCTCCTGGTTTGAGTTCCTTTCTTCCCATGCTCTCTCTACCCACAGAAATTCAGCCAGTTTTCCTGTCCCAAATCAAATAGGACTTTCCCCATAAAATAATTCCCTGATTCATAAAATACAATGACTATAATAATTATCTGATTCCTGCTATCCACATGTCTTTTGATCTATTCTGTTTAGCACTCTTATATCTCTTAGGTTATTCTTTACTCTAAAAATACCTTTTCTTACATACTAGAGTCTAATTTTTTGAGGACAGACATTGTGTCTTTTTTAGACTTTTATATCCCTAAGATGTCAAATACCCTACCTTATGGCTAGTACATCTCAGTAGATAGATATTAGGTGGCCGGGTGAATGAGCAGAACATTCTAAATGGGGAGAAACGGCAAAGCTACCTTGCTGCTGCAGGATTCTGCTCCCTTTTTCCTTAGATCTAACTATGTGGTCTTTTATTTCAGACACTCGGCTGGGAAGTGAGAGACTCAAAACAACGTGAGAAGTAGAAAGCGGGCAAGTTTGTTGGGGCCATATGTAACTTCATGAATATCACTGTTTCAAGGACTAAGTTATAAGTTTTACCCTTTTCAGATAAGGAAAACAGAGTGTGAGTGGGGTTAGAAAGAGGAAAAACAGCAAGCCAAGTTGAATCACTCATCCTGAGAGGCATTCAAATACAGAGTTATGGAGAAAGCGACTTTCCTCCACAAGGGTAAACCCCTCAACAGCAGCTGGTAAACCTCAGTCCACAGCGCAGAGTGTGAGAAAGGGAAGATTTCAAACAACTTAAATACAAAGAAAACACTTTTTTAAAACATTAGTGATTCTTTTCCACATTTCCCTTTAGGCTCTATTCATACGGAAAATATTCCGCTACACCTCACAGCAATATATCTTATTTTTTTTAATATGCAGCAACCGTCAGCCAACTCATAGCTGAAGCAGGGACACTGTGCAGCTCTTGGAGCTTGTTCTTAGTATGTGTTCAGAGGGCTAATACTCTGTCAAGCAGGGCGGATGATAGCCAGAGCAAACAGCCACGGTCCCCACGGTGGAAAATAACGTTGCCAGGCAAGCCAAAATATGATTTTTTCTATGAATTTTCTTTCCAGGGAGTACCTCTGAAAAACACCTCTCTAGCATAACAGTCACTGAATTAAGTTATATATTTTTAGACACCACTAACTGTTCTTTGTTTTTTCTTCCATTTCTAGAAAATTCCGCACATCTGGAAAGAACAGCAATGAACAGGAACTTGTGCATTCGTGCTAGGCTCCTACTGGGCCCGCTTCGTTTCATTTCCTCCATTTTTATGACACTTTCCCATGCTGCTACTCCAGACATTCCATCAAACACCTCGCCACGAACAAATTGAAAGGGAAGGAAATCTAAAGAAAGTCTGACTGAATTTCTGAGTGTCTCATCACTAGAATGACCAGGAAAACCTGCCAGGAGTGTAGATTCAGGCCCCTAATCCCACTTCTCTGCAGTCTCCTCTTGGTCTCTGTGTATAAGCTCTCCTGCCTTTTTGCACCTCTAATCCATTGTCAGACAAACTGGCCTACTTGTGTTTGCCTCTGAGAGCCTGTCCACTTCCTCACGTTAGGAGAAAGAACACAAAGAATCCTAGCTTTGATTCAGTTTTCCATACTTCAGCCATCAGTCTACCATCAAGCACATTTTTTACTGGGCAAATGAAAAGTCATTGCTTTCAATTTTTTTTTTTTTTTTTTAGACTGAATCTCACCTGTCACCCAGGCTGGAGTGCAGTGGCACAATCTCGGCTCACTGCAACCTCTGCCTCCCAGGTTCTAGCAATTCTCCTGCCTCAGCCTCCCAAGTGGCTGGGATTGCAGGTGCCCACCACCATGTCCAGCTAATTTTTTTGTATTTTGAGTAGAGACGGGGTTTCACCATGTTGACTAGGCTGGTTTTAAACTCCTGACCTCAAATGATCCACCCACCTCAGCCTCCCAAAGTACTAGGATAATAGGTGTGAGCCACAGCACCCCGCCAATATTTTTGTTTCTAATAAAACAAGAACTAGTAGTGCACTCCGTCTAGAGCAAGATAGTGTGGTGGGGACAGGGAGCAAGTAGGTAGGGGATAAATAGGTCAAGAACTGAATTCACAATTGAGGCTTTAAGCTTGATAAGAAATAAAGCAAGTTTGAATCATCTGGGTCCCTGGGGAAGCATTTGTTTAGAAAAAGATCAATAGTAAATAAAAATACCACGCACCTAGTTTCCAGGTATTGATTTATCTAAAAGGGACCTGGCTTTCACATATTTACGATATGCAAGTGCATTTCAAAGCTTTGCCTGACAGCTGGATGCAAGCTGGGTGAGGCTGTAGGGGTGACAGTGTCATCACATGTGAGAGAGGCTGTGGGGGTGCAGGTGTCATCACATGTGAGAGAGGCTGTGGGGGTGACAGTGTCATCACATGTGAGAGAGGCTGTGGGGGTGACAGTGTCATCATATGTGAGAGGCTGTGGGGGTGACAGTGTCATCACATGTGAGAGAGGCTGTGGGGGTGACAGTGTCATCACATGTGAGAGAGGCTGTGGGGGTGACAGTGTCATCACATGTGAGAGAGGCTGTGGGGGTGACAGTGTCATCACATGTGAGAGAGGCTGTGGGGGTGACAGTGTCATCACATGTGTGAGAGGCTGTGGGGGTTCAGGTGTCATCACATGTGAGAGAGGCTGTGGGGGTGACAGTGTCATCACATGTGAGAGAGGCTGTGGGGGTGACAGTGTCATCACATG
Source organism: Homo sapiens (assembly GCF_000001405.40). Taxonomy (NCBI): domain Eukaryota; kingdom Metazoa; phylum Chordata; class Mammalia; order Primates; family Hominidae; genus Homo; species Homo sapiens. The sequence goes on from NC_000004.12 coordinate 187,214,685, forward strand.
TGAGAGAGGCTGTGGGGGTTCAGGTGCCACCACATGGGAGACAGGCTGTGGGGGTGACAGTGTCATCACATGTGAGAGAGGCTGTGGGGGTGACAGTGTCATCACATGTGAGAGAGGCTGTGGGGGTGACAGTGTCATCACATGTGTGAGAGGCTGTGGGGGTTCAGGTGTCATCACATGTGAGAGAGGCTGTGGGGGTGACAGTGTCATCACATGTGAGAGAGGCTGTGGGGGTTCAGGTGCCACCACATGGGAGACAGGCTGTGGGGGTGCTGGGTACCACCACATGTGAGAATACAGAAAACACAAAGCCGTCAGCTACGGAGAATTAAAATCAAATTCGCATAGCTCTGTACTCTTTCAGGGGATGATTCTTGGCCTATTTTAAATATTCTGAATTAACTTTTTCATTTCCTACATTTTTTCCCTGACACAAGCACATTCCCTTAGAAAGAGAAGAATCATACCGTATCTCTATGGAGATAAATATATTCCTTGGTTTAAAACAAAATCCTTTCTTTCTTCCTTATTTCCTTCATTTCCTTTCTCTCCCCCTTCCTCCTTCTCCTCCTCTCCATCTCTTTCTTTCTTTCTTTTTTTTTTTTTTTTCTGAGATGGAGTCTTGCTCTGTCGCCCAGGCTAGAGTGCAGTGGCACCATATTGGCTCACTGCAACCTCCGCCTCCCAAGTTTGAGCGATTCTCCTGCCTCAGCCTCAGAGTAGCTGGGATTACAGGCACCTGCCACCGTGCCCGGCTAATTTTTGTATTTTTAGTAGACATAGGGTTTCACCATTTTGGCCAGGCTGGTCTCGAACTCCTGACCTTGTGATCCACCCACCTCGGCCTCCTACAGCGCTGAGATTGCAGGCGTGAGCCACCGCGCCCGGCCTCCATCCCTTTCTTATTATTATTTTAGCTGAGCAGCCCTCAGGCGAGGGTGTCATCTGCGCAGCGGGAGGCAGAGTCTGAGTTAGGTGCATGGTGGAGTCACACTGCCAGCCGCTGTGGACCGTGGGAACGATGCCTGGCAGGGTAAGGGTGGCAGGGGTGCAGCGTGGGCTGTTGGTGATTGGGAGAGGAAAGACGGCATCCACAAAGGGTGTGACGGGGTGATGCCCACGGAGGGTGCTGAGGGAGATGATGGCTTTGACAGGCGTTGAGTACCTTTATTGGTACTCTGGTGCCGAGAATCACCAATATGGAAAAGGAGAAAACTGGGATGAACCCGTTAATGTTGGACTGGAAATGGAAATATCGTGTGGATTTCAATAGAGAGATAAACAGATACTATAATTACATGCAATATAATTCATCTGTTTCCTAGTTCTGTCCTCTGAGAGTCAGAGAGAAGTGACACCTCAAGAGCAGTCGGCACATCTTTTCCGTGGTCTGTAAATGCCATTCTCCACTGAGAGGACTCATGGCTCCTTGGAGAGCTCGCTGAATCCTGAGCTGGGGAACGGAAGGTACAGATGGGCCAGAAACACCTTTTTGTATGGGAAGATAAGAAAATGGTCCCGAAATTATAAAACTATGTTGAGAAGACATTGTCAAATCTGGGATCATTTGATTGTCAAATAAGTAATGACAGTGACAGATTATAACCAGTTGAATAAGATGGGAATCCATGAGTCTATGCAGATATGAATGAATGAATGAGAGAGGTAAAATATTTTCCTTTTATCTCTGATTTAAGCAATTCAGCAAAAACATCAAGGCATGTAAAACATGTGGGTGAAAGTTAGATGAGGTACAAACTACTTGGATAGTCTCAAGGTACCTCTGCACAAAATACTTCCAATTCCAAAGGTAGAAGAGAATAGATTTACTATGAGGGAACCTGGAAGATATGACCTTAATCCAGTGCTCATGTTTAATATCACCAGTAATGGGACAAAGTGCATTTGTTTGCAACCTGAGGGGACACAATGAGGAAAACATGGAATCACTGCTCTGATATTTCTGCTCAAAATGCTCAACTTGCATCTGGACATGAAGAAAAATCACATAAACCTAAATAGGAGGACACAGTACAAAATACCTAGCCTCTAATTTTCAAAAGTTTCAAGTTTACACACCAGTCAGGTAAAGAGGGAGAAGGCATGAATCCAGCCTGAGGGTAACTAAACAGACATGACAACTGTATTAGTCCGATTGTACATGGCTATAAAAAACTCCCTGAGACTGGGTGATTTATAAAGAAAAGAGGTTGAATTGACTCACAGTTCTGCATGGCTGGGGAGGCCTCAAGAGACTTACAATCATGGCGGAGGGGGAAGGGGAAGCAGATGCCTTCATCACATGACAGCAGGAAAGAGAGAGTGAGGGAGGATCTGCCACACTTTTAAAGCTTCAGATCTCATGAGAACTCCCTCCTATCACGAGAACAGCATGAGGGAAACTGCCCCATGATCCAAACATCTCCCGCCAGGTCCTGACACAAAGGGATTACAATTTGAGATGAGATTTGGATGGGGACACAGCCAAACCATATCAACAACTGAATATTAATATAACTGGATTCTTTCTATTGGAAAAATGGTGAAGCTTGAATCAACTATATGGATTAGATGGTAGTAATATACCCATTTGACTTCCTGATTTTGGTGGTTATATTATGGTTATGTAGAACGATGTCCTCATTTATTAGAAATTTATACTAACATATTTGGGAGGTGATGGGGCATAAGGTTGCAACTTAATTTAAAATGATTTTAAAAAGAAAGAACTTCTTGTACTATTATTTTAAATTTTGTAAGTTTAAAATTATTTTAAAATAAAAATGTGAATACATACACAAAGAAGTGCAAACAAAATCGGAAATTTGAACAAGATCTGTGGGTTGTATGAATTTCACATCCTAGCTATAATAGTGTACTATTGTTTTGCAAAATGTTACTATTGAGGAAAATTGGTTAAAGGTATAACAAAACTTGTGTATCATTTCATGCAATTGCATGTGAATCTATAATTAGTTCAAAAAGATTTTAATTATAGAAAATAGTTTTAAAATGTTCGATTTGAGGGAACTAGCATTGAACGAGCAAAGCTTTTCAGTGAATCATCATAACAGTTCTATGACATTTCACATTATTTTATTCAATACACAGACTAAGAACATAAAGGGAGAGAATTTAAGAAATATGCTTAAGACTTGATTGTTATTAACTAGAATGAATGAAATTAGATTAAAAATGTCTGGGTCTACAGATAGAATAAAATATTCCAAATATACTCAATTACCATTACTGATGAAACTAATAAATGCATAATTTTTGTCAAATAAAGTAGATCTAAATTTTTTTAAAAAAAATAGGTACTTAGTTCTCTGTGCAGGTTATGAGGGTAAATAATTTTTATTACTAAGATTCCACAGAACCTAAATTTCAATATGAACCTGAAAATAATATTTTCGTAATTCACCTACAAACAGACCCAACCTCTAAAAGTTCATAAGGAATGACTTTGGTATTTTCTTGGCAGAAATTGCAATTTTATAAATCAAACAGTTAGCAGTTGACATGAAAATACTTAAGAAAAATATAGAAACAGAAATAAGACGTGAGAATAGATGTACTGATTACCTAAGTAGGAGATTCTGTCCTCTAAAATTAGCTCACTTTTAGTGTTGGACACATGTGATAGGCTGAGGGAAAATAGATTCTTCTTTAAGAACATGGAACATCATTAGGCAAATTAAGTTATTGCTGGTTATCTGCTCTCTGAAAAAAAAAAAGGCCCCTATTCTAACACTGGAACTCCAGATGCAGCTCATGGAATCAGCATGTGTTGAACTAAACGTAGAGCACATGACAGGTGAGAGCTGCTGGGAGACGTAGGGAATGGCCACGCGTGGGAGCAAACAATGAGACCAATTCCTCTTTGGCAATAATAAACAGTCTTGTTTGTCTGAGACGCAGTCTCACTCTGTCACCCAGGCTGGAGTGCAGTGGCGCGACCTCGGCTCACTGCAACCTCCGCCTCCCAGGTTCAAGCGATTCTTGAGCCTCAGCCTCCCAAGTAGCTGGGACTACAGGCGCGCACCAGGATGCCCAGCTAAGATTTTTGTATTTTTAGTAAAGGCAGGATTTCACCATGTTGGCCAGGCTGGTCTGGAACTCCTGATCTCAAGTGATCCGCCCACCTCGGCCTCCCAAAGTGCTGGGTTTACAGGCATGAGCCACCGCGCCCGGCCAATAAACAGAGTCTTAAAAATGTAAATTCAAAATCATAGGGAACATATTTCCGACTTATCTCTGGCCGCAGTAAAGAAAACAACGGAGATGGAAAAGCTCAAGAATGCAGTCAGCTTTCTCCATCCACCCTGACATACAGTGTGAAATATGACTGACTGAAGCTCCGCTTTCAAGATAAAGGATGATCGTCACAACGGCTAGTATTTGTGGGCTTCCCGTAGTTGTCTAGAGTTACCAAGTGGCAAGTGGCTGCCGCGAGATGAACGCGGAGTAGCTTGGCCGTAAAGACCATGTTCTCGGTAATTAATTAGTCCTTTGTGAGCAGTTCAGTACAACTTTGAAATGTATTTACAAACTTCAGAAGTTATAACAGATTTTTGGAAAGGACACTATTATTTAAACTGTAAACGGATCTTGCTGGAAATCTATAAAGACAGTTTGGATGTATTTACACTGACATTTAAAAAATATCTTTTTTTTTTTTAACCAAAGGAAATTCTTTATTGTAAATAAGATATAAAGTACAACAAAAGAACTATTGTGCAAATTGTAAGTCATAAGGATTTTTTTAATTAAAACTTTTGTTTTCTAAGGATCCAAGTTTTGATGTCAGAAATCTACACCCAATATACAAAAACAATGTTAAATGGGAAGATATAGTGACATTTTTCATTACATATTTTAAGCAATTTACTTTTGTTTTGCCACTGTGTATATCATCCACTATATAACAGAATAAAAGAGAAATACTGTTAACAAAAGCAAATGTTCTAATAATAATTTTTCTACCCAACTACCTCCACATTCCCAAAAAACTCCTACAAATTAACAGGACAACATTTGTAATTTAATTGCTTTGAAGCATAGCTACGATTTGTTTTTGCATTTTTGTTTTGAAAGTTTAACAAATGACTGTATCTAGGCATTTCATTAGCTTAGAACTTTAGTTTGCCTGCAGTTTCTTGTGCAGATTTGAAAACTGTATACCAGTGTGTTTTCTGTAGACTCTAAGATACACTGCACTTTGTTTAGAAAAAAAATCTGAAGATGAAATATATATTGTAAAGAAGGGATATTAAGAATCTTAGATAACTTCTTGAAAAAGATGGCTTATGTCATCAGTAAAGTACTTTTATGTTATGAGGATATAATGTGTGCTTTATTGAATTACAAAATTAGTGACCATTAAAAAATATCTTTGTGTACTTTGCTGGCTACATCTCAAGGACTTTTTTAAATCTTTTGGGAATTATAGTTCAAATTTCCATATTTTTCTACCAAGTGTAAGGATATAGCTGGGCTATTCTCATATTAACATCCAGACCTCCTAAAAGCATGATTAACTGAGAGATTTAAACCAATGTCCTTTTTCTGCTCTTTTAAGACACAAAAAAACTTGAAAGAACTATATTTAGTGTCTACTAGAATCACTATCCAGTACATTTAAATAATGCACATTTAAATGAATAATATATAATTTAGATCAAAATTTTTTTTTATGTTAAGTGTGATTAAATACATTTCCCCTAATCTTCAATTATTATTCATGTTGATTTGCTCCTTCTTGAGTAAAGCCAGCTCACACCAAATCATTACTGGGTTATCCATGATTTTATGGCACTTGTCACTGGCTCCTCATTTGGGAATTAAGGTACCTTACTCAAGTATCAAAAATTTTACAGCCCTTTCTCTCTATCTTCTGTAGACTTATTATCCCTCTATTAAGAGAGACATAATTAATTTCTCTTAGAAACTCTCAGTACAAAGTCATAACTTACATTCCAAGTTCTAAGCTTTCTCTCCGCTTTGACTAATTTTTATGTTGTAACAAAAACTATGCAGCTGAACAATATAATGGTCTGAAAAAAGTGACAATATTTTTAAAAATTTTATGCAAATGTTATTTGCACAAGAATTTTAAAGTTTTCCTCTTAATGCAGTCCCCAATCAGATATTCCACAAATTGATTTTTACCTTCCTCTCCTATTTAAGAATAGAAATGTCTTAATAAATTGAAGTATGTTAAGACACTGTGAGAGTCTCTTTAAAATTGTTGTGTTCAAGAAAAGGATGGGCCAGGTGTGGTGGCTCACGCCTGGTATCCCAGCAGTTTGGGAGGCCAAGGCAGGCGGATCACTTGAGGTCAGGAGTTCAAGACCAGCCTGGCCAACATGGTGAAACCCATCTCTACTAAAAATACAAAAAAGTAGCCGGGCATGGTGGTGGGCGTCTGTAATCCCAGCTACTCGGGAGGCTGAGGCAGGAGAATTGCTTGAACCCGGGAGGCGGAAGTTGCAGTGAGCCGAGATGACGCCACGGAACTGCAGCCTGGGTGACAGAGTGAGACTCTGTCTCAAAAAAGAAAAAAAAAAACGGTGAAGATAAAATACTTAGGAAAAAAAACTTAGAGATGCTGCTAGACTACTCACTAGATATTATTATACAATTATTGGAAAATAATTTTCAGACTGACAAATGTTGACTATATTTTGCCAACGAATCCAGCTGCAGGGAGAATCCTGACCTGCTGACAACATAGCTTGCAAGTTTACTGCACAGTGCTCCATTTTAGCCCCGCCTCCAGGAGGTGCCGGGTCTTCGGCGATGAAATTATTCAAAAAGTATGTCTGAAATGATTCATTCTTTTCCCCTTTCGTTTGCTTTTGAGGCCCCTTTTCTTAGCAGAGAATTTAGAAAAGTCAGATTGGGATCAGGTACTGTGATGCAAGGGCCTGGTCTCTTCAGTTCTGGTTTAGGCCTTAACAGAAAGGACAAGTAGAATGCTTGAGGCTTTCACAGTCAACCAGTTCAACCAACATTTGGTGACCAGATAGGATTTGAGGGCAGAAGCCCAACCAGGAACAAATAGTTTTATTTGTTAGAGTATAGCCTGCATCCCATCCTTTAGAACTTAAGAATAACCAACAGCTAAGTGGGGAGGTGAGTTAGGTATGGCCGAGGCAAGGGGACAGCATCCAGAGAAGTTAGCCGGGTGTTACCCCAAATCTGGGCCATAGTGGACAGTTTTCCATGTTCAGTGTCATTAGTTGTTTTAATAACAATTGTCATGATTAATGAAAAATCCTTCATTAAGGAAATGCTGAAATGTGTCTTATGATCTTATTCCCCTAGATTTTAGATTGGGATCTCAGGAAGACAAGAGGTCAATATTACTCTGAGCAATTGCCATCCACAGGGAAATGGATACACGAAGGTGATGGGGAGCTGATTCTGGGCTCCTCAACACCAGCAAGTAAAGATAACCCTTCCCCGCATAACGTTAAGTCTCTTCTATTGATAAAGAGTGTGTCAGGGAATTTTAATTATCTATTGCATTAGATACTTATGAAACTTTGTAGAAAAACAAAATACTTGTGCACATGAAAAGAAAAGGTATTTGCATCCTATAAATTTCTATTTTAATTTTTGCTAGTATTCATGTTTGTGTATTTTATACTTTTAATGTGTTGAAACATACATTTTTATTTTGACTTTTGCAATTCATGGTAATATTTATGCTTCCATCTACTAACAGAATTGACAATTATATATAGGATTTTATTATAAATATTATATTATTATAATATTATCCATGTAGTCTGATTCTGACCAACGATGTTGCACTTGACCAGGTTGCTCTGAAGTTGAAATGAGCCAGTTCATAGTGCTGTAGGCTTAGGCAGCATTGTGCGTTACTGAAATTTATTTTTGAAGTTTTAATTGCAAAATGTAATAAAAACAAAATTGTTTTTATTTTTGTTTCTGTACATTTTTTTTCAGCATATGGCTTATGATTTCTATTTCCTTATAGGTGAGCTTTTAATTTATAATGATCATTTGCTCAGCAGGAGAAGGCCTGTAACTTTGTATACTTGTATGCACGTGTGTGAGATCAAGCTTTTATCAGTTATATTGTTATATATCTTGTCATTTATGTGTGTCCTCACTATCATTTATAGAAATTATTTTAATTTTAATATATATAAATATTCATTGGCTATTTTTCCTTTGATGATGTGTGTTCTTAGTATTGCACTTGTTCCCCTACCAACCCAGGCTTTATTTAAACAGAATTGCCTACAGCTCCATGGTGCCTTAAGAAAGCAGTCATATAGCAAAAGTAAACTGAGGGAACAGATCGCCCCACCAAAGTTGCAAAAACTCCTTGTGTCTCTAGCTGTAATTTACCATTTTTAAGGGAGTATTTTGCCAGCTGAAAATGAGTTATTTAACCCAAAATGTATATCCCTAACAATGTACACATCTCCATTTGTATCTACTAATATTCTGGTAATTGTTTTATTTTTGCTTCCATCATAACATATCTTTCCAAATTTACATGGCAATATATTATTTTAATAATTCTTTTTATGATGGGATAATTTCAATTGTGTAGACATTTAAACGCACCATTTTTAAAGTCTGAGAATTGATCATTTTTCATTATTATCTAAATATTTAAGATTCTAAGTATGAACTAAATCTGTACAGTGACTCTATACTGTCTTAACTGGGACCATTATCCACTGGAAATTATCCACCAGATCTATCTATTGATCTATTGATCTATCTATTTATCTATCTCATCATCTATCTGTCTTAGCCCCGGGGGTAGGTTTTTAGCACCTAGATCAGTTTTTCACAGCTATTCTCCATGCATTCGCTTGCTTTAGGTCATGTGAGGTGATGATTTCAGAGTTGATTCCGAGGTTATGACCAACCTATTGGATTTGTTTCCGTGGTGGAGCTGCAGATGTATGAATTTATAACAAATTCTCCAGTTGATTCTTATACACACTAAATGCGAAAACTAGAGCTCTAGGAGTTTTCCTTTTCTAGGCTCATCTAAGTACAATCAAATATAATGTAAGTTTTATTACCCAAGTTAAAGAACATTTAAAAATAACCAATATTTAAGGATGAAATATAAATTATTTTTTCCACATCAATCATATGAAATTGTTAAATATCTCTCCAAGAGATTTTAAAGAAAATTAGTTCCTCTACCTGTAAAAATATACAGGTGACCATTTTCTAGACATGCGTTACTTGAATTTCTTTAAATTACTCTCTTCTGAATGAATAAAATTTACTATCTATTGATTGGCGAATATTTACTGTTTTATTAAAGTGTAACATACATACATAGAAAAACTGTCCAAAGCCTAAGAGCACAGTTTTGTAAATTTTTACGAATTGAGCACACCTATGCAACCAGCACACATATCCAGGAAGACAGCACTGTCAGAACTCATCCCTCCTACCAGTCACTACCATCTCCCCAGGGAGCATTTCACCTATTCCGATTTATAATACCACACTTCTGTGGTTAGCCTAAACTACAGGTTTGTTTAGGCTAACTTTGAACTTCACACAATTATAAGCCCTTCATTTCTGGCTTATTGTGCCCCAGCATTACGTTTCTGAGACCCAGCCATGATGCTGCCTGTTATTACTTTATTCTCATTGCTGTATGATATTCCATTTTATGAATATTCCATACTTTACCAAAGATAGAAATGCCTGGATCATAGATGACCCAGCTAGGAGTATGAGGATGCTGGATGCTGATGGTGTTTAACAACCAGAGTCTGAGAAAAAAGAAGAAAAAGCACTCTGATTTACAGCACTTGCCAATTTCTGAGGTGCAAATCTTTTCACCTTTGCCAATTTCAAGCAACCAGTGGTGCATCTCGCAAGCTGGTCAGCCAGCCCAGCACCCCTTTGGCAGATAGTACCAAGCAGACTTCTCGAGCGGCTTCAGCCCCACCAGCAGTCTGTGACAGTTCTAGTTGCTCCACATACTTAAAGAGGATTTTTACTGCTGTGGATTAGTTTGCTTTTAGCAGTTCTGGTAGGGACGAAGTGGAATTGACTGTGATTTTTAATGGGCATTCCCTTGTTGACCAATGACATTAGTCAGCATATTTATATTAGCAGCATATTTTAATATATTCATTGGCTATTTAAATATTCATTAATTGGAGTTCCTGTTAAGTCTACTATCCGTGTTTTCTAAGTTGTCTTTTATTTTGGTGTGAATTTTTAAAATGTAACATAAATAAGTTTCTCTCTTATTCATCATAACTCTTACACAACTGGATATCTGTTTCGGAATCTCAGAGTATCAAGCCTAGACTTTGTGTTACTAATAGAGCCCACTAAATCTTTTCAACAGCAACTTCCCTGATCTTTAAAAGCAGATTAGAGCTTCACCCTCCACTTAGAGTGGAGAAAGGTTTTTACCTTCTAACGACTTCTTTGTGAAGTTAGAATAAAAACATTCCCTGTGCCATCTGCCAGACCTTGGCCTGCTTTGTGCCTCTGTCTGCCCCCATCACTTCTTCCCGGTTCCTGTCCCGAGGACCTGCTGAGCTCACTGTGCCTTTGCACTTACTCATTTCTGTACCTGGAATAATCTCCCCTCGGTTTGCACTTGACTCTCTGCTTCTCTTCACTCGGTCCTCATAGAAGCCTTTCCTGACCACTCCTCCTTTAGAAACACTCTATCCAACTACTGAGCTTTAATCACATCATAGCAATTACTAACATGAGAAATGGCCATATGTATTTGTTTACATCTTTATTTTCTGTCTCCCACCTTTTAAATACATGATGCAATAAAGATACTTAATCTGTCATTTCATTCCTGCATCTAATACTTAAAACACGGCCAGGTACATAATTAGAATTATTGAATGAATAAATTAAATGCTTATTTGAAAAAATTGGTTTCTTCGCAAACTTCAACTCCTAGAGCATTGTACACAATTGCAAACATCATTTATCCCCTTAGCCATATTTTCTTAACAAAAGATTTTCCCGCACTTTACAAAAGTGTGATTTTTCATACTTTCTAAAAAGTTTTGGCTGGGCACAGTGGCTTACGCCTGTAATCCCAGCACTTTGGGAGGCCGAGGTTGGTGGATCACAAGGTCAGGAGATTGAGACCATCCTGGCTAACACGGTGAAACCCCACCTCTACTAAAAATGCAAAAAATTAGCTAGGTGTGGTGGTACCTGCCTGTAGTACCAGCTACTTGGGAGGCTGAGGCGTGAGAATCGCTTGAACCTGGGAGGTAGAGGTTGCAGTGAGCCAAGATTGCACCACTGCACTCCAGCCTGGGCGACTGAGTGAGACTCCATCTCAAAAGAAAAAAAAAGTTTTATTTTCTTGTGGTAAGAACACATAACATAAATAAGTTCTACCCTGTTAACAAATTTTAAGTGTATAGCATATTATTGTTGATTATAAAGACAGTGTTGTGTAGCTGATCTCTGAAGCTTATTCATCTTGCTTAACTGATTGGTAACTCTATTTTCCCTTTCCCCTGCCCTGACAACCACCATTCCACTGTTTGATCCTATAAATTTGACTGTTCGAGATACCTCATGTAATTGGAACCCTGCAGTATTCATCTTTCTGTGACTGGCTTATTCCATTTAACATAACGTCCTCAAAGTTCATTCATGTTGTGACATATTGCAGAATTTACTCCTTTGTAAAGGCTGACTAGCATTCCATTGTATGTGTGCACCACATTTTCTCTATCTATTCATTTGTGGATGGACCTTTAGTTGTTTCTACATCTTGGTTATTAATAGCGCTGCAACAGACATGAGAATGTCAATATCTCTTTGGATCCTGATTTTAATTCTGGTAACAAAAACAAAATAAACAAATGGTACTATATCAAACTAAAAAGCTTATGCATAGCAAAGGAAACAATTGGCAGAGTGAAAAGACAACCAATGGAATGGGAAAAAATATTTGAAACACATATATCTGATAAAGGGTCATCTCCAATATTTAGAAGGCTCTCCTACAAGGCAATAGAAAAAGAAAAAAAAATGAATGACCTGATTAAAAACTGGATTAAGGACTTGAAAAGACATTTTTCCAATGAAGACATACAAATGACCATCAGGTATATGAAAAAATGCCCAATGCCCCTAGTCATCAAAGAACTACAAATCAAAACAACAGTGATTTAAAAAAAAGACAAGTGTTAATGCAGATATGGAGAAATTGGAATCTTTGCACACCACCGATGGGAGTGCAATATAGTATAATGCTGTGGACAACAGTATGGAGGTTTCTCAATTAAAAATACAATTACCATATGATCCAGCAATTCCACTTCTGGGTAATTATCCCAAAGAATTGAAATCTTCCCTATTTTTATTTCAATATTATAAACAGCATATTTTTCCTTTGATGATTAAAGCTGGTTCAGATCCTTTTATTCCAACCAGATTCTACTTGGAATGCATAGTTTCAACTGTTGGACCTGAGACAAAAGTGAAGAAGAGAACAGGATGTACGTAAGGCAAGGTCAAATAGATGCATGTCCTATGAGGCAAATATTGTTCTAGGTGCCAGGAATGCCACAATGGACGCAATAGGTAGATTTTTGGGAAACACGAAATTAAGAACCGGGACAATCTTTATAAGACAGAGAATTGCAAATCAAATAAAAGCAAACACGAGGCTACACTTGTGAGGGGTAATAACAAAAGTGGCAAGAAAAGTAAGGGACCAGGGAAGTTGCACAGTAAATCCAGAAAAATTCTTGAGAAGACCTTTCTATTATGCTGGGGTTTCTTCCGAAGTTATGTGCAAAATCTTGAGGCTACTCTTGTGGCATCTGAACCTGGCCTGTAACATATTTCCAGTGTTACCCCGCCCCATCTGTTGGCAGAGGGAGATCTGGTCCTCTTGCAGCAGTGGTGGAGAAAGAATTCCATCAAGTTTGGGGGGATTTCTTGCTGGATCCTCGTTCCTCGGGTTGTCTCTTCAGAACCGTGCAATTTCGCAAGTCCTTCAACCAGTCGAGTCACAGCAAGGCTTCAATATGCTCAGACGACAGATTTGTCTCAAGTGAGATGCTGGGTGTGATGTGGTTAGGCTGAAAGAGATTAATGCAAAATAAAAGATGAGTTAATTGTAAAGCTGAGAGAAATTTGAGATGGAATGTAGTTGGGTTGCTGATGATTGCTGTGCCAATTTCTGTTAGGTAGATGAAGCAGTAATTTTGGCATGGAAGCCAGGCTTGCCCTTTGGTATTGGAGCATTCCCTGGGATTCGCTCATCAGGTGGAAGATGGTTTTTATTCTAATTTTACCTGTGAGAAAGTGGTCAGCACGAATTATTCAGTTCTTGACTGGGAGATTATATATACCTAAGCTGTGTCTCCACATGACTCAGCCTTTGCAAGTCACATTGAAAAGGAATACAACTATGACTGCAGAAGCTTTGAGGTATTCCCATTGCTTTTAACAAGTCCAGCCTAGGCATTTCACTCTGCTCCTCACACAGGAAATTTACCATACATCTGTTTAGGTACAGTTTCCTCTTTCTGTAATTACACATTCGTGAAAGCCACACATACGCAAAATAAATAAAAATATTTTTGTGTGTTGATGTCATTCTGCTCCTTTATTCTACTTGCTCCTACCTCTGTCTCCACCCTCACTAAACACACTCATGCACAATGTCCAGCCCATGCTACTCACCCGAGCCCTCTAGCCTAGCTTGCTGCACCATTCCTGTGCCCTGGTGCAGCTGTTAGACAAGCATAGCCTCACAGGCAGCCTGCTTACTTGGATTTAGGGCTGCAGCTGAGAGGCCTATAGATGACTTTTCAAACAAGAATCTCTAGGGTTCAGGGGAGGAGAGCTGTGAATGTTTGTATAACTTGTTTTTCCTGTTACATTGCTAGTGTGAACATAACATTGGGCAGATAGTTTTGAGAATTAGAGGAGGAAGCCATAAAGAGGAGAGTTTTCTTGGTAGATGTGGACCGTACTCTTAAAAAATTTTGCCATGAGCAATGGAATAGCTTAGTTTGTTTGTTCATTAGTTATATAGTGCCAGAAGTTTTATTTAAAAGTTCACTTTAAATGTTTAGTATTCATCTGACAAGAAGAGGTAAAATGATGATACACGAACTTTAGTTTGAAAACTGAAGGTAACATCCTGAAACTAGGAGATAAACTGAGTCTTGAAGTTAGATATTATATAACCCAAAAAACGATCACTCTAGATTATTTCTGAAGTTATGGTCTGAAGGAGGCCATCTTTGAAAGGGTATCTGCATTCACAGAAAGAATGTCACAGAACTGGGATAGGGATTGATCCATGATGAAATGTAAGAATAAAGATGACCAGACAGAGAGGGAGAAAGAGACAAGAACTAAAGACAAATTCAAATGGATTCTAGATTCCTAATTCAGCTCTTAATAGTGGCATATAATGTGATCTTTAAGGGAAAAAAGGTAGGAAAAACTATTTGGACAAATGAAACTTTACAGAGCATAATCTTGTTGAAAGCAATTTAGTTAAAAGCAAGATGGTCAGCAGATTACTTTGGCAGAAATATGATGGGTTCTCAATGACAATACCTAGACACTAGTTTTTTTTTTAATCCTAGTCATCTTTGGTGCACCATGGGGACACTTTGTAGAACTTCATACATGATTAGCTATTTTTTCCCCAATTTTGGGGTATTTTTCTACTTTTTTCATTTTGATATCTAATATGGTTTCAGACTTAGTTGTGTTTAACCAATAATTCCTCATTATTTTGCTTTTTGTTTTTACATTAATAATTCAAATTAAAATGATTTCCACACTACTCTGCTTACCATAAGAGGATGTTGGAATAAAACATTTGGGAAATTGCCTAAATAAATTATGGTAGGTTACAAAATATGATCCTATTTTGGCTAACATATATATTTGTATAATAAGTAATAAACTAACTTCATATTTTAGAAATAGATTTGTATGGATAATAAAAAGGTTAATGGATGATTTGGATGAGTAAAATTTCATTATTTATTTATTTATTCTAGAGATGGGGTCTCACTCTGTGACCAAGGCTGAAGTGCAGTGGCACAATCATAGCTCAATGCAGCCTCAAACTCGTGGGCTGAAGTGATCCTCCCAGCTCAGCCTCAGGTGCACACACTAAGCTTGGCTAATTTTTATTTTTATTTTTGTAGAGATGGGGTCTCACTTTTTTTCCCAGGCAGATCTTATACTCCTAGCTTTAGGTGCCTCCCACTTTGGCCTCCTAAAGTGTCAGGATTGCAAGCATAAGCCACCATGCCTGGCAAATCCCATTTTTTTTTATGCTCTCATTTTTTCTAATTTTATTTTTTATTAAAAAATACATTTGACTTTTAATACGGGAAAATAGAAAGAGAAACAAATCATAAATTGGATTATTAATTTAAGAGACATAAAATTTTGAAGAATGAGGTTTTTGTACTTTAATAATATTAATTTTAAAAGAATCATGCCTATTCTATTTATTTGGCTGTGTTTCCAACTTTGTACAAGGACATAAAATAAACAGCTTTTTTAAAAAACTCATCCACCTTTGTTAGAGTTTTAGGTCATTCTAATGTTTCCCTATTGAAAATGTGAAAGAGTAGGCATAATTAGATAAGAGTGAATTAGAAATACTGGTAAAATATAGAGAAATAAACAGGTAATGTGGGAATAATTGGCTGATAATTGGCATTAAAAATTAGACAATCTGGTCGGGCACAGTGTCTCAGGCCTGTAATCTCAGCACTTTGGGAAGCCAAGGTGGGCAGATAACCTGAGGTCAGGAGTTCGAGACTAGCCTGACCAACATGGCGAAACCCCATCTCTACTAAAAAAAATGCAAAAATTAGGTGTGGTGGCATGCCCCTGTAATCCTAGCTACTCGGGAGGCGGAGGCAGGAGAATTGCTTGATCCTGGGAGGCAGAGGTTGCAGTGAGCTAAGGTCATGCCACTGCACTGCAGCCTGGGCGACAGAGCAAGACTCTGTCTCCAAAAAAAAAAAAAAATTAGACTATCTAAAAAGTTCTAATGGGTGGAAAAATGCAAACTTTCTACGATATGCATCAAAATAGTCTAAATAAATAACGACAGATTACAAAATTGTGTCATGATCTCATTTCTCCTCATAAATAAGACACAATTATTTATATAATGTATAATATGCACATTTTGCATTTTAGAAATGAGTCTTTATGAATATTAAAAAGGTTAATGTGAGGTTGCACAATATACAACAAAAGAATACTTGAATAATCAGTTCCTATTGACATTCATTTTTGACACAATTCTTATACACACTAATTTTGAGCAAATTGTTGGGTTGAATCGCAGGTTTCAGCTGAACTATGTTCAGTCAAATTTAAGCAATTTTTTTTCTACCATGTATCTTGAATTGTATCATATATTAGGCAACCCAGGGCTACTAGAAATTGTGGCTAACCTGAAGAAGAATCTTGCAGGATCTGATAGAGGTGATTGAATATGGAAAATATGGAATACTTGGGCATGAAAATTTGATGGGAGACATATTGAGAAACACATAAATGAATTTAAAGGAGTCTTCAGGATGTGTGCTGTAGGTTGAGGGAGAAGGTGTGTGAGTTCGGGGACCATGAGTCCCCAGTTCTGCTAATGCAAGAACGTGTAGGTGAGGAAGTCTTGGTGGATTTTAATTTTCCTTTGGGAAAATAGAATCTCCAAGTACCTTCATGATACTTGTTCACTCATGTAAAAGGTGTCACGTGTGAGTATTCACTCCAGGAGAGTCAAAATATACACATAGATTGGTATAAATATTATACATTTTCATTGATAATCAAATAGTTAGATGATATCCCAAATCATATAAAGAACTACTGTGTGGCAGTTGAATGAAAAGATCTGAATATATTAACATGGAAATATTTTTATGATATTATTATGAGAAAATAATTTTGCACAAATTTTTATATCACATGACCCCATTTATACTAAAACATTGTACATGGCCTAACTTTTTATTCATTTATGTATATCTGTATGTAAATGCATAGAAAAACATTCAAAAGTAACAAAGCACATTGTTCTTATTCCTGAGAATGAAATGAGAATAGGTGACGACAGTGGGCGATCTGTACTTTTACCCAAAATACATTAGTATCGTATGCATTTGTTACATAAAAATATATTCCCATGTTACTAGCAGGTGTGGCAAATATGAAAAGCTTGAGTAACTCAAAGAAGTAAATAAAGAACTAAATGGAAGAACATCTAAAATTTAAATTTTTAAAGTAGCTAACATTTAAATGAGTCTTCAAGTGTTTCCTCCTCAGAAAGATATTTTTTCCTCCACATGGAGGAAAGAAGAGGGCAAGTGAGAAGATAAAAATTATTGAAGATGTACATGCTCAGGAGTTAGTCATATAGTTGTAAAGATTTGCTTTTCGTAAGGGTAGAGCCAGGAATTGTATCTCTACAACTATTTGGGTCAGGTCTGGATAAATATTATAGTGCTTTCAATAGAAGTTTAAAAAAGAATTTTTAATAATGAAAAAAATTCTCTTAAGTATTTTCTTCGTATAACTTTTCCCTAGAAAGTGTTACATGATGACCAAAGGTAATAAATTACGACATAATGGTTAGCTAGTTGGAGTTTCATTTCAAAGGTATTTAAGTACCTCAGGTTGACAAAGGCTTGTCTACATATGCAAGATGGATTAGGTAATTATACACAATAAATCAGGGTGAAAAACCTATTACAAAGCAAAGGTAGGGGTGAGGGCTGTTTCTGTGTCTAAGATTGATTGCTTAAATTAGTTAAACTCACTGTGTTCTTTACTTTGCAAGAACACTAGTGACCAAACGAACACTTTTCCTACTGGGTCAGTATCTTGCATATACAAGGTTCTCAATGAATATTTGTCATAAAAAATTGAATTTAAATGTAAGAATGCTTTCAAAACACTACGTATTCATTTAAAACTCTGTTGTTTTGCCTAATTTATAATATTTTGGTTTTAGTTTAATGCTCTATGATATTTTATTTACTCTTTTAAAAGCTAAAAAATAAGTTATTAATAAATTATTCAACATGTTAATTTTTGAATCAGAAGAAAGCAGAAATTAAGAAACTGATGGTAAAAGCTCTTGGATAGTTTGGCTCAAACTTGAGTGATAAATGGACAATTTAGAAGGAATTCACCCAGACATCTTCCACACATGAAGGTACCCCAGTGGCTTTTTCACTGCTCTCATTCTTCTCTTTATCAGTGTTAAACAGCTTATCACGTGCATCTCAGCTCTAAAGTGCTTGCGCACTTCCTCCAGCCTTTTCCAAAGCATTTCTACACTCTCTTTACCTTAAAGCAATGAGAAAACCCAAAACAATCTACACAGCACTGGGATTGATATGGTTTGGCTGTGTCCCCACCCAAATTTCAACTTGAATTGTACCTCCCAGAATTTCCCCATGTTGTGAGAGGGACCCAGAGGGAGGTATTTGAATCATGGGGGCCGGTCTTTCCCATGCTATTCTCGTGATAGTGAATAAGTCTCGTGAGATTTGATGGGTTTATCCGGGGTTTCCTCTTTCACTCATTTTCTCTTGCTGCTGCCTGTAAAGAGTGCCTTTCACCCCCTGCCATGATTCTGAGGCCTCCCCAGCCATGTGGTACTGTAAGTCCAATTAAACCTCTTTTCCTTCCCAGTCTTGGGTATGTCTTTATCAGCTGCGTGAAAACAGAGTAACACAGAGATTAACAATGTGGTTTAACAAGTTTGCTGTATAATGCTTAGAAATTCCATACAAAATAAACTATTTACAATGGCAGCAAAAATATGTGGCATAGGAATAAATGTAAAAGCGACATCACATATTTTTGCTGCCACTGTAAATAGTATATTTTGTATGCAATTTCTATTTTGGAATATTATAAAACATTAGCTGAAAAATATCAAAGAAGACTTAAATAAATAGAAAGTTATACCATTTCATTGGCAGGGAGAACTCAGTATCATACATTTGTCAGTTTTCCCAAAATTGATCCAGAGATTATTGACATTTCCAAGAAGAATTCTAAAATAGGTTGTCATCAAACTAAATAAGCAGATTAAAATATAGATATAGAAAAGCAAAGGGCATGAATGTCCAGTCACACCTGAAGAAGGAGATTAGGTCAGGAAGACGTCCCCTATGAAAGACAATGCTTATTAAAAAGCTGTAGTTGTGATATAGTGGATATTAATTCAAGAAAAGCCAAATAGTTGAATGCAATGAATAAAGAATCTAGAAACAAAGACACATGTGTGTAAAAATATAGATGCATGACAGAAATGAAACTGTAAATTGGTGGATTGGTTTTGGAGCAGTTAGCTAAAAATCCATTCCAGACTGATCAAAAAATTAAATAATAAGGAACACTAACAAATGTTAAAGACCACATATGATAATATATTTATGACTTGGTGGTGGCAACATGATTGTCAAATAAGAACAAAATGCACTAGCCGTAAAGGAAATATGGTTAAATTTTATCACATTAAAATTAGGACTTCATGTTCATCATAACACACAAAAAGAGAGTGAGAAAACAAGCAAACTATGACACAAGACCAGCAACACATACTAGTGATAAAAGTCAGGGTCCAGAATATATAAACTTGAATATATATAGAAACAAACAGCTCGACGGAAAATTGTGCAAAAATATGAACAGGTAGCTTACAAAAGTGCAATCATGAATTACTAATACATCTATGAAAAAAAATGTTGTTAAATCCCACTAGAAATCATGAGGATGAAGGTAAAAATCACAGTTAGCTGCCATTTGACACCAACAGACTGGGAAAACAAATTTAAATCTGATAGTACAAATGTTCAGAAGATTGTGACTCCCATTAATCAGCGGTCTTTGGGGCTTTACCTAGTAATGGTAAACACGTACGTTACCTATAAACACAGAAATTCCACTCCTTGGCATATAAGCTAAAGAAACTCTTGCCTATATGCACCAAGAGATATATACAACAATGTTTGTAGCTGCATTTTCACAAAAGCAAAACTTGGAAACAATTTGGTGTTTTCTAAAACCAGAATAAACAAATGAAAGTCACATATTTAAACATGTATGCATCTCAAAAACATAATACTGAGCAGTAAAAGAAAATCACATGCGCACAAATACACATTTATATTTGGTAAGATTTATTATTATAAAAGCTAAAATTAGGCAAAACTAAATATTGTTCAGGAATATTAATATTTTCATATAAGTATTGATAAATTCAACATAATAAAATACCAAAGCTATTGATAATGTACAATGGTGGCTAAATGGGTAGTAGCCTTTTTATCATTCTTACATATTATCCGTTATATATAGTTGGCATATATTTTAAAACAACAATATGAAATAACGTGATGAAAAAATTAACGAAGCTACAACATGAATCCCTTTTTGAGCAAGTTGTAAAAAGAGATCTGGGAGAGTTTCTCCTCTCTGTATCTAAAAGTACCATCTCATCTATATTTAAGACGTCGAATATAGACTCATGCAGTTTTGGTTTAACTCTTTAAAAACGGCTTTCAACAGGGTTTCATGCTCCCTTAATTGCTTGTTGTTAAAAAAAAACCTATTTTCTCTGATGTCTTATTTTAATTTTTATAAACCAGTTTAGTTTAAAAAACAGTGAGTTACTCTAGCATTTACACTTGATTTGCTTTTTAAAAATACCTTCTAATTAAGAAAAAAATCATAGTTTAATATAGAGTCATTAGGACAGGTGGGGGTGGGCGGCGAGGGGGTGGCTGGACTTCCTCGGGAGCGCAGATCTGTGTCCTCGCGGAGATCATCGTTCTGCACAGAGGAAGTCTGTGACGTGCGCTGCCACCCGTTGCTCCTGGCAGCAGTGAGGAAAACCAGCTTAGGGAGGCCCGGGGAGCACAGCAGAATGGCAAGCAGACTGCCAGCCAGAGGGACACTGTTCAGTACAAACTTGTTGACTCGGGGCACAGTCTGGACAGGCCGTGTGACAGCCTTGTGTTTCAATTACTCCAGCCCAAGGAGGCAGGAAAAAGGACCATCTAATTGAGAAACAGGCATTGTATCTAAATTGAGATTTCCAAGGGTGCATCCTTGTTAAAAAGGAGAACTCATGGTTAGGTGCAGCCTGCCCTGCAAAGCCTGGGTCACTGAGCATCAGCAAGCTTATTTTTAAATCATCTTTTTTTTTTTTTATGATGACACCTCCGACTGGAAATCATTGACTTGGCAGAATAGCAAGTCACACATTAAGCAACAAGCGAAATACACTAATCGTAGCTTGACTGTTTTGTAAAGAATTTCACAGCACAAAAAGTTAATATCATTGATTTGGAGGAAGTATGTAGGGGAAACCCATATGTAGTGAGTATACTAATTGTGACAGCTCTTTTAAAAGCAGGCAGAAGGCATTATTGCTGAGGCAGCTTGAGGAGCTGTTTGTCATTTTAAAAAAGCATGGAAGCCACAAAAAAGAGTTGGGCAAGGCTTGGGAGAACTGAGGAATTATGAGAATAAAAAACAAAAACCGGTAAAAATTCTCTTCCATTTCATTTGAGGAGCTCGGAATTCAATGCTTTCTCTTAGATAATGAGAGAGAGCAGTTAGAGGCAGACGGAAACAGCACGAAGTGCTCATTACTTTTAAATGTGCAATTTAAATACTCAAGTGTATCCATGGAAAAAAAGATTTAAATAGCAAGCTTCATTACTATTTGCTCCTAGAAGACAATGATCTCTGCAGATTGCCCCATTCTGTTGAAGTCAACATGGAGATGAATAGCAATTTTGCAGTTTGAGAAGAAGAGGGGTATGTGGGAAAACTGAAATGTGAACAAAACAACAGTTGGGCCTTTTTCCATTGTTTATGGGTGCTTTGGGAATTCTCTGCAGCTTTATCTTTCATGATGGCTTAATAAGTAAAAATACAGGACATAGTCTACATGTTTGAGACATGATTCACAGAATGGTACTAATTCACCTAAGGGCCTCTGCCTGGCTTAGTCCACATAGCACATCTAAGCATCTGGAATCACAATGGCAATCTTCCCAAAGGCCAAGGGCTTTAGTTATTTTGCTGGTTATGTACATAGACCAGCATAAACTATGCAGCCATCTGTATTTTTCTGTACCAAGACTGAGTAAAATGAATTTATAATTTTGAAAGTGTTCATCCTTGATGACCCCTTCACGCTAATTTTTATTCTTTTCAAACAACTGTAGGGTCTGGGATGCCCGGAACTCTGTTCACTCCAAATGTCCCATCCATCCTCATTTGCCTGGTTGCCCACAGCTTTGCCATCTCAGTATGTTCCCCACACAACGCCATGGGCAATTTGTAAGATCGCTAGCAGAGCAGGCTCTTGAACCACGCTGCCTAGGTTAAAATATCCACTCCCAGCTTGCTGTGTGGAATGTTGGGCAAATAACTTAGGTTCTCTGTGCTTTCTTTCCTGGCTTCTGAAATTTACCGAAGAGTAATAATACATTCCCATTCAGTTACTGTGAGGGAGAACAGAGCTCAGCACACTGGCATGCAATAGGTGCTCAGTAAGCGTTATATGTAGTCATCCACACCACGCATCACTACTGTGACTGTGTTCCACCCTGAATCAAATCACTTTCTCTGTCAGCACCAACTCCTTCGACTGGGGTGAGTGTCAGCAGCGAGTGACATGCAGAGCCACACCAGGGCCCACAGCGTTTCCCAGAGAGGAGAGGTAATCCACAGGGGAGGTTCAGAATATGGAGCCTCCTAAGATAGCATCCGTAATGTCGCAACCTTGGGGATATCAGAAGAATGGCAGGTGATTTTTTTTTTTTTTTTTGAGACGGGGTCTTGCTCTGTCACCCAGGCTGGAGTGTAGTGGTGCCATCTCGGCTCACTGCAACCTCTGCCTCCCGGATTCAAGCCGATTCTCCTGCCTCAGCCTCCCGAGTAGGGACTACAGGCGCCCGCCACCACGCCCGGCTAATTTTTTTTTTTTTTTTTTTGTATTTTTGGTAGAGATGGGTTTTCACCATGATATTTTACTGAAACTACCAAGGGGGGAAATTGAATAACAGAGAACTCCAGAGTGTGCATTATCACAAAGGGCAACTTCAGGTAGAAGTCTCACTGATGTTCCTGGAGCCTGGGGATCTTGGTCATCAAGGAAAAGCTGCACAAAAAAAAGACAGGGTAAAAGGACTTCTGATTTTGCCAGAAGAGCAGCCAATGTTATGTAAAGAAAGACAGTTGAACCCTTAGGTTATTTTAGGTCATAAAAAAAGACTTGATTAAAACACATATTGTAGAGAAAATTTATAAAAATTTTAAGGATGCCAGTTCATGTGTGGACATAAGCTAATGAACTGGCTGGGGCAAAACCACTGGATTTTTGATGATATTCTAAGGAAGATGGCTTGATTCCTGGAAATGAAATTTATTAATAGAAGAGATTACCAGGCCTAAGGCATATATGCTATTTTATATTAATTTTTAAAGAACTGAGTTAGGATGTATTTTACATCCTAATAGGAATTGTAAATAAAAAATAACTGTTTGACAATTATGCAGAAATGGTTTTGTATTCAGTCTTGTTGTCTGTCATTGTCATCATACTCTTCCAAGGGTATATATTTTTGTGCAACTTACAGTCCAAAGGCAGGAAAGAACCCACAAGGCCTTTGCTTCCACTTAGATGGAGTTAGAAGTTGTTTCCATAAGGTGATAAGAGAGGGAATTTAGTTCTCATTATTTCACCTGCCCCTACACCCTCCATTCATCCAGATAGAAAGCCTTTTGATAGAATTACTCATTGCCCTTCTAGATATTTAGGTAGCTTCTTTAAAAATACAATTCATTAGATGGGCAGTGGAAGTTGACCAAAATATTCAGGGACCTATCATAGTAAGTATTGATTTATGAGAGCACTTTTCTCCTGACAGGGGGTGCTAGGGAAGCATGGAGAACAGGAGACCAACTCCATGGGGGAAAGATGAAGAGCAATGGTGTTTTTGAGCATGGGCCCTGAATTAAGTAAGACATATGTTCAATTTCTAATGTTGACACTTACTAGCTGTGTAAATGGCCTTGGGCAAGTTCATGGTACAAGCTAAGCCTCATATTTCTTCATCTAAAACAACAGGGATTTTAGTTTCTGTTGTATTATGAAATAGATATTAATAATAATTATTGAGCAATTAGTGAAACTGTTCATAACCAGACTGACTGTAGGCAAGTATGAACTCTAACAGATTAACTATGTGTACAGCATAGAGACACACAAGTGGATAATGTGAAGATAGAGGAAAGGACATATGCATTCGAATTTCAATTTGAATTTCACAGCGGTAGTCAAATAATACCTACCATCACCAGAAGCATAAGAAGTCCCCATGCAGAGCTGTGGTTTTCTAGCCCTTCTTCACGCTTCCCCATAGCCTTGATGGGCTAGATGCTGGCCATGGTTACCATGCACTCACCTGGCGAGGGCTTTGTTATAGCTTCATGAGTCTCAGAAGTTGGACCTGCTGGCTTTAGAGTCCGACTAATTTTGTTTTTCTCCTAGAAGTTGTTTCTGAATGGATAATTTGGTGTTAGACAATTAGAAATTCACTGGATTTCTGGTCTAGGCAAGATACATTTGATTGATTTTTCTTTTCATGTAATCGTTTCTGGTAAGTCTCTGAATGAGCATGTTTTCAAGCTTTTTATTATAAATAACAAAGCAAAATACAAGTTATAGAAAGACATTAGAGCTTTCTTCTAATCTTCTTGCCTGTTGTCAGTCTCCTTTCTCCTTTCTTCCCTCCATTCCTTCTTCCTCCTTCCCTTCCTTCCTCCCTTTGTACCTGCCTTCCTTTCCTTTTTTTTTTTTTTTGTTTGTAGTGGACAAATTAGTTATCATCAATTTATTTCTGAATATCTCAAAACTTGAAATGCACAAACATATGCTGTTAGTCACAATACTTAAATCACCAAGTGTCCTTTTTATTTTTTACATTAACCATAGCTTTGGGTTCAACTATACTGGAGAATTCTATTCCATTGAATTAAAAATTGCACTTCAATATCAATACTGCACTAAAAGCTCTGGCATTGAATTGGTGTAATTTTAACCTTCTAATAGAAATGGTTGGTGTGGGGTTTCTATCCAGCCAGCACATGCTTTAATTTTGAGAGAAGTTCTTTGAAGAATGTCTAATTGTTTTCGGAAGTATGTCCTTTTGTTTTCATAAAGCTCACTTTTCCATTCCCTGTGCCAACATTTTTAGCCGTTGTGGGATTTTCTACACTGTTGCTTGAAAGTCAAATTTAAGGTCTTAGGCAATTTCTGCTTAAAAATTCCATGTGACAGATAGAATGGAGGTTGAGACTGAATTGTACCAGTGATCAAATTAGGTCAGCTCTACACAGCCATGGCTGAATATGTATAAAACCAAAACATTTAGGCTTTCACGTTATTACTAAGTCAGTCTCTCCCCCTGCCCCACCAAATAGAATCTATCTTTTTATTGTTAGAGGAAAAATTGTTCTATGGTTTGTTTTTTTAATAGATTTACAAACCTCTGAGTTTTTATAAAATACAATGGGTATTTAATTAACTTATGAACTTAAAGCTTAAACCACATTATTTCCTTTTTTAAATGCCGAATGGAAGGAGCTCTTCTGATGGGTGAACCTACCCTTCCTTCATATAGCTCAGTCCGTCAATATCTTGTCTCAGCATGTCTTTTTTACAATTTTACCCAAAGAGAGATGGATAGAACAAGGTTGGCTAATGGCCAGATCAAGGTGGGGAAAGGAATCCTAGTGTAGATAATTTAACCCCTTTCCTCCTGCCTGTCCTTACATCCACAGCCCTATGTGGCTAAGCATAAAGAGAAGTGCTGCACCTTGACTGCTGAATTCTGAAAAGGTACAGAAAAAGTAAGTGGACAGAATAGAGAAGAATTACAAGTCAGATAGATATTCCTCTGATGAGTGGAGGGTGGGTGCAGAAAGGCAGGAGGAAGGTTGCGGAAAACCTAGTAACACCCATGTAGTAGAGCGTTCCCATGAAACAACTTCCAGACTCGGAGAATGAAACCTGTTTACCAATGTACCTGCTCAAGGAGGATTTTCCTGATCCCCTTTTCCACCCTCATTCGCTCATGCCCCAACCTGGAAGAACAGAAGTAATAGCTATTGAAAAAGATAGAAAAGGAGAGAGAAGCTGGTCACTCCTTTCCTTAGCTACATGAAAGAGAATCTTCAAGTGAAGATCAAGGTGTTGTTTCATGGAACTAAACGTTCTATATATTTTTTAAATTCGTGTATATTTTATGTCTTGAATGTCATGATAGGACCAAATTCCATGAGGTCCTCTATAACTAGGACAGTGAAAAAAACCTGACTTGTGAGATACTTATCACAAAGCAACCTTATCTGAATTCTCAATTTAAGTTTTCCAGGATAATTTACCCTACTTTTGGATTAAGAAATAAAAATCTGGCTGGGCGCAGTGGCTCACGCCTGTAATCCCAGCACTTTGGGAGGCCAAGGCGGGCAGATCATGAGGTCAGGAGATCAAGACCATCCTGGCTAACATGGCGAAAACTCTGTCTCTACTAAAAATACAAAAAATTAGCCGGGCGTAGTGGTAGGCGCCTGTAGTCCCAGCTACTTGGGAGGCTGAGGCAGGAGAATGGCGTGAACCTGGGAGATGGAGCTTGCAGTGAGCCCAGATCGTGCCACTGCACTCCAGCCTGGGCGACAGAGGGAGACTCTGTCTCAAAAAAAAAAAAAAAAAAAAAAAAAAAATCTAATCTCTCTATGACATACCGGAAAAGCATAGAAAATCCACACTATTTGGAATAGTTCATGTTCGTGGATAAATATTTGATAATTTATAATACCTTCAGCAGCTAGGCTCGCAAAAGAGCTTGAAAAAAGTGTAACATTATGAATGACATATTTACTAATTTTTGGTCTACCTCGAATGATATCAAATTTCATCTTTGGTCATGAACATTCCTAAATCCTGATAGAGATATACAAGGACTTTGAGGCATCTTGCTGTTGCATCTTGAATGTAATCCAACTTCTCCATGTTGTATTTACCTGAATAGTCAAGATGACTTGACACAGGAGGGCATAGGGCATACTACAGTTCTTGAGTTTTTAAAAAGCATTATAAATGTAAACTTTAGAAACTTACAAAGAAAAAATGCACTGATCTTATTTGTGCAACTTCCTGAGTTGTGATAAATGCAACCACTCATGAAACCACTGTCCACATCAAGATATAGGATATTTTTTATCATGCCTGAAAATTTTCTTTTAGCCCCTTTCAGTTAATCTGCATAGCCACAGGAAACCACTATTCTGATTTCCATAATGATAAATTAGTTCACCTAGTCTAGAACTTCATGTAAATGAAATTATATAATATATACTCTTCTCTTTCCAGGTTCCTTCACTTGGTATAATGTCTGAGATTCAACCATGTTGAGAGTATCAGTAGTTAATTCATTCTATTGTATGAATCTACAACAACTTGTTTATCCTTTCTCCTGTTCGACATTGGTTGTTTCCAGTTTGTAACTACCATTAACAGAGATGTTCTCAACATTTTGTACAAGTGTTTTCAAAAGTAATTTTCAAAATATAAACTTTGTACTTTTTTGTTGTGTACTCCTATGCACATTTACTTTATTGTTTTTGATGAAAATATCAATAGGATTGTTTTTCCCAGATTTATTGAAATATAATTGACATATAATTGTATATATCTAATGTATACAATGTGGTGTCTTATACATATACAATGTGAAATGATTACCACAATCAAGCTAACATATCCACCAACTCACATGGTGACAATAACCATTCTAACAGTTATGAGGTGATATCTCCTTGTGGTTTTAATTTGCATTTCCCTGATAATTAGCAATGTTGAGCATTTCTCCATATACCTGTTGGTCATTTGCATGTCTTCTTTTGAGAAATGTCTATTCAGGTCCATTGCCTATTTGCTAATCATGATATTTGCTTGCTATTGAGTTATTAGAGTCCTTGGCATATTTTGAATATTAATCTCTTATCATATATTTACTTGCAAATATTTTCTCACATTCCATGGGTTGTCTCTTTATTTTATTGATTTTCTTAGCTTTGTAGAAGCTTTTTAGTTTGATGCAGTCTATTTTTGCTTGTTTTGCATGTGCTTTTTGCTATTTTATCAAAAAAATCATTCTCCAAATCTACATCAAATAGCTCCATGTTTTCTTCTAGTTGTTTTGAGTTTCAGGTCTTACATTTAAGACTAACCCATTTTGAGTTGATTTTTATATATGATGTGACATAAGGATACAATTTCATTCTTCTGCATGTAGATATTCAGTTTTCCTAACACCACTTATTGAAGAGACTGTCTTTTATTCGTGCGTGTTATTGGTGCCTTTGTGAGAGAGCAATTGACTGTAAATGGGTGCATTTATTTCTGAACTGACAATTCTTTATTATTACCATTTTTAATTGACACATAATAATTGTACATATTTATGGAGTACGGTGTGGCATTTTGATAAATGTGTACAATGTGTAATAATCAAATCAGCACAATTAGTAAATTCATTACCTCAAACACTTATTTCTTTGTGCTGGGAACATTCAAAATCTTCTCTTCTAGCTATTTTAAAGTATACAAAAATTGTTGACTATAGTCATGCTACAATGCTATACAACAGTGGAACTAATTCCTCCTAGATAGCTATGATTTTGTATTCATTAACTGACCTCTCCCCAGCCTCCTCTCCTGACTACACTTCCTAGTCTCTTTATTCTACTCTCTACTTCTGTAAGATCAACTTTTTTAGCTTTCACATATGAGTGAGAACATGCAATATTCATCTTTCTGTGCCTGGACTATTTTATTGCACATAATGTCTTCCAGACTCATCTATATTTATGTGATTGACAAAATTTCATTCGTTTTTATGGCTGATTAGTGTTCCAACATGCATATACACCACATTTTCTTTATCCGTTCATCTGTTGTTGGACACTTAGGTTGGTTTCATATCTTGGATATCATGAATTGTACTGCAATAAACATAAGAGTGTAGATATCTCTTCAGCATACTGATTTTTTTTTCCTTTGAATACACAACCAGTAGTAAGATTGCTGGACTATATAGTAATTCTATTTTTAGTTTTTTGAGGAACCACCATACTCTTTTCCATAATGGCTGTACTAATTTACATTCCCACCAACAGTGTATGAGTTGCTGGTTTGTGTATTCTGTTCCTTTGGTTAATATGTCTGTTTATATAACAGTACCATGCTGTTTTGTTTATTATAGCTTTGCAGTATATTTTGAAACCAGGCAGTGGGATGTTTCTAGCTTTGTTCTTGCTCCAGGGTATTTTGTTTACTTGGGGTCTTTTGTGGTGCCAAACAAATATTAGAATTTCTTTTTCTATGTCTGTGAAAAGTGCCATTAAAATTTTGGTAGATATTTCATTAAATCTGAAGATGTCCCTGGGTCGTATGTACATTTTAACAATATTAATTCTTCCAATTCATGAACACATGATATCTTTCCATTTATTTATATTTTTCAATTTTTGTCATCAATGTTTTATACTTTTGAGTGTACAAATCTTTTATCTCCTTAAATTTATTTCTAAGTATCTTTTTTTTTGATGCTACTGTAAAAAGGATTGTTTTCTTCATTTCTTTTTTGGAATAGTTCATTGTTAGTGTATAGAAATTCTACTAATTTTTGTATGTTGATTTTATGTCTTTCAACTTTACTGAATTTATTTGTTAGTTCTGACAGGTTTTGTGGAGCTTTTAGTTTTTTTATATAAAAAATTCATGTCATTTACTAACAGAGACAATTTAACTTCTTCCTTTTCAATTTGGAGGTTTTTTGTTTCTTTCTCTTACATAATTTGCTAGAACTTTCAGTACTACGTTGACAAGTGGTGACAGTGGGCATCTTTCTCTTGTTTCTGGCCTTAGAGGAAAAGGTTTTAGCTTTTCTCCATTGAGTGTGATGTTTTCCATGGGCTTGTCCATGTGTGGTCTTTATTGTGGTCTGGTACATTTTTTCAATACCTAATTTGTTGAGTTTTCATCATGAGAGAATGTTGAATTTTGTCAAATGCTTTTTTTTTTTGCATCTACTGAAATGATTATATACTTTTTGTCCTTCATTATGTTAATCTGATGTATCACATTTGTTGATTTGTGTATGATGAACCATCCTTGTATTCCAGGCATAAGTCCCACTCAATCACAGTGAGTGATCCTTTGAACGTGGTATTGAATTCAGTTTGCCAGTATTTTGTTGAGGATTTTTACATCTGTATTCATCAGTGACATTTGCCTGTAGTTTTCTTTTCTTGTAGCCTTCTTGTCTGATTTTAGTATCAAGATAAGGCTGGCCTTGTAAAATGAGCTTGAAAGTATTCCTTTTTCTTCAATTTTTTGGAAGAGTTAGAGAAGAACTTGTATAATTTCTTTAAATGTTTGGTAGAATTCAGCAGTGAAGCTATCAAGTCATGAGGTTTTCTTTGATGTTTTTGAGGGTTTTTTTTTTATCATTTCTAATTCAATGTCCTTAATCTTTATTGGTCTATTCATGTTTTCTACTCCTTCATCAGTTAATCTTGGTAGGTTGTTTGTCTCCAGGAATGTATCTGTTTCTTCTAGGTTATCCATATTGTTGGTATACCTTTTGCACCTCTGTGGTGTCAGTTGTAATGTCATCTCTTTCATTTATGATTTTATTTTTATGTCTTATATTTTTCTTAGTCTAGCTAAAGGTTTTGGAATTTTGTTTATCTTTTCAAAAAATCAGCTCAATTTGGTTAATATTTTTATTGTTTTTTCTGATGTCTATTTATTTTTGCTCTGATCTTTATTATTTTCTTTCTTCTACTAAATTTGGGCTTACTTTGTTCTTATTCTAATTCTTGGAGATGTAACATTAAGTTGTTTGAGATTTCTCCATTTTTGATGTGGGTGTTTATTGCTGTAAATCTATTAGAAATGTTTTTGTTGTATCCCATATATTTTGGTATATTGCATGTTCATTTTTATGTCTTGAAATATTTTTAAATTTTCTTTTAATTTTTTTCTTTGACACATTGATTGTTCAGGAACATGTTTAATTTCTACATATTTGGGAATTTTCCAAAATTCCTCCTGTCATTGATTTCTACTTTTATAGTATTGTGGTTAGAAAAGATACTTGATATGATTTTAATCTTCTTAAATTTGTTAAGGCTTGTTTTGCGACCTAACATATAATCTATCCTGGAGAATGTTCCCTGTGTACTTGAAAAGAATGTGTATTCTGCTGCTGTTGGATGGAGTGTCGAATATATGTCTGTTAGGTCCATGTAATCTTTATTGTTGCTCAAGTTTGCTGCCTTTGACCTGGAGCCCGTGTCTGCAGGGGCTGGCCTAACACCAGGGTTTAATGGGGTGGGCTTGGTAGCAGGGTCTGTGGCAAAGTCAGGTTCTCATTTTCCTCTCTTTTACCTTTGTGGAGGTATCTCTCAGCACAGTGCTTCCTGGGCTTAGGAGAGGAGTTTCAAAAGTAATATGAAACTCTCCTACCCTCTTCAATGTGTGTTTTCTTATTCCTGTGCTCTACCCAGGTGCTGTAACCTCTCATCTGGTTCCCTTGGCTCTTGTGAAAGTATTTTTATTTGTGAATAATTGTTCAAATTAATGTTTCTGGAAGGGATGAGGGCTGGAAACTTCTATCTACTATCTTGCTGATGTTGTTCTGTCTTGAGCTGCGTTTTTAAGTAGCATGCTGCTTCTTGCTGAAAGAGCATCTAACAACCTTAAAATAGGACTCTGGTGAATACTTCCACACCTTCAAGCATCAGAAGTCTGCCAGTCTGTGATTCCAATCCTTTCCCAACAAAAGTCAAATGCTAGCATAATTGAGAGAACAAGATGGTTGTCACCTTGGGAAGTAAGGAGTATGAAGAATTATTCAGGCATGTGTCACTGGGGATATAGGTGCCACTGATGCAAACAGGAAAGTGAGGAAGAAAAAGTATGATAGGGTTTGAGTTTAACTTTAGGTAAAAACAACACTACTTATGAACTGTAATGGTGATTAGGCAATAGGAGATATTTACAGCGTGGACTACAGTGTTTGATATCAGTATTTAGAAATGGTCAATAGAAAGGTAATTCAGGTTGAGGCTATTAGAAAAATGCTGATTTGACACTGCGAGATGTTGGAGTTACAAGAGAAAAATGAAAAGCCTCAAAGGTAAGAGAAAGAAAGAAAATGTTCCTTATTTTGATGATCCAAATTCTTAGGAGTCAAAAGTTAAAAAAAAAGCTTATTGTAAAAATTTATGATTATTAAGTAACTTGATTACCATTAGTAAAAATACCACTTTTTAAAAGTCATAGTTAAATAAAAGTGTTTGAAAATAAAGATGGAAGGATTTCATATTAGGGGAAAATATTGTTTATAAAATGTAAGTATATTTAAATATATTTAATTTAGAATACATCAAATGCCCTTGTAAAATATTAGAAAATTAAAACAAGAAAACAGATCTATGAACTTAACTTATCCCAGAGATTGACATATTTTTCTTCATAGTTCCAACTTATTCTAAAAGTAAATTTTACTCAGAAGTTTAAAAATACTATTAATCATTAAGAGTTGTGTTTATTGGAATCTTTTTATGGTAGCCTTGCCTAATTACAATTAAGCTTATATTTAACTTCTGCAAATGTCAAAATAATTAATAAAGTAATCCAACAGCTCTCTCTCTCACTCTCTTTTCTCTCTTTCTCTCTCTGTTCTCCTACAAATGTATATATATCCATGTTCAACGTGCTGCACTAGGTGCTTTGGCTGACAACAATAAGGTAGAGTCCAGAGGTAATATAAACACATACGCAAATAATTATAATACAAGTTAGAATATTTTCTGGTTCATTAGATATGAATTATTGAGTGGTGGTTATAAATGTTGAATACATTCTCTATTCATTCCTGATTGATTATAGTTAGGTAGCGGTGTAAGGCAAATTTTGATGGAATGATGGCTAATTTCAAAAATCTCAATGCTATAATTTTTAGAAAATAAATAGGTATATTATGAAGCAAATAAGCCTTTTGCTCCGTTTAGAATTTCACATTGATTTATGTAGTTTCCTGAAGAATATTTACGGCAATGTAATTAATTTTGAATGTTCAGATAATGTTATTGTCAGGCCATGCAGACTTAATTCATAGCAAGCTCTTAGGCAGAAGAAGTACATAAAATCCAAGCTGTTGACTATTAGTTTCAGTAAGTGCATTGAAGCAATTTTTAACAAGTGCTCTTTAGGTAATTCAGATTTTAGACTTAATCATAAACCTTTCTAGAGCATTTCTATGCCAACTAAACTTTAAATATAAACAGAAAAATCTGTATGCCAATATGTTAATAAAATCTAAGCATGATAAAGAAAAAATAGACATGCTCACTGAGATTTTAAAAGTTAAAACATTGCTTACTACATACTAGTCATAGTTGAAGAGAATTTACTAAAGATTTTGGACTCACTTAGCAGTGTGCACACATATCTTACTTACATAATTACTTGAAGCAACCACTTGAATCCATCTTGTTCATTTTGCATTTTATAAGAAAGAACAAACTAATTATGACTCTACACAGAAGACAAATATAAGCCTTGTTTGCTGGGTTCATTTAGTCGTATACCTCTGCCGCTCAGAAGAGCATAAAGTAGAGAAAAAGCAGAAGTGGTCATTATTCTGCATGTTGTAGCAGTGTGCTTAAAAGGTTAAATATCCCCTGGAGCCAACTGTCACTAAAGGATGGAAGGGATGCTGGTTTTCTTCCATGCTAGGGCACAGGCAGCAACATGCTGATCAGGAAGCCATACCTCGAGAGAATGACTTGAAATGGGCTAATGTGGACAGAGTGAAGATTTATGTGCTGTGATGGAAGAATGAGGAAAGTGCTAGCACAAGACACAAGTCAGCCCGATGGCAAGCGAACCGTTAACGTGAGCTGAAATTCAGTGCAATATACAAACAAGGGGCATGACAGAGAGAAAATATTTGAATATCTGCGTATGTAGGCTTACTCTAAAGGAGAACAATGTTGCCTCTTCAAAGGTCTTCAGTTGAACTATGATAACTTGATATGTGCTCCCTTAAACTTATGTTTAGAGAGAAATAGACAATTTGAGAACACAAGAGCCAAAGTATTATAATGCGATATATTTAAAGATTTCAAGCCATGGTTACTTTCACAGACAACAGCGTGAAGCTCAGGTGGCCCAAGATATTCAATTCTGTCTAGAGCTCACTAGGTGTGGTCTTGGATCAAGTTGGTGCTGGAACAATGATGGATATACAACTCGAAAGATTTATATTCATTCTGTGGCAACTCCTAAAAATGCCCTACTTGTTTAGGGTCTTCTATATGAGGTGCCAACCCTGCAGCTACGAGTGTAGGCAGGGCTCACCTGCCCAAAGTGAGAGACGAGCATCCTTCATAAGCAGAAATATGCTTGGAAGTGGAATCATAGCTTGTGCCGAACAGTGAGCAAAGCTTCTATGTAAGCCATGTGAATGGGTGATGGCACTTTACAGATCTGTCAAATTTACAGCCAAAATATTGGTGTCACTTCAGTTGCTTTATTAAATATTACAGGGTATTATATGTCAAATTTTATTTCTAGTTAGCAATCCTATTACTTCATTACAGATTTGGATTATAAAATCTGAAGTGAGTTGTCATTTTGTAGCATAACTGTATCATGTTTATTTTAGTCAATTACATAGTTGATTTAAAAAACTGATTTTCTGGGTCACACAAAATTAATTTTCATATTTTTTACAAATTTGTCACAAAGACGAATCAATGACTAATACGTACTGCATTATGTTTAAATGATTGATTGTATATGGGTGAAGCTACTTCTCTAATTATAAAACTTTCCCCTGACTGCTTTCTATGTGTTTACCCTGTTGGAGTAAGAAAGGGATAAATGGCAACAATTTTCTTTTGAAATGTTATATTTTCTGAATTTATATATGGACAGTATTTTTCCCACAGTTACATGATAGTAATTGATTGATTAAATTACTATCATGTAACTGTGGGAAAAATACTGTCAATCAATTCATAAACATTATGTTGAAAACTATCGACCACTATTAGTTTAATTGGGTTTATGTTGCTCTTAGTAGGAACTAAACTATATTTACTAGCAAATAAGAATTCATTGTAGATCTCTGTTGGGAGACAATCCTCTTTTCGTCTTTTGCATTTTGGCATGTCTTGGGAGCAGAGGTGGTAACTGCTGGTCTTCCGTGCTATTTTTTTCAAGGATTTGTTTAGTAGCAGATGCCTTGGAAGATAAAGATAAGTGTCTCTCTCCAGGGAAAGAGCAGGTTTGCTGAAATAACAACAATATCTTCCTTTAGAAGCCCTATTGTAGGCTTACTGCCTACAATATAAAATACTGGGGAACCTAAAGGCAGGGTTCCTCTCCTGTAATACAATGTATTGCCACTGCAGGTACAGGTGTCCTCTACTTCTCTTTAAGTTGCCCTTTAGGAATTAAGCTTGCAGAAGTAAGACAAGAAAATGCTGATACTCTGGCTACTGATGGTTCTTGAGTAATAAAGTCCTTTGCCTCTGACCTGTGAGTCCCATGACTTTTGACAGAACCCATGAGACTGTGCCAGGCTAACTTATTAGCTTCCAAGTAGGATAAAAATCTCGGACCCTTCATTGTTCTTGGCAGTATCATGACACGAAACAAAGAACAATGGGAGCACTTTAAGAGGAGAGAAAAGAGAAGGAGACAAGGTTTTCCCTTCAGACACTGTGAATTTCTGCCCTTGGCATGAAAGTGTGTATGTGCATTCAATTAAGTTAATATGATTTCCTTAGATTGTCATAATCTCCTAAGTGTGTGTGTGAGTGCATTTACAAGACAGGAGGCTTCTGACAGTTGTTAAAAGGATTCAGGAGCTTAGATTGTGGAAACAGCTGGTTGATTTTTCTCCATCACTTTGGCTAATAGGGGAAATGAAAGAATATACTAGGTGATTTTATATATATATATATATAACTTTTAACTTTAGGTCTATAGAATATTGAGGGATAGTTAAGATTTGATAGACTTCTGAACTGATCTATAAAATGAACTGTGTGCAGTCTTTGCCTTTATGTATTATACTTTAATGGATCAGATCAGACTTTCTCTCAAATTCTTTTTGTCTAGAGCAGGCCTGGTGAGTGAAATACAGGTGGTGTGACTTCTGCAAAAGGTGGATTAGCCCCAAACACGTGGTGCGCGTTCACAGGGATTCTGGGAAAAAGTCTTCCTGAAATAAACTCTTCCATTTGCTCTCAGATGCCTGGAATTCTTTACCACCAAAAGGAAATCCTTTCATCCAATGTTTACAGTAAAGGATTACAATGCACATACACTGGGAAAGGTATGCTTGCTTAAGCTGGAACCTTGCTGTACAAGAATAATAGATTTCCTAATAGCTGGTCTTCAGTCTTAAACTGGTGGTGGTAGGTCTTTATATGAAAGGGAGAAATACGGTCAGAATAATTTTGTTAATTAAGATAATTCTCATTACCCATATCCAGTGCCGGCAAGCAAATTTTTATCGTGCATGCAAACGCGACTTGATTGTCAGTGGTTTCCTAGAGGGCTGCTCAAGGATTCTAGGGCATGTCCAGGTTCATTGAGACCGCTCTGTTGTCAGTGAGCCACGGTCTCCAGGAGCATCAAGGGAAAGTTGTTGCACATAAACTAGATATTTGGTTCCCACATTATTAGCTGCAAATGGCTTACTAAAAGTAAATGTGTCCATTTCCGATATCCTGTCATCTAGTAGCCAGGAGCTGATGTCAAAAATTAATGGCACATTTTCATTTCTTGTCTTTCTAGTTCTCCCTTCGGCAGCACCTACAGCATATTCTTGCTTCTGAGCTGAATATCTGCGTTCCTGCTAAACCAGAGATCACAGTTATCAGGTGATTGATCAACTCCAGTGTATCAAATCACAAAGTTGAACAACCATATCATCTAATTTTAGACCATTTTGTCACTCCAAATCTATTGTACTTATTAGAAGTGGCTCCCCATGCCTTCTCCCCATCTCTACCGACCTCTCTGTCCTCAACTCTCAGGAACCACTAATCTATCTTCTTTCTCTATAGATGCCTCCTCTGGACATTTCATATGAATGGATAAATATAATACGAAGTCTTTCGTCACTGCTTTCTTTCACTTAGAATGTTGTAGCATGCGTCAGCACTTCCTTCCTCTTTATCACTGAGTGGTATTCCATTGTATGGATAGGCCTCACTTGGTTTATCTACTCATTAGTGGATGTAGTTGGATGGTTTCCAGCTTTAGCTTTTATGAATAAAATTGCTATGAACATTCCTGTGTGAGTTTTTGTGC
Source organism: Homo sapiens (assembly GCF_000001405.40). Classification (NCBI taxonomy): domain Eukaryota; kingdom Metazoa; phylum Chordata; class Mammalia; order Primates; family Hominidae; genus Homo; species Homo sapiens. The sequence continues at coordinate 187,252,207 of NC_000004.12, forward strand.
AGACATATGTTCTTATTTCTCTTGGGTAAATACCTAGGGGTGAAATTGTTGGAAGATGTAATAATTCTGTGCTCAACATTTTGAGGAATTACCAAATTATTTTCCAAACTGGCTGCACTATTTTACATTCCTACTAGCAATGCATGAAGATTATAATTTCTACACATCTTAGCTTGTATTTTAGTTATAATTTCCATGTTTCTCTCCCCCAATAAACTGAAGATTGAACTCTATTTTGAGCTATTTTTCATTCATTTTTATGTTATCAGGAATCTCTAAAATATGTAAAAATTAGAAGAGGGATGGAAGGCTGAGTGTGGATATAACTTGACAGATAGGAAATTTAAAAACTTAATCTAAGATTTTAACACTTTTTCTTGACCTAATTTTTCCTGACCTTCTTAATGGGACAGGCTCTAATGTGCTATTTAGCCTGATTTTCACACATATTATTATGAGTACTCAAATCTAAAAATAACAACTTTGTCAATATTTCCTCAGGACTATGACCAGGGTGCCATGAGAATGTGATATTATAATATCATCTCTGCACTTAATTTTAAAGAAGGAAATCATATTCAAATGACAATGCCTTCAACAGTGGTTCCATGAAAAGAATAGCAAATTTCTGTTCAACAATGAGCGTGAGAAAGAAAAACAGGAGAACTCAGGAAATATGAATAGTTTAAGTTAGTTCAGCCATTGTGGGAAACAGTGTGGTGATTCCTCAGAGACCTAAAAACAGAAATATTATTCAACCCAGCAATCCCATTACTGTATATATACCCAAAGGAATATAAATCATTCTGTTATGAAGACATATGCACATGTGTGTTCACTGCAGCACTATTAACAAAAGCAAAGACACAGAATCAACACAAATGCCCATCAATGACATATTGGATAAAGAAAATGTGGTACATATACACTATGGAATACTATGCAGCCATACAAAAGAACAAGATCATGTCCTCTACAGGGACCTGGGTGGAGCTGGAAACTGTTATCCTTAGCAAACTAACGTAGGAACAGAAAACCAAATACTGTATGTTCTCACTTATAAGTGGAAGCTAAATGATGAGAACACTGGTCACATAGAGGGGAACAACACACATTGAGGCCTTTCGGAGAGTAGAGGTTAATGGGTGGGAGAAGGGAGAGAATCAGGAAAAATTACTAATGGGTAGAGGGCTTAATACCTGGCTGATGAAATAATCTGTACAACAGACCCCCATGACACAAGTTTACCTGTGTAACAAACCTGCACTTGTACTCCTGAACTTCAAAGTTAAAAAAAAAAACACTTAAAGTAAAAATAAAACTGTACAATTAATGAGACTTTTTATAAGTCAAAAAAGCCATTAAATAATATTCTCTTGCACGTTACATATTGAATTTCGCTACAACCTTTTCTGTTTTACCTAAGTTTTTCAGAACTGACATAGATTGTGTTAATTACACAAAAATTCAGAGGGTGGCAAGAGTACATACATTTCCATATTTTAATCTTCACCTTGCAAGAAGGCACATGTGGCTTAGAAGCTCTTCCGTCCAGGACTGAGGTATTTACCTGACATATCTTAGATGTCAGTGAATCAACTGTCAGCATTTATTGATCATCTTCCAGGATATTAGTGCTTTGCAAGTATCTCTGGATTAATGAGTAAACATTTTGCAAGTGATTTGCAAGTATCTCTGGATTAATGAGTAAAAGAGGCAGTGAGGAAGAGGCTCAGAGATTATTCTAACTGATGATTTAAAAATATTTTAGAATGACTTGTGCATGGTGATTACTGAATACTCATGAGGAGCCTTCAGTCCACCTGTGCTGGGCACACATCAAGTCTCCATGTTGTATAATGAGTCTTTTTATGAGTTCACAATTTGTGTCATTGATTTTAACAAATTGACATTTATTATCTGAGCAAGTTTAATATTTCCCCAAACCTTCAGCTATGCAAAGACATGCTTTTGATGGTAAATCTTCAGTGTTTTGTATGGAATTCCAGCACAGGTATGTCTCATTTTCAGAATCACTTTTTCTTGGAAGTCTGTCTTAAAAAATATTACATTAAAGAAAGAGACCCTGGATTGTCCTTAAGAAAAAAGATGATTGAGTTTAGCAAATCTACATTTCCCCATATATATCTACTTTCCACAGTAAAACGAATCCTGATTCTGAAATTTCCTTATGATATTTTTATCTAATTTTCATTTTGAGGGCACAGAAAATGGAATGAATTACACTTATCTTCATCACTGGGGTTTAGTATAAAACAAAAATGTTCCCAAATGGCAAAACCAAGAAAAGGTATAAAACTTAAACATAACTTTTATTCTACATCTATATTAATACAGTACAGAATAAACTCATTGGGTTTTGTTCGATCCTAAATATAGCAAGAACGCCTATTGTGAGTCTGCAATTGAATTTTTCTCACTTGAAGCTACTACCTAAAATTTTACCTTACCTTTAGACAGTTAAAATAGGGGAAAAAAGAAAATGTTTTGGACAAGTATTATTGAAACATGATTTGATCAAAATCATTTCGCTCATTTATTTTGATTATATTTTCAAATTCATATAATATATGACATATGAGTCATATAACATACAATATATATGACATATAAAAGTCATGTAACTCATATTTTTACTTTCTGGCCAAGAAAATGCCATTTGTTACTTAAGGTTTTTCTTTTAGTGAAAATTCAAAATCAAATAATGAAAAAGTGTTTAACACAATTAGAACATATATTGGAATAAACAATTCCTATTGTTTTGTATTGTATTGTTTGGTTGGTTGTCCATAACAGACCTCTGTGAGAACTGGATTATGAATTTTTATTGCTACGATCTACTTTGATTAATTCATAATTGCTATGTTTCATGAGTTTATAATGCTGACAGAGTTAGTATATCTCAAAGTGCAAATTCATAAAGGAAGGGTAACTTGATTCTAATTCAATTACTTAGGAATTCAACTTTGAGCCAGTTGGTACTTAAAGAAGTCTGGATTTGTTGATTTTACTTCACAGTAATACTTTCCAGTTGCCATTGCTATTTATTTATTATTTTTGCATATTCTCCACACTTATCTAAGATGGCTGCTATACTCAGAATTTCCAGAGATTAATATGCTGAGGTCTGAAAATTCAAGTGTGCAATAAGCATTGTCTGGTAAACTATAAGCCCTTCCATGTGAAATTAGTCTTGGGCTTGGTTCGTAATTGGTCACCCTTTTACTTCCATGCAATCCTTTTCTTTACAATGAGAAAATGAGCATATCATTTATTCATTCATTCACTGATCAGATATTCATGAGAGCCTACTGTAAGCCAAGCATGATTCCAGCACCGAAATTAACTGTGGTGAATCAGGCAGGCAAGCTCTCAGCTCTTGGGAAGCTTACAGGCTAATGAGAGAGACAGCCAATTAACAAGACAACAATAAATAAAGATCAAAGTGCTATAAAAACTACACAAGGGAATGTGGAAAAGGGGAGTCTGGGGCACTTCATCAGATGGGATAGTTAAGAGTGGCCACTCTCTGTAGATGACATTTGAGCTGAACCCTCAATAATGAGAAACAAGAAACTATGCAACGATCTTGGAAAATTACCTCCAGACAGAGGAAGTAGCAAGGCAAAGATTCTGTGCCTGTGATTCCTTACCATTTGCATTTTCTGCTTTGTTAGGGGTTCTTTACATAAACATTTATCCACACCAATAGGGCATAGTAACATCTGTTCTTGTTAATTTTACTCAGAGGACTGAGTAGTTTAGAGGAAAAATCAATTGGTGATCCATCTCTCTACTGCAAGGATAACATACTTTGTTTTACTGGTGTAAAAAGTTTGGGTTGGACTTTCTTGTGTTTTCAAAACTGGTTCCCCTCTTGGGATTAGTGGCACTGAGAGTCATCATATAGAAAGCAATAGAGAAAAAAAAGTGGCTGTTGTGAATAAGAGAAAACGGGAGAAATGCTGGCCTCTGGTCTAAAGCAAGAACAAAAACCTGATATATCTTGGTTTTGTTTTGTAAGAAAAATCAATGAGTTTATCTTATTTTCTGACATGTTGGTGTTATATTGCTGAGTTGTCATCTTAATTTCTGTTCTTAGAGGCAATCAGATGCATGGATCCTTAAAAAACAGTAATCCTGGGCCGGGCGCGGTGGCTCACGCCTGTAATCCCAGCACTTTGGGAGGCCGAGGCGGGCGGATCATGAGGTCAGGAGATCGAGACCATCCTGGCTAACACGGTGAAACCCCATCTCTACTAAAAATACAAAAAATTATCCGGGCGTGGTGGCGGGCGCCGGTAGTTCCAGCTACTCGGGAGGCTGAGGCGGGAGAATGGCGTGAACCCGGGAGGCGGAGCTTGCAGTGAACCGAGATCAGCCACTGCACTCCAGAGTGCAGACTCCATCTCAAAAAAAATAAAAAAAATAATAAAAAATCCTGATTATCGTTCTAGCGGTTCTCAAACTGACTTGTGTGTACAAAAAGGTGCTTCCTGTAAGTAATTGTTCATCACCTTATAAGGCTTATTAGGATATATGTTATAACTGTATAAATCTATTATATATATCTTTATATAAACACACTCATATATACATAGTTATATACATACATACTTTTCATCAGAATTACTGAAATCAACTAATACCACCAAACCAAACTAAGGAGATAGTCCCCCCATAAAACTTGAGGCTATGATGTGTCTGATAAGCCATGGCCAGAAGCTTGCACATGCACTCAAGCACGAGCACTAGTGCACAACCAGCCAAAGTGAGAAAACCAGTGAGATAAAGAGGCCTGCCTAAGGTCACACAGAAGGGCGGCGGGTAGTCTGAGAACACAGCCACGACTCTGGGCTGCCAATTCAGTCCAGTGCTTCCTCCTGGGGAAAATTACAGACCAGCTCAGACGGTACCTGCACAGACAATGGCCTTATTCTTTCTTTACTCTCCTAATTTGATTATTTTTTTCTTGCCGTAGGACTTAAGTAAGACATTTTGGCAGGCACTTAAAAAGAGGAGTGCCAGGCACAATGAAAGAGTCCATGGGTGATTCTGCTGCAAGACCAAGGAGAAATAAGTTATTGATGATGTTTAAAGGCAGAGAGGCCCATGGCTTACTGAGTACCCAGTGTTGCTGATAACTCTCATCTTCTTATTCCTCTGTTGGAAAAAAATTATAGGGTTGAATTGCTCCTTAACTGTTTTCTAAGGAGAAAAAAGGGATAGTGTTTATTGCATTGATTTTTTTGCTTTATTTAATTTATTTTTCAAAATTCTTCTTTAATAGCACATTGAAACATGGATGTGTAAATTGTTTTATGTCTTCTTATCTTCAAGTGCAGTAACTAACAATGACAATTTTTCCAGTTGCTTATCACTCTGCTGCAACCAATAATAGTTATTCATAAGTTACTCTTTTTAATGCATAAGGCTATTGAATAATGTTAGTCTTAAACTAGGTATCTTATTCCATAGTTGAAGACTGTAGACTGTTTTTGAACATTCTTTGAACCATTTCTTGTGGTTCAAATGAGTTCAGCCACCACTATAGTTTCACCAAGTCTTCCTTAGAGTGAGAGTACCTTGTCAGCCTTCTGGACTTCAGTGTAAATGGCAAATTGTAAGGGGTAAATAAGTGTATGTGTGCTTTGTAGGAAGGCACCAGAGGTCTGTGCAAGTTTTGTTTGTTTGTTTGTTTGTTTGTTTTTGGAGACAGAGTTTTGCTCTTGTTGCCCAAGCTGGAGTGCAATGGTGCGATCTTGGCTCACTGCAACTTCCACCTCCTGGGTTCAAGCAATTCTCCTGCCTCAGCTTCCTGAGCAGCTGGGATGACAGGCGCGTGCCTCCATGCCTGACTAGTTTTTTGTATTTTTAGCAGAAACGGGCTTCACCATGTTACCCAGGCTGGTCTTGAACTCCTGACCTCAGGTGATCTGCCCGCCTCAGCCTCCCAAAGTGCTGGGATTACAGGCGTGAGCCACCGCGCCCGGCCAAGTATTTTTAAATGTACTGTCCTTGTGGAGGATTTCTTTGTCATAGAGCTCCTTCCTCTAGTGACCCTTTGTTAATCTGGGACAGTGTAAACTCAGCCATAAACTGTCAACTCCTGGAGAGGGGCTAGAGATCATTGGTCTTTTTATACCCAAGGCGTTGCCTGGAGGCCGGCCCCAGTGCAGATTCTCAATGAATGTGTGTTTGATTCATAATCATGTATGTACTATCTCTCTTCTAAAGGAACACCTTTAATCAAGCAAAGGAAATATAGCTGTATAAGTGGAGTATCTAGTCGGATCAATCATCTCGTATAGAATTTTGTGTGTTTATTCCTCTTTCAGTAGCTGAATTGATGCAAATGATAAACACTAAGGTCGCTGAACGGACATAAGGTAATGATTTTCACGGTGTTTTGGTTATACAATCTCCAAAACATGCAGCTTTATCTATAATACCATTCATAAGTTTAAAAATAATTGGTAAAAAGGCTGCAACTATACTTTCCATTGCCCTAAATATCTTCCAGAACTCATCTTGAATGACTTCTCCATCCCCCACCCTCCTGTGCCTTCTCTCTGCCAGAGGCTTCCCAGTTCGCCGGCCCAGACTCATCTTACAAAGAAAATACTCCGAATCAATTGGCAAGTGCTTACAAGTCATTAGCTTCTTGCTGAGTTAATTAGAAGTCATTAACTTCAAGGGTTAGGACACACAGAATACCCTTGCCTGGGGTTTCTGAACCGAATTTAAAGTTGTACATGGAAGACAATATCTAAATATCCTTAGTTTAAGAAATATGTTTAAGAAATAGTAAGAGTTTAAGCCCCCAAAAGCCCCAGTGATGTTCCCTCTAAAAATAAGTAAACATGTAAAACTAAAAACTCACATTTGAAAACTGTGACCTCCCAAGGAGTTGGACTGTAGCCAAAAAGCACATTGGATCCATTCCTGTATCCAAGGTAGTTTTTCCATTGGCCACCAGGTACTAAAGTTCCAACTCCCCTGCCCTAGAAATGTCGTGGCTGGCGGAGCCTGGGGGCATTGTCAGCCTCACATGCAGGAGGCATGGACATGTTCACCGCATGCACACACACCTTCACAATCAGTGCACTTACAAACACACATGCACACCTAATTTCTATTACTTGATAATGTGAGAATAAGAGCCAGAGTATACCTAAAAAGGAAAAGTCAAGCTTTAGAAAGTAACCACCTAAGTAAATTCCAAGTACTTGAGTCTGTACTTAGTATTTGATAACTTAAATACTCATTTGTACCACAGGCAAGCTAATTTTGTTAGATACTCACTGGGAGGTAGTTCTGTAATAGTATTATTGTTTGTATGCTGAGAAATTTATTCATTCAAAGAGACAGTCTGTATGCAAATCTGACAAAGAGATTTGAAATTGTAATGATTTCAGACATAGAAATGTTGTAAGTATTTCCAATTCTGCTTCAGAACTTACCTATTTAGATCTTTGCATCTTGCTCTCAATCAGTGTGTGTGTATCTCTCTCAAAAAATGTATGCAATGAACCAATGCTATATTCTTTGATTAAAAATAGAGACATGGTAGGTTTTTGATTTAAATGATAGGCTGGGGAATTTGACAACCCTGCTTTTTATATTGAGAAATTCAGTTAATTCTTCTAAGTCCTAATTTCTTCTTGTAAAAGATGAGAATAATAAAACATAGATGATAGTGAAATGAATTAATATGTAAAAGCACCTAAAATAGTGCCTCGCACATAACAAACATCAATAAATATTAATATCAACGATGTCAATTGTTGTTTGTAGAGCTAACCTATTCTGTCTTCATACGGATATTTTTGTACTGAGCCATGGTTAAGAATTCTAAAACAGATTTGATTTATCCCAAATATGAATATGTAGGAAGATGAAGCTAGGCAATGTAGATATTTCCTGTGACTATAATCTATATAGAGGTAAAAGCTTGCATTTTAACTTCACCTTATTGATAATGACTTACATTATTTCCTCTGTCTCCCATTTATTCCGTCACATTCTTTGTGATCACTGACAATTTCCACACTTGATTGGGTACCACCTTATTGGAATCTATACTTGACATTGTCCTTAAGCTAATGTGTGAACTTAAATGAGCTTTAGCAAAGCTTTCTTCAGTATCAATAGCAAAAACAACCTCACCTGCCATAAAATAAGCAGTTTCGGGTGTCTCGTGAACGTATGTATGTATGGCCAGACACGGTGGCTCACACCTGTAATCTCAGCACTTTGGGAGGCTGAGGCAAGAGGACACCTTAAGGCCAGGAGTTTGAGTCCAGCCTGGGCAACATAGGAAGACTCTGTCTCTACAAAAAAAAAAAAATTAAAAAATTAAAAAACACATTTTTAATGACATAAATACTTAAATGACAGCATTTAAAAGCAATGCTGTCAAACACACCAAATACCTAGGAATAAATTAAATGATAGATATGAAGAGTTTGTATGCTAAATATTATGTAACACTGAAAAATTTAAAAATGATTCTGAACATCACATTCCTAGATTGAAGATGATAAAGATGGCAATTCTGATGAGATTGATTGTATTCACTGAATGTAATCTCAGTCAAAATCATGGGAGAATTTGCAGAAATTGAAAAAATGATTCCAAAATTTACATGGGAGTACAAAAGACTACACATAACCAAGATAATGTTAGTTTTAAAAACTACTTAAAATGATTATTTAAAAGTTAAAAAATTGTTCATTAAAAATTTTAATTGCAAATATTATAAAAATTGATTAAACATGCAATTAAAAATTTTAAGTTAAAATTGTATAAATTTTCCAAACCTTCATGAATTTTTACTCATATATAAGCACTATGAAGTTTAAGATGTAGAGTTTTTTCAGAGGTCAGGATGGCTCCCTCATGCTGCCATCTCCCAGTCAAAATCCCCCTTCCAATGCCTGCTCTTCCAATGCCTATCACCATAGCATACTTTCATTTGCTGTTGGACTTCATATGAATGGAATCACGTAGAATTTACTCTTTTGGGTCTGGATACATTTACTCAACATGGTGTTTGAGATGTATTCATGTTGTTGTATATAGCAGTTGTATTGTTGCATTGTATATAGCAGTATATGTTGTTGTATATAGCAGTTACATTGCTTTATATTGTATGTGTGCCATTCCATTGTAGAGTTTATTACATTTAATATATGTACTGTACTGTTAATAAACATTGTAATTGTCTCCAATACATACCTAGGAGCAGAATTGCTAGGTGATAGAGTAAGCATATGTTAACATTTTTCAGAATGTGTCAGTTTTTGAAGTGGTTGTACCGATCTACTGTCCCACTAGAAATATGTAAAATTCACCCCAAATGCTTGCCAGTACTTGTTAACTGGTCTTTATAACTGTAGCCATATCATGGGTGTATAATGGCGTATTGTTATGATGTGAATTTGCTTTTCTCTGATAACTAATGCTGTTGAGCACTTTTGCATATGCTTATTGACCATTGGAATATACTCTTTTGTAAAGTTCCTGTTCAAGACTTTTGCTCATAAAAAAAAATTCTCATTGATTTGAAGAAGTTCTTTTCTATTCTGGGGAAAAGCGCTTTGTCAGATTTATATGTTGCAAATATCTTCTCCCAGTATATGGCTTATCTTTGTCACTTTCTTACCAGTTCTGCTTTGATAAACATAAGTTCTAAATTTTACTTTATTTTATTTATTTATTTTTAGACAAGGTCTGCCTCTGTCACCTAGGCTGGAGTGCAGTTGCACAACCTCGGCTCACTGCAGCCTCCGCCTCCCGGGTTCCAGCAATTCTCTCGCCTCAGCGTCCCAAGTAGCTGGAATTACAGGCACCTGCTACCACGCCCGGCTAATTTTTATATTTTTTAGTAGAAACGCAGTTTCACCATGTTGATCAGGCTGGACTTGAACTGACCTCAAGTGATCTACCCACCTCGGCCTCACAAAGTGATGAGATTACAGGCATGAGCCACTGCACCGGGCCAGGAGTTCTAAATTTTAATAAAGTTTATTTCATCAGTCTTTTATTTTTGTGGTCAGGACTTTTTATGTCCTGCACAGTCCTAAGTTTATAAAAATATTGTACTATATTTTCTTCCAGAAACTTTACTGTATTTTCTTGCATATTAAGGTCTATGATTCATGTCAAATTAATTTTTGTGTATGGTGAGCGTTAGAGTTCTTTTTTTCCAATAAGATATTAATGCAACAGGATCTATTAAAAAGAATCATGTTTGCTTCCCCAACTGCATTTCACTCATGCGTTTATTGTAAATCAGGCAGTGATTTATGTGAGCATCTGTTTCTAAATACCTTCCAATAGTGTATTTGTCTATCCTTGTACCAATACCACACCATTTTAAACTTACAGCACTTTTATAGTAAGTCTTCACATTTACTAATCTGTGTGCTATTCAATTTTATTTCAGTATTTCATTGGGTATTGTATTTCTACATACATATCAGAATCATATTATACATTTCTTTTTAAAAAGCCTGCTGAGATTTTAATTAGAATTGCGCTGAATATGTAGAACACTGACATTTTATCAATATTGACTCCTCTAGTCTCTCCTTTTATTTAGGTCGTCCTTATGCTGCAGATTTCTAGAGGTACTGTATACTTTTCATTTGATTATTCTCAATATTTTTATTGTTTAAATTATTGCAAATGATAGTATATTAATTTATTTTCTTTTCATCAATTGCTAGTGTCTAGAAATATAATTGATTTTTTAATATTGACTTTGTATCCAGGAACTTGTTGTTATAGTCACTTAATCATTGTAACAGATTCTTTGTAATTCTTCTGGCTTCTCTCCATTCACAATCCTGTCATAACTGAAATTTACCTCCTTTTCAAACTTCGTAACTTTCATTCCTTTTCGTTGCTTAAGTGAACTGCATAACTTAAGCTCTGCTACAATGCTGACTGGCTGTGGTGTTAGTGGACATCTTAGTCTTATTTCCAAACTCATGGAGAAAGCATTCAGGTTTTCTACAATACATATGATGTTATCAATAGTTTGTTTTTGTCAATGCCCAGGCTGGTCTCAAACTTCCGGGCTCAAGCGACCCTCTTGTCTCAGCTTCCTAAGGTGCTGGGATTACAGGCATGAGCCACCACACCCGGCCTGTAAGTAAAGTTTCATTGGAGCACGGCCATACTCATTCATGTATGTATCATCTATGGCTGCTTTTGAGTTATTATGGCAGATTGAGGAGTTGCTTATAGAGACCCTGTAGTCCATCAAGGCAAAAATATTTACAATCTGGACTTTTAGAAAAATAGTTGGATGACTCTTGATTTATCACATGTCCAAGGTGAGAGGCATAAGGCTGCTTATTAGAGCACTGTTTCATAGTAAAAAAAAAAAAAAAGCAAGAACAGTTTTAAATTCTCATTAATAAGGGAGTAGACAACTGGACTGTGGAATATTCAATCACAGAGAAATTCTGTACAGCAGTTAAAGTGACTGAGCCATGTTTCAACACTGACAAATTTCAAAAGAATGACTAAAAGAAAATTCCATTGATATAAAATAACTATAAAACACTTTAAGTAAACTTTTAAACACACAAATAATACAGTATGTATTTTTCTGAGACATGTATCCATTTCACTGCCTTTAGTCTCCACGTGTAGTATGTATTTCATGTTTACAAATACCATGCCCCCACTGAATTGCACGTCTGTGGGAGGGCTCAGTATCACCTAAAGTGGACCCCTCCCAAATTGTGATTCAGGAAGAAGCAGTGCAGTGTAGTGATTCAATGCATAACCCTAGAGATGAGCTGCCTCCATTAGAAAATTGGCTCTGCCACTTTGTAGTCCTGTGACTTTAGGCAATTTACTCTTGGGCCTCAGTTTCCTAATCTGAGAATAGAAACCAAGGCTTCTCTCTCTAAACTCAGATAACATTAGAATGGAAGGACTGGACAAAGGTCATCTAGTTGATTTGCATGGATATTTCCTGGGGGCCTAAGGATTCCTTGAAAAACCTCAGATGTTCTTTATGTCTGCAGATTAAGAGACACAAGAGGTATCCTAAGGGGCATACGTGTACATGTGTGTACGATTCCGCCTCTACGCCAGGAGAAGTAATGCTACTGAACACTTTATATATTTGACTTCCACACACTCATTTATTTGAATGTTTTAGGAAATCTCTTTCTGACTTGGCTGTCTCTTTTCTCTCTTGTCTGTCATCATTCTACCAATGCCCTGTGTTCCTCCAAACTACATGGTTTAATGAGCTTTTTCTTCTATCAAAGTACAGTATGCATGTAGAAAATATACACACCATGAGGTAGGGCTAGAAGGATTTTCACAAGCTAAACACCCCCATGTAATCTTCATTTGAGTAAAGAATAGTATAACCTTAGAAGTTTCCTTCATGCTCCTTCCCAGTCTCTGATCTTCTCCCAAAATAATTGTTATCCTGACTTCTAACATCATTGATTACTTTTGCCTTTTCAAATTCTTACAGACATTTAATATGAATAAATTGTTTATCTGCTTTATCGTATCTGTCACGTTCTGCTCAATATTATGTTTATGAGACTCATCAGTGTTATAGTGCGTGGCATTATTTTATTCATTTTCACTACTGTATGGTACTCCTTTTTATGACTGTCAATTTATGTATCTATTATGCTATTTAAGTACATTTTTATTGTTTACATTGTTGGCTATTACAAACAATGCTCATGTAAACATTCTTGTATATGGCCTTTAATAAACACAGGTATAAACTTTTGTTAGGAATATATTAGAAATGGAATTGATGAGTTCTTGATGTTTTGCTAATGTCAATTTTAATAAATTCTACTACACTCTTCCTCAAGGTGTTGTTACCAACTTACCCTCCTACCAAAAAATGGATGAGAGTTCCAATTACTACATAACCTTGCCCACATTTGGTATTGTGGTTCTTTTTAACTTTTGCCCTTCTGTTAGATATTTAGTGGTATTCTATCCTCAATGTGGGCAACTCCCTCCAAAGAAACAAAAAGGAACACCCCTCACCCACAATTTTCACACTGTAGCTTGCCTTTTCATTCCCTTACCGGTCTTAGCTTGCTAAACAGAGGTTTGTAATTTTAATGAAGTTTAATTTTAAAATGATTTTTCTTATATTTAGTGCTTTTCAAGTTCTGTTTAAGAAGTCTTTGCCTACACCAGGATAATTAAGATATTTTCTTATGTTAACTTCTAGAAGCTTTATCATTCTATAATTTACATTTAGATCTATGATTCATCTGAAATTGACTTTTTGCATAATATGAGGTAGGTGTAGAGATTTTTTTTCAAAATATATATTTCCAATAGCCCTGTGCCAGTTTTTGAAAGGAGTGTCCTTTTCCCTGTGATTTGCAGTACCATCTTTTCCTTCAATATAGCCATCTACGTGTGTCTATTCTTGACTCTCTTCTATTCTATTTGTGCATTTTTCTTCCTTACACCACACCAGATGGTCTTTATTGCTATAACTTTATCATAAATCTTGAAATCCAGAGTTGAGTTCCTCAGCTTTGAATTTTCTCCTTAAAGAATGCGCGGCTGACTTACTGTTCACTATCCCTCCTGCTGACAATAGGAGGAAAATCTTGACAAAATAGCAAGAAAATAACTCTTTGAATATAATGGACAGCAACCAACACAGAGAGTACTAAAGAAAAAAAATCACAGAATAACCTTGGTTTATTTCCTCAAAGCATTTCTCAATTCCCTGCATGGGGAAATAGCCCCAGTAGACATTAAGAGCTATTCCAAGCTGTGGAAGCAAAGGTAGGTGGCCAAAATTATTGAAATCTGAGGGGCAAAAACAGAGGAAAACTCAGAAGTGAGCCTCCAAATATGCATATAAATATTCTTTATATCTTTTGTATTTACCCACTTATTTATGGTATTAGTCCATTCTCACACTGCTATAAAGAAATACCCAAGACTGGGCAATTTATAAAAAAAGAGGTTTAATTTACTCACAGTTCCACATGGCTGGGGAGGCCTCAGGAAACTTAGAATTGTGATGGAATGTGCCTCTTCACAGGGCAGCAGGAGAAAGAAGTGCCTAGAGAAGGAGGAAGAGCTTGTTATAAAACCATCGGATCCCATGTGAACTCACTCACGATCACAAGAACATCTTGGGGGAAATTCTCTTGAATTGTAATCCCCATAATTCCCACGTGTCAATTACCTCCATCTGGTCTCTCCTTGACACGTGGGAATTATGGGGATTACAATTCAAGATGAGATTTGTGTGGGGACACAAAGCCTAACCATATCATTTATCATTGCAGGTATTTGTCATTACCTCTAAATTTTTGTTTGATATGATTTCCCTTCATTCTAAAAAATTCTTTTTATATTTCTCTTAGTGCTGGTATACTGGCAATGGATTCTCTCAGATTTTGTTTATCTGAAACTCATTTTATTCACATTTCAAACAATATTTTTACTTAAAAAAATACTATTCTTATGGAAAATAGAAATTCTGAGTGGTAGTTCTTTTCTTAAACACTTTAGAAATGCCATTCCATTGTCCTCTGGACATCACTGTTTTTTATTAGAAGTCATCACTCATTCAAACCATTGTTCCCCTGTCTATATCTTGATTTCTGGCTGCTTTTAAGATATTTTGCTTATCTTTGAATTTCAGTAATTTGCTTATGCTGTGCCTAGATATGGCTACCTTTACGTTTATCTGGCTCTGGGTTTGCTGCAATTTTTGGATCTGGGTTGATAATTGGATCATCTTTTTCAATTAGTTTTTGGATCATTGGTGCTGGCACAGCAAATGTTATGTATGTTAGAGTGCTTGATGTCCTTCAGGTGACTGCAGTTTTTGTTTGTTTGTTTTTTTTTTTTGGGGTATCAGATTCTCTTCTTCAGATTGGGAAATTTTTAATATTTTATCTTTAATTTTCATTGTCCTTTCTTATATAATCTCCATTCTGCTATAAAGTTCTGGTGGATTTTTATTTTAGATGGTGTCCTTAAAAGAACTGTGTTCATGCTTGGCTTTAATAGATACTACCAAATGCTTTCCTAAAGGGTTTACATCAATTTATACTCTCCTTTATCAATTTGCACTCTCACCAGAAATGTGTGACAGTTACATATGTTTCACATCCTTGCTAACACTTGGTATTGTCAGTCTTTTCATTTAGGCAATTCTGATGCATGTGTGTAGCAGCAGCACATTGTAACTAATGATATTTATATACATATTCAGATTTATGTTCACATTCATTCTGTATCAATTTCTACATATTTTTGTCATTTTAGAATCTAGCCTAAGTATAAATTGTTAGAAAACCATCAAAAGACATTTGATATTCATGCAAACTAAAGTTGTAAATAAGGTGGTAAATAGGGAGCAGTATTAAACATAAGTGTATGTTGTTCTATAAGTAAGCAATAGTCCATTTCTAAGGGTAGGAGTTGTTTTGTAGAACAGCAGGAAAAAACAAAAGTCAGAAACTGCTCCAACTTATGACATGCAATAAATGAAACAATCTCAGCAGTAGACTCAGAAGGTACAGTGGAAAGAATGAGACATAAGAAGGCACAATGGAAAAAAATGGTCTTATCAAGTTCTAGACATTCATTTGATATTTTATAATATATTTAATTACTATGCTAAGATTTCTCATCTGTTTACTTGTTGACTTTTCTTTTACTTTCTTGAACATTCTTATAGCTGTTTTAAAATCACTGTCTGCTAATTCCAATATCTAGGTTATATTAAAATCTGTTTCTACTACTTATTTGTGTCTTCTGATCATGGGTGATATGGTTTGGAGGTTTGTCCCCTCCAAGTCTCATGTTGAAATATGATTCCCAATGTTGGAGGTGGGACCTAGTGGGAGGGGTTGGGTGATGGAGGTGGATCATGAATGGCTCTGTGCCTTCCCTGCAGTAATGAGTGAGTTATTACTCTATTACTTCACCCTAGAGCTGGTCGTTTAAAGGAGCCTGGTGCCCCCTCCTACCTCTCTCTTGCTCCCTCTCTTGCCTTGTGGTGTGTTTGCTCCCCATTCACCTTCCTCCATGATTGGAAGCTTCCTGAGATCCTTACTGAAAGCAAATGCTGGTGCCATGCTTTTTGTATATCTTGCAGAACTGTGAGCCGAACAAACCTCTTTTCTTTATAAATTAGCCAGCCTCAGGTGTTCCTTTATAGTGATGCAAAATGGACTAAGACCATGGCATAATTTTCTGCTTTTTAGATTATCTAATTATTGTTGATTTTGTACATTACACATTTTTGATGACATTGTAAAGAGTCTGGCTACTATTGTCTTCTTTAAAGAGTATTAAAATTTCTCTCTTAGGCAGTTAATTACTGGTAGATCCTCTTAGTACTGTTGGGCTCAGCTTAATTATTTCTTAAAGCTTGTCCTCTTTTGTCCTAAATCACAGCCTAAGCATACAGCCTTACTCTGGGCTGTATGTAGCCCTTTCTCTTAAACTGTGGCGTTTCTGAGGTCTTAATTGAATGGCCAAGGGTCTCAGTGAGGTTTCTCCCCTCTGACTGGATAGGACTTCTTATCTCCCAGCACTGTGGTGTCCTCATTCAAATCTTGATCCCATACAGCACTCTTTGCTGGCCTCACAGAGATTTACCTGTGATTAATAACCTAGTTCTCAGACAAGAACCTATGTAAAACCTCACTCGGACGTCTAAGACTCCTTTGTGTCCAACTGCCTCCTCTATGGAGTCCTGATAAGCTCCAGTCATTCCTGTATCTCTGAACTCCAGTTTGTGCTTACTCCGCTCAGCAAAACCACTGTGCTCTGTTTGTCCTCCGTGCACTGTGGTTTAGAAGGTATCTACTCACTAAAAGCTTGGGTAAGCACTGGGCTTTTATGTTTCCCTTTACTCAACAAAAAATCTTACACTGCCTGTTGTCCAGTGCTTGAAAGAGTTGCTTCATTTTTTTCCCCCAGCTTTACAAATTGTTTACAGTGGAGGGACAAATACAGTACTAGTTACTGAGTCATGACCAGAATTTGAAATTCCCTGTTTGGATAACCAGTTTATACAAGCCTGAATAGAGTTGGAGTGTACTTTCTCCATTTCCATTTTCTGGAATAATTTTTAAAATGTAAAAATTGTTTATTATTTTAGGAATAATATAAATCTTTTGGTAAAATTACATAGATTCAGTAATTTTTAGGTAGATTTTGATTATTTATTTGATTAAATCATTATATTTCATGATTATTGGCCTATTAAGATTTCTATTTCCTTATAAGTCATTTTCAGTAAATTATAAGGAAATTATAGATTTCATCTGAGGCTACAAATTTATTGACATGTGAGCACATTTTAAATACATTAAACCTGTTACAAATCAATATAAACCAATTATATAAATGGTAAAGAATATGGACAGGCAGTTCAGAGATAAATGACTATTGAAAATGTTTTAAAATTTTATCTACTTTCATAAAACAAAATAAAGATACCTTTTTTATTGACCAGATTGTAAAAAAAGTTATATAAGCTACTAGGTAAGTAAACATGTGGTTAACCAGGCATTCATACTCTATTGGTAAGAGACAATATTGCCCTAGAATCTGTCAAGAGAATTTTGGTAAGAATTTTCAAAATCTGAAATATTCACACTCTTTGACTTAGCAATTCCACTTGTAGAAATTGATTCTGTAATAGACATATATATAAGGATATTTATTGAATTGTTATTTAAATAAAAGAGTCTATTCATACAGATAAAAACATGCAACTACTAGAAAGGTAATAAATTTATAAATGATGATATATAGAGGTCTCATATATATATATAAATGAAAATAAAATAAAAATGAAACAAACAAAAACAACACACACACACACACACACACACACACCCCCCACACACACAGTGCAGAGCCATGAGTATAGTAGTATCTCACTGGAATAAAAACGTACTAAAACACACACACATATACCTGAGGAACTGGTATCAGAGAGTACCTCTGAAGAAGGAATTGGGGAACTGAGATCATAGGATAATTTTTTAAACTGTATGCCCTTTTGTACTAGTAAGTTTTTTTGACATGTGAGTCAGAACCTATCTACTACATTAAGTGAGCACTTACTGCGTAGAGGATTTGAATGTGTGGTTACCAAGAGTTACTCTAAACAAAAGAGCTGGACGAGATTTGACAGGAAAGGCAAAAAATAAATAAGGAAAGAATTCTGTCCTCTGGCCATTCTTAATGTAACAGAGAAAAATAAGGCATAACAAATTAAGTAAAAAGTCATTTTTGTTTATTGTGTATGTATTACTGGAAAATAGTAAAAAATTGCATGATGTGTTTTAGCTATTTAGAATGATTTATTGAACAGGAGATGTAAAGCCAAGATTCCAAATTGACAGATAACTATTAAATCACTTAAAAATCAAAAGGATAAAATGCTCCACTAAGCACTGCTGAAATACAACAATCTGATTCTTGTCTAGAAACCTGTATGAGCACATGAAAAAATTGCCATAGCATTTTGACAATTGCATAATTGCCCTGCTCAGATCACTTCCACAAACTCTAATTTCTCTTAATTAAAATCTAAATTCTTTAAACTAACTTATTATCTTCTCAAATCTACATCCAACTTGTTTTTGTTTCTCCCTCTTCCTACCTGTATGCTTCTAAAATTTTATTATTTACAGTTTTTAAAACGTTCCACTCTCATTTCCACCACTCCACTTTCTTTCATGTTATTTTGTGACATGGATTTTTTTTGTCTTGCACTCTGTTAAAAGCTTTCTCAAATTCCTTCTGTTAATACTTGATTTATACTACTTCCACTACAATAAACAAAAACGACTTTATACTTAATTCGTGTATGTCTTATTTTCTCTATATTACATTATAAATAGCTGGAGGACAGAATTCTTTCTTGATCCATTTTTGCCTTCCCCATGGAAACCAGTCCAGTTTCGCGTGCTCAGCAGCTCTCAGTAACCACACATTCAAATCCTCTATATACTAAGTCCTCACTTCATCTCAGCCATTGGTTCATGGAAACCGCGACCTGAAGCGAAACGAATGTAACTAAACCAATTTTCCCATAGGCTTATATAAAGAAGACTTAAATTCCTAGGGCGTATTTCTTTTCCTTTTTTCTTAAATTTAATTTTAAGTTCCGGGATACATGTGCAGAACGTGCAGGTTTGTTACGTAGGTAAACATGTGCCACGGTGGTTTGCTGCACCTCTCAACCCATCGCCTAGGTATTAAGCCCCGCATGCATTCGCTATTTATCCCGATTTTCTCCCTACCCTCGTCCTCCCGACAGACCCAGTGTGTGTTCCCTTCCCTGCGTTCCTGGGGCATATGTCTAGTCACAAAACATCACCAACTTATGCATAAAGACTAAAACACTTCCAGTATTAAACATTGAAATATGTGTGAGCTAAATGTACTATTAAGATAGAGTCAAAAAACAGAGAATTATTTACGCAATTTTTGGTGAATCGGTAAGTGATGGCAGTCGTAGTGGTGGTGGGTAAAATCAAAGAATAAGTGTGTTTGCAAAGCATTTTAAAATTCCAGTTCAGGGTCTAGAGTGGCCAGAGCCTATCCCTATAGCTTTGGACTCCCAGCAGGCACCAGCCTGGCCTGAACACCCTCCCATCACTGGTGATTCACATGCACACTCACACACTCACACCCACATTCACCCACACACCCACACCCACACTCACACACTCACACTTGCTCACACTCACCCACTCAACCACACTCGCTCACACTTATCCACTCACACTCTCACCCTCACTCACCCCCACACACTCACACCCACACTTGCCCACACTCATCCACACTCACACTCACCCACACTTACCTACACCCACCTCACACTCACACTCACACTGGGGCCATGGAGGATCAACTCACAGGTACAGCTTTGGGATGTGGGAGGAACCCAGAATGTATGGAGAAAACCCACACAGACGTGGGGAGAACACACACTCCACACAGACAGGGTCCCCAATGGGAATTCATTTTTTTCTCCTCAATTTTAGAACACAGCGTTGAATGAAATGTTATTCGAGGACCTGCTATATATAAGATTGACACTTGGGATAGCAGTGCTTAGTCATATATGAAGGACAGGAAGGAGCCCATTGTGCCTGAAAAGTAGGAAATAAGCCAGACAATGGAAGATGTGGTTGGAAAAGTAGCAACGCCTGGATTACAGGGGGCATGTCACCTTGGTAAAGAATATGGATTCTTATTTACCTGTATGGTAATAGTATTGGAAACTATTAATCTGTCCCTGACAATCTGCTTTGTGTTTGGTTGTTGTGTAGAGAGAATGCACTGAAGGAGGTGAAGCTGAAATGAAAGCCTGGAGACCAACATGAAGTTGATGCATTAATACAAACAAGAGAACAGTGACCTGGACTAAACAAGTAGCAGTAAAGAAGGGAGAAGTGGCCGGGCACGGTGGCTCAAGCCTGTAATCCCAGCACTTTGGGAGGCCGAGGCAGGCAGATTACCTGAGGTCGAGAGTTCGAGACCATCCTGGCCAACATAGTGAAACCACGTCTCTACTAAAAATACAAAAATTAGCCAGGCATGGTGGTGCGTGCCTGTAATCCCAGCTACTTGGGAGGCTCAGGCAGGAGAATCGCTTGAACCTAGGAAGCAGAGGTTGCAGTGAGCCGAGATCGCACCATTGCACAGCCTGGGCAACAAAAGCAAAACTCTGTCTCAAAAAATAAAAATAAATAAAAATAAAAGAGAAAGAAGTGCTCCGATTCTGGATATATTTCAGATGTAGAATGCAAAGGACTTGCTGATGGATTAGAAGTGGGTGGAGAGAAAAAGGAGGTGCCAATGATGCTCCTAGAATTTGGGTTTGGGCTTCTGGGTGGACAGTGGTGCCATTTACTGAGATGGTGAAAAGTCAGGAAGAAGGTGGCCGTGGCAGATGAGTGGTCAAGTCAAGTTTGAATTTAGACCAAATAGAGGTGCCACTGAAATATCAGGAGAGAAGGTAAGGCTAAGGAATCATAGGCTAAGGAAACATCTGGGCATTAAAAGTCATAGTTATGGGGGAGACAGTTAGGCTTAGTTATGCTTAAGAACAGAAGACAAAAAAGAGGGCCTGAGACTGAGCTTGCCCTGGGAGAGGATTATGTTAGAAAATGCAAGCGGAGAAGGTATTTTAAAAGAAAAACAGTACACGTTCCATCCAATACTGGAGGGCAGTTGAAATCAGGACAGAGAAAAGATCACTGGATTTGGCAACATGGAAATCAGGTGATGATGATATGAGTCCTTTCAATGGGGTAGAGAGGGCAGAAGCTGACTTGAATGGGCTAAGAAGGGACATGGAGAGGAGAGACAGTAGATAGCAGATACAGACAAGAATTTTGACACATTTGCTTTTGAAAGGAAACAGAGAAATGAGGCAGAGGCTAGACCAGGATTTGGTGTGAATAGAATTTTTAAGGTGGGAGACTCACACACAATCCAGTATTAAAGGGCTTATTTAATAGAATAGGAGGATAATCAAGAGGGGAAAACATACTTCAATCATGCAATTTTGATGGCTTCAGAAAGAGTGGCCCTACCAGCCTGAAAATGTGTGAAGAAAGGCAATGAAAGCCTCATGGTCATTTGACCGAATTTTGCCCTCAGAAGTGTAAAGTCATTCCCTTTGAATCTATTATAGTGAGACCTCTCAGTGTTTCAAATTGTTGTCAAGCTCCTCAATTTTTACCAACAAACTTGAGATCAAGGATCTAATCTTAGGAAACACCTACAGACACAGAGGGAGTTAAAGGAGGAATCACAAAGAGTAAGACTAGCTTTAAGGAGAGGAGAGGGTCATTAAATTCTGTCTAGGGCAGCGTACAGATGGCAGGAGAAATGCTCTTGACTTTGATCTAGAAAAGATCACAGGTTTCAGTAAATTTGGGGAAGATGGAAACCAAATTGCAGAGGAAAGTGCATAGTGAGTAGGAAGAAACCATCTGTTCAAAGAAATGTTGTCACCATATGTAGGAGAGAGATGGCATGGCAGAAGGCAGGGGAAGCAAAGTCAATCAATCATTGTCACCAAACAGGCACACACTGGAGTAAACAGGTAGACTTGCTGGTATACTGAGAATATTGCTGCTCAAGGCACGTGTTCATAAAGGCACTTTTTACATCACATGGAGTTAGAAAGCCGGTTCTAGGAGTAGGTGAAAACATCCTAACAGCTTTTCTCATCATAAATCATAATAATTTAGAAAGCAAGAAGACAAGATAAAGATAAATTGGGCATAATGAAAATAGAATTTAGCTGTGAATCAGGAGTTTTGAGTTCTACTACAAAGGAAGGATTTCCTGTAGGCTTGAGTTTCTTATCTATAGATAGGATACAAGAATGGTTCAGATTAAACCACTTTGAAGGTCTAATTGAGATCTAAAATGCCATGATTCTAAAATAATTGCATTTCAATTTGGAAAGTGGGTCCAAAGATAGGGAAAAAATCTGAAGGAATCAGCAGAAGCAAGCATGGAGATCCACATTGAATCTCCCAAGCCAGAAGAGGAACTGCAACCCATAGGCATTGTTTGTTGCCTAAAGATATGTGACATGTAGATAAGTCAGAACAGAGTACCTTAATTCTTAATTTATATTGGGTACAGAATCTGTGAGTGGAACCACATACACTGTTTTTCCTGTAGTCCCTGTGATTGCCTTATGATTGGTAGCATGTGTGGATTAGCATAAAGAGATTTATTTTTTGAGAACCTGGAGACATTATCAGATTATTTAATACCTCCTTGATTGATGCTGAAACCAGATAATGGCAACCTGGTATTTGTCCCTACCCAAATCTTACTCAAGTGCTTTTCAATATAATCTTTGTAATCTTAGCAAAGAGTTACAATAAAGATCAAGCTAACACCTGACAACTGTTCAACATTTGATTTGTTTTTTAAATACAAAGCAAACATTCAGATTGAATTATTGCCTTAATCCACACGGATCACTTTAGTCCTGGATAAACTAGATGGAAGTCAGTAATACTCAATACTGTAGCTCTAAAAAGATGTTGCCAACCCAATATTTAATAATATACCTTTCAGACTGCCAACCATTTTTCATGCATGAGCTTTGAAAAAGCAGTTTCCAACTTGCGGATCCTTTAGTCATTTCGTAAAGGTCATGAGGAAGAATGTGGCAGACAGAGATTAAGTGTTTGTCCTGGAGTCTCTCATTGATGGAAAAGCGAAATTCCCTAGGAGCTATTTTGACTCCAAGGTAGGTTTCTAGCAACTATAGTGGAGCTAGCTGCACGTAGCCCCAAGCAGGCCAATTAATTGTCAAAACCCAGAAGGGAGTGTGCAAAGGGAACTATTAGAAAGGAAACCCCTCAATTTTCACATCCTAATCACAGCAGTCTGATCTCTAGAAAGACCTCTATAAAAGCAGTTTTGTGTTTCTCTAGATCCTTTCAGGCAAATAACCCTAGGGCTCTGATTTCTGCATCGACATTTCTTTGGCCACCGTGAACTGTGCAGCCCTTTGACAAGCCCAAGTACAGTTGCACTGTTTTTCATAAAATCAGCTTTCATTTGTAAAGCACAATGTAAATGTCAGAAATGGGAAATTTTTAGGACAAAACAGGTCACAGTCTTCCAACTTTTCCCACACAGCAGAGATTTTCCCTAATTGTGTTCAAGTGCCTACCTGAACAAAAAGGAACACTTCATTTCACTCTGTGACAGTGGCTGTGGGGTTACTATCATGCTCTGGGAATTAAAGAAAAGAAATTAGAGCGCTCTGCTCTTTTATCACCTCCTGAGAGTTGGCCTCATGGCTAGAGTAAACTTGGCCTTGAAATGGAGTTCAAATAACTTAAGGAACAGAGGTATCATGGTATTAAGCACCTGTAGGAAAGCAACATATGGCAAAATGGTGCATAGGTTGGTGATAAGTATTGTAGGAGTCATATATCTCAAGAGAGGATGGCCTGATTTGATGACTTTCACATCATTCTCTGGGTTCATCATAAATATACAAGCCATGTTTGTTTATGAGAAAGTTTGTTTGTTATGCAGATTGGCACTAGTTTTATATTTTAAAAAGTTCTCTACAATTATTCCAATCAAGTTTAAACTTTCAGAGAGACCATTGTTAAGGCTAGATTTATTCCTTCTCTTCCTTTTTTTGTTGGGACATAGCTCAACTTAGTTCTCTTTCAGAACACAAATTTATAATAATCAAATTTTAAAAGGTTTTAATGTTTTTATTATATAATTCATGATGAATAATGATTAAATTTATGGCAAGAGAAATTGGAAATTGATCATGCATATGCTGACATTTTTAGTCAATTGAATCATATACGTTAGGCTGGGTCTGTCCACTATATATCATAAAATACTCACACATTTATGACGGGCAAGGCTTTCAAAATTTACCATATCCCAGAAAACCAAGCCAAAATTGAGCATATGTTTTTCTTTTAATTATCACTTAATAATAATTCTGGGCCTTATTTTTAAAGAGCATTGGCAGGATAACTTGGCGTAGGAATCGACATGCTTTGTTGACTGGCAAGTTCTTGCTAGCGTCTTTCCTGCATTGCTGTGTTTCCTTAAACAAATCTATCAGTATTTGCAGAATTAGATCAATTGGAGCTGGAAACATCTTCCTGGATGATGGAGCCTTTCCTCTGACTCACAACCAGTTGCTGTGTGCAGCTTCTCCTGTACACTTTGGCCTAGTTTTACCACAGTAAGAAAAACGTATGTGACTCCACTTTCAGTTTCCAACGCTCATGTCTGCCCAGGATTCCCTAATTAACAGTTGACTATTTTTAACTTTTTGCGTTTTGTGTCTTACCATGTAGTTTTCAAAATTGGTTCTGGTAAAGTCACATCTGGTACCTTTAGTTGCCTTTTGGTTTCTAGACTCACTTTCTCCACTGTGAAATCTGCATGTGCTGGTACTGCTGGCAGCTCCTCCAACAGACCTGCTGAAATAGCTGCAGAATCCTTTAGGACAGGAAAGGAAGTTGCCCGAATTATTTTCTAGAGCAAAGTAAGTTAGAAAATGTGTAAACAGGTAAAGCTTTGTCACCTATAAGGTGAACCAAAGTTGTGGGGTTCATCTCTCCTCTGCTGTCCTTCCCTTCCTCACCCAGCCTCCTTCTCCTCATATTAATGTCACATTGAAATCTGTGCTACTTGCAGGAACTTGAACTTCTGTCTCAAGCATCTTTGGACACATTCTTTTCTTTCTTCCTGAAGTGGTCTTCCCTCTATAGCCTTCAAATTCATGTGTTAATTTACCCTTAAATTTATTTTCCTTCTCTCCTTTTTTAGCCATATTTCTTTTATTTATGTTTCTTGCTGTGTATATGCATAGATACACACATATATGCTGTATGTGTATATATAATATAAGCTACTTCATTTCCTCTTTACAAGGCAAATATGCAATATGAAAAGATACCACACAGGATATTAAGCATTGGTGAACTGCTGCCCTGAAGTTATTTATACTCCATTTGGAGAAAGTCTTAAAAAATTATCTACTAAAAATTCTGCAGTACAGATTTAGAAGTGAAGTATATTCAGGCCCAGAGGTAACAAAAAAGTGAGAATAATCATTTCTGCACATGGACAGGGAGAAATGTGTTGCTAGAACACTACAAAAGTGATGCTATTTGCATCTTGAATCTTCAAGAATAAGAAAGAACATCAGAGAAAAATGGGACCTTGTTATTTAGCTTGGTTCTGTATTCAAGTGCAATGACATTGAGCCTTTCTTTCCTTCATTTTTTCCTGCTGCAGAATGCTAGTTATGTCTTATCCCCTAGATCTACATAGGTGAATCTGATCAGATTATAATAATTGCCACAAAAATATCATGTGGATATATGCTCTGGGGTTGTACAATACTCTTGCTGAAACAATACAGATAAAAACTGGTTAAAATAAATTATGAGGGTTATTTGATGAAGAATAGGTATTATATAACGGGTCTTTATGAAAAAAACTGCTCTTATAGTTTCTCCTTTGTGACAATATATGCAGATTTGAGGATGATATTTTTAATGTGTAATGATCAGTCCTTTGTCATACCAGTTAGTGGCCCTACCTCCTTCTTTGTAATCAGCTACTATTCTAAAAGACTGCATGTCAGTAAATAATCTGTTAATGCAATAGCCTCAACTTCTCAAATTCTAAATATGATTTGGTAATCACATATCACATAAAGATTTTATGAGAGAATTGGAAAAGAAAAATCCGTCATGGATAATCGGTGTGGTCTTTTGGCTAACACTTTATACTGTGCTTGCGGCTTGTACTTTTTCATATTTTGAATTCATTAATTGTGCATTTCTTTTTCCCCTGTTAGATTATAAGCACCCCGTGGGCAGGGACTGCTAGGTTCTTGATATCTACACAAGGCTCAGTAAGCATTGAGCTGAATGGAGAGGCTGGCCCAGCTAGAAAGCATACAGATTATGCTGATGGTGCCAGCTGGATGGAATTGAACTGAGGAAATTAGCATTGATTCTAGAATTAGAACCACCTCCTCTCAGTCTGCCATGTAGCCAAATCTTAAACCAAGGGTTATTTTGATTTTTTAAAAAATCGCATTACTTAAGTTTACTAGGTAGAAGATTTTCTGAATTGGAACCATGTTTTTCATATTTTTCCTGTGCAAATAATTCTCAGTTGATAATGTAATTAGACATAACCCAGCTAATTTCTTTGGTATTCCTAACATTTAATTAGCATGTTGTTCTTATTCATTAATACTGTGGTGATATTTTCAGTGCTATTCTTGAGCATTCAAGGTGGTATCAAAGAAATGATTTTTCATGACATGACCACCATGCTATTTGGAAGAAGGAATGTTTGTGCTTGAATACACCATGCCTGCGAGAGTAGACTGCCTCTGTGTCCAGCCATCCCCACAGGGGAGACGCCTCGCAGTGGCGAGAATCCTGATACAGACCTACAGGGAATGACTGGCATTGGCTGCTTTCGATTCTGCTGTGATTGCTGATGTCCCCTGCGGTTCAAAGGATAATTCAGTTTCACCAAGTGTTCTCTTGTTTTGGACTCCATGGTGGAGCCACCAATTTTGCTATCTCATAGGAAATTATTTTTGTGAGGCCTCTTTTATTGGTTATCCAGCCTCTCTCTGAAGCCCGTTCACCCTCAGAGCATCTGGAAGGAGACAGGACAAATACAGTTTGAGAAAAAAGAGGATATGATATAGGGAGAATTCCTTCTACACTGGAAAGAAAAAAAAATGGAAAATCTGCCCCTTACACTCTGGTGGTGATGAGGAAGAGAAACAAGAAAGGAAAAGAAAATTGGAAAAAGAAAAGTGGACAGACATGTTTATGTCTCAGTCCACTCTTCTGGGATGAAACGGAGGGAGTGTGGGAAGATGTTAGATCCTTTGAAGGGAAGGCTGAAGTCAGAGACATGGAAAGAACCCAGAAGCAGAAGGTCCCTGAGCTGAGGGCAACAGGTCTGGCACAGAAGCATCCTCAGGAGAGACCCACTGCTGGGTACAGAGCCCTGGAGGAGGCACCCTGAGGATAGGGCGGAGACTCGGAGGCATCTACAGCACCAGATGCCAAAGACAGGCCACAATGCTTCACTGAGTGCTTCACGGAGTAAATAGAACAAGGAACAATTCACCAGGTACTTTGGAGCAAAGACGAGTGAAGATGCAGGTAAAACTCCTTGACTTAAGCTCCTTTTCCCCCTTTGCTCGTAGGGCATTAGATGTCCTCTTCATTCACCTGGATGTCACCCTGTGGAGGAGCTGAGTGCGTTGTGCATGTCCACTTAACGTTTGCACGCATGTGTGCAGATACGTGTGCTATGTATATGCTGGTGGAGGGTGGCATGGGCTGTCATCCAATAGAAGGGGCTTTTACCTGGAACAGTTGAAGTTAATGAACAATTACTAATTAAATACTACTGCTGGGCACCGTGGCTCATGCCTGTAATCCCAGGACTTTGAGAGGCCTAGGCGGGCAGATTACTTGAGGTCAGGAGTTTGAGACCAGCCTGGCCAACACGGCAAAACCCCATCTCTACAAAAATACAAAAATTAGCTGGGTGTGATGGCGGCATCTGTAATCCCAGCTACTGGGGAGGCTGAGGCAGAAGAATCGCTTGAACCCGGGAGGTGGAGTTTGCAGTGAGCCAAGATCGCGCCACTGGACTCCAGCCTGGGTGACAGAGGGAGACTTCATCTCAATAAATAAATAAATAAATACCAGAAGAATGGCAGATACTGTGAATGGTTGTATTAGTCGGAGTTCTCCAGAGAAACAGAACCAGTAGGATACAGAGAGAGATGTGTAAGAGGGGATTTATTATGGGAATTAGTTCATGCAATTATGGAGGCCAAGAAATCCCACAGCATACTGTCTTCAAGCTGGAGATCAGGAAAGTGAAATTTAGTTTGAGTCTAAAGGCTAAACTCAGACAGCCAGGAGCAGCCATGTCTAAGGGCGGGAGAGACAGTTGACCCAGATCCAGATGAGAGAGTGAATTTGCTCTTCCTCCTTTTTTTCACTCTATCCAGGCCCTCAATAAATGGGCTGATGCCCAGCCATGTTGATGAAAGTGGATCTCCTTTACTCAGTCTCTCAAACTGATTGCTTATGTCTTCCAGAAACATCCTCAAAGACACACCCAGAAATACTATTTTTCCAGTTATCTGGGTATCCTATAACCGTATCATGTTGACATTTAAAATTAACCATCACAATGTACCAGGAAAGGTAGACCTCTGTTCTACTCTCTAGTTGGATGATGCTGGAGGGAATATTAGGACCTGTTGTAGAGTATAAAGAAAGAACATTTTATTTGCAAATATGCATAATTGTAGTTGACACCCTGCTACCCATAGGTTAAATACACAATTTATTCTGGGAAAGAAGAGTAAAACTATATTAAAAGTTTTAAATGTGCTGCTTTCTAATCATGGAATACATTATTTTTGCCACTTCCATTCAATTATCTGTCATGGTATTCATGTTCTCTCCATACTAGTCATTATAGGATCTCGGCCAAGCACGGTGGCTCACACCTGTAATCCTAGCACTTTGGGAGGCTGAGGCGGGCGGATCACGAGGTCAGGAGATGAAGACCATCCTGGCCAACATGGTGAAACCCCGTCTCTACTGAAAATACAAAAATTAGCTGGGCGTGGTGGTGGCGGGCGCCTGTAATCCCAGCTACTTGGGAGGCTGAGGCAGGAGAATCACTTGAACTCGGGAGGTGGAGGTTGCAGTGAGCTGAGATCTCGCCACGGCACTCCAGCCTGGCGACACAGCGAGACTCCGTCTCAAAAAAAAAAAAAACAACAACAAAAAAAAAAAAAAAAAAGAAGAAGAAGAAATTGTCTTTATAGGTTTTCTCTAAATAGCCATTAATGTCTGAAAAGGAGATGAAGAGCTTCTCTCTGTGACAAAGTTTTGTTTTACACTGGCTGTGCTTTTGCAGATCCAGCTTCTCTCGCCAAATTTGGTCCTCCTTAAGGATCTATTGCACGTGGAAGAAGACAAGTTGAATCCGACAAAGTTCTTTTGCTCAAGAGTGATATGCCCTATTAAGGGAGATAACAGGGACACAGGTAAATCTGTAAGTCAGCAGTAGAACAGTGTGTGACAACTGCCATGTAAGTGGAGCAAATGGGGCATATGCCTCAGACAAGGGAGGCTGAGTCTTACTGCGTTTATTTTTACTTAACTTATATTGCAAGCATTACGTCTGTATACAGTGGGGAAAGAAATAAATGATGAAGGAAGACTTGTAAGTCTTTAGGAACTTAGCGTTCTAACAGTCCCTCACACCTCTAATCCCAGCACTTCGGGAGCCCGAGGTGGGTGGATTGCATGAGTCCAGGAGTTCAAGACCAGCCTGGGCAACATGGTGAAACTCCATCTCTACAAACAATTAACTGGGCATGGTGGCGTGCACCTGTGGTCCCAGCTACCTGGGAGGCTGAGGTGGGAGGATCACCTGAGCCCAGGAGGCCAAGGTTGCCATGAATGCTAATGCATGCCAGCCTGAATGACAGAGGGAGATCCTGTCTCAAAAAAATAAAAGGAATTAGTAAAAAGAAAATATTTTGGCTTCACGGTGATAGCTATAGGGAAACTAGGTTTTCCCAGTCTTTCTAGATAGTATTTGATCCTATATGCTCCAGAATCCACGGGCTTTGACTTTGACTTTCTTTTGTCTTCTTTCCATTCCTACCGACCTACTCACATAGCTCCTTAGTTATGTCAGACCAGCAATGTCTCTGGGTCACCTCTTCGGACAAAACCATATTATTGCTTATGTTTGAAGCAGCATCAAAGTCACCAGCTTCTCTCAAAGAAGAAGGTGACATGTGACTATGATCCCTGATGGCTGGATTTTTGATGCCAGGATCCCTGTAGTCAGAAACTTCTTATTTTTGGAACACTATATGGCTATTTCAAGTGGAGGCTCAGTTCTTTCTGGGAGTTGTACTACGCAGCATTTTCTTGTGTGAGAAAGGAAGCTAATCCCCTTGGGGCGGCTGTGGGGCTAATAACCTCGTTGTTATAACTAATCTACTTTAAAGTATAATTCTTCAAAGATGCGTTTTACAATTTTTAAAGCATATTATTTTCACAGTTGAAGCACTCAGAGGAAAGGGGTATTCAGGGTATTTTGAAGAGATTAGACACGTATTTTTTCACGACATTTTTCCCCCATGATTTTGTAGCCTCTCCCTACAGAAAGGAATAAAAAGACGTTTCTCTTTGTTCCCCCTGTTCCTGCTCTTGTAATTGGACTTGGAGTTCTTGCGGAAGGGAAAGAGATTGAAGATGCACCAATGATTTGCTAATCAATAGTTATATATATATATATATATATATATATATATATATATATATATATTTCCATTCTAAATGTGCAGTGCTCTGTAACTGAACCCACATCTTGGCTCAATGCCCAGTGGAAATTTCAGGAACAAGGGACAGTGTGTCTCAGTCCATTGTTTCAAATAACTCTCCTTGGCTTCTTTAGGGGGATGAAACAGGCATTCACATTAGGCCAGAAGGTTATTAGATCTCCACGAGATGCTGCCCAGGTCTGGCTGCACACCGTGAATATTATTCTGTCAACGCAAATGTCCTTAGAATCTGCTAGAATTGAATGACTCTTAGCAGCTTTACAGCTGTCTTACAACATTTGACATCTCCCAAAAAACGCTTCTTGGCACCAATGAGAATTAGTCACTGGGCTGATTTATATCTAAAAAGTATGGAAAATGAAGTGGGATAACAGTATCACTGTTTCCATGTATCATGTTTATAAAATAAGTATTGTGTTTTCCCCCCGAAGGCTGGGATTGATTTTTTACGCCACCCACAGCCATCCCCCAACTTTTATAGCCCGGGCAACTATAAATAAGTTTAGGAAAATTACTCCTCTACGGTTTCACAAAGCATTTCTTATCTGACTGCCACAGCTGTCACTGATCCAAATGCTCTTATTTGGGATGTCTACGGCTGGAAATATTATTGCTTATGTTCTTCAGGGGCTAAAGAACGTTATCATATTATTTTGTGAATTTAATTCATTTCTCCTGTTTGTGTCAGGGGTTTTTAATGTCTAGTGATTTCTCAAACATACCAAAATAGATGATCTTCAGCCTCTTCTATGTTGTTCCCTTTTCTACTGTTAATGTTTATTTATAAACTAAATTTCTGATTTTAAGGGACGACTTTGAGCTTCATAATTTACTTATTATATTTCAATATTCCTAATGTGAACCCAGAAACTAATTATCATCCTGTTCAATACTATTAATAGTAATAAATTCTTCAAGGTAGTTATTCGGGCTTTCAAAATATTAAACTATAAATATTTCTACCAGTTCTTCTTTATGTTCTTCTGTTTGTTTTCTTTAAAATTAGATGTCTTTAAAATGTGCATAGACAATGAAATATTGCCTAGAACAAAACACAATGGTATCCACTTGAAAACCTGTAGGATTTAAGACATTGTATGCAGTTAATTCTGCATGCCAATATTTCCTTTACTATAATTCAGTTTTCTCCTTAGTTGATACTATTTATTCCATCTGAGAGCCCTTGTTATTTAAGGTGTATATTTTGAAATTGAATAAAAAAGAATATAGTCAAATACTATTTAGGGTACAATAATTAATATTTTATAATATGTTATTCAAGATCCAGAAAGATCTACACAAATACAAATTTCATTAAATATTATTTCTCATATATGTAATCAATTCTGTTTTTATTTTTTGAAGATGTGACTTTTGGTTTTCTAGTATACTTTGATGACATTCTGAAATAAATAAAAATCATTTTTAACATTATTTTTCCCTTGTTACAAGTCTTAAAATTAGGTAAAATTGAACTCAGACTTGTCACAGGGATGAAGAAAGACTATTTGTAAAGTCTTTGGAAGAAAAGGCAGAATTTCATTTGAAGCACCCCAAGGTTTCTGCTTCAAACAATTTCCCCCAAATTACTTGCCTGAGAAATACATCAGCTATTAAGTAAATGTCAAATATTGGAGAAAAAGTCAAAATTATTTTGCAAACACCGAAAGTCATGGTGAAAAATATGACAGATCTTATAATGGGCAGGAATGTATTTTACATGCATTTTTCACAACTCTCTAAAGACTGAAAAAAAAAAAAAGCCCACAGAGTCAGATAGAAAGAAATAGAAAGCCCAGCAATTAATTTGAGGATTTGATCAAAATAGACGTCAATGTACATACCTTCAGCCAAACTTTTCATTTTTTCCACAATAGTACTATTCTTTAACTAAGTTCTTTTCTCCCTCTGAATTGTCAGAATAATTTTTTCAACTCAAGCCTTTCCCAACTGCAGATTAACCGTGGATTATTTCCAGTACCTACCTACCTAAACTTTTTCTGAGTATCTCAGTGTCATGTTGTGATTGGTTTAAAATGACTTCTTCTTTTTCTATTCACATCAAACCGGGGAACAATATGATCAAGCATCTTTCAAAATAGAAAATTGCTGGTATTGCTAGAGACAATCGTGTTCATATTGCAGGATCATGTTAATATTGCAGGAAGTCTTTGGATGAGTTCTGAAAAGTCAGGAAGGAATCACAAGAATAGGTGCTGCAAAGGGAGCATCACCAAATGAAACTTTTCTTTCTTTGGATCAAGAGGCCTTGGTTTAAAATTAGCTAGTGATTACAGAAGTAATCAAGTCAAATAAAAGGTTGAGACAATAAAATTCAATTAGATTTCATACTAAAGGTAATGGGAAGCTACTGGAAGGTCTATACTAAAACAATGGAAAGAGAATTTAAGGAGATGGTTTTTACAAGACAAATTAGAAAGGATGATACCAAGGGTAGAAATAGACTGAAAGTACTGCCATGATCCAGGCATGGAGTGCTTGGTGCTCAGGCTGTGGCAATAGCTGTGTAAAAGCAGAGGAAGAGATGAATCTCAGAGACATTTAAAAAGGAAATACCTATAGAAGCTGGAGATGAAGTTTTTTTTTCTTCTCTTTACCTAGGAACTGAGACGCCTGGGAAATGGTATCATTGACAGCCAAGGATGGTTAAGCATTTTTTGATGTTCCAACTTTGTATTTATGCAACAAATAATTGGAAAGTATCTGTGTGCCAGGGT
Source organism: Homo sapiens (assembly GCF_000001405.40). NCBI lineage: Eukaryota > Metazoa > Chordata > Mammalia > Primates > Hominidae > Homo > Homo sapiens. Next base: position 187,285,948 of record NC_000004.12, read on the forward strand.
CTAGGTGAGGGCAATAGGAGTAATTAAAAACAATGAATGTGGCATTGTTCGTGCCGTGAAGGAGCTCAGTATGTGTGGGACTTACAAGCCTATGAAAATAGAAATATTCGCATCCAAGTGCCTCTAGAACACAGTACTCTGTTTATTCTTAAAAATATATATCCTAAGGTTTAATAAGGCAGAAGAATTTTAAAATTATCTCGGTTGTTTTGCTTTAATAGTAATCATTGTTTCAAGAACTAAAAGTTGCAATGAAATTCCTAAAAAGAGATATGAATATAAAATCAAAAACTTAAAACCCTGTAATGTTAAATTAAGTTGAAAGTACTGTCATCCAAAAGACCATCAGGATGGTGAAATAATAGAAAAGAGAGTTTTATCGGTGATGTCAGCTTCAAACTGTCTCAAGAGAGAGAATCTGCAGCATGGACCCAGGCTGCTCTCTTTGAAGAGGGAAAGGGCAGGTTGGGTTTTATGCCTCACAGGGCCTGTACCACACAATAGAGTCAGAGATATTCGGCAGGTTTGGGGATAAGTTATACATGTCGATGAGGGCAGCTGGAAAGGCAAAAACATGCACGAAGGGTAAGTAGATATGTAACATACATCCCATGTTCACTTTGGGGCTGGGTTTTAGCATGAAAATGAGATGGAATTTGGCTCTTTATGTTAAAAAGATGCATGACAGGACAGGAAGACAATTTGCACACAGTCTCTACAAGCTGGCTGAAACTGCCTTAAGATCTGCAGTTGTTTATCAGAAAAGAATGTGTGTAACGCCGGACCTCTGTCTAATCAGTGTTGTAGCCATCTGGGTTATAAATCGGAGTTAGGAATTTGCCTGATGTCTCCTGTTGTTAAGGAGTAAGAGGGTGGTTTATAGCTGTAGGAATTTAGGAAGTTGCCAGGCCAGCCAAGCCCTGAACCCTCGACCCATAGGTAACTTTTGTTTTCTTAAACTTAGGGCCCGTCTTAGTTGATAGATGTCTATTTTGATCTCTCAAATTGCAATACCAAATTATAATTTTGAAAGTTAAATTTTCTAGCCCTCCATATTGAAAAAGCCCAAAAACAACAATAATGCTTCGTGTAGGAATCAGCACTTCTCACACACATGTTTCGTTTGTTTGGTTTTATGTTGTTATTGTTTTCTTTTACAGACAGGGCCTCACTCTGTCTCTCAGGGTGAAGTGCAGTGGTATCATCATGGCTCACTGCAGCCTGGAACTCCTGGGCTCAAGTGACCTGCCCATCTCAGCCTCCAAAGTGGCTGGGACTACAGCTGCATGCCCCCACATCTGGCTAATTTTTAATAAATTTTTGTGAAGACTGGGTTTCACTGTGTTGCCCAGACTGGTCTCAAACTCCTGGCCTTAAGTGATCCTCCCAAAGCACTGGAATTAAAGGCGGGAACCACTGTGCCCAGCCTCGTATTTTGTTTTTAAATTATCATTCCACACTGAAGGAAGCAGGGCCCATTAGGGAGTAGGTGATTCTTGATGGAGAAATAGGGAGACAGAGATGGGGGTGGGGCCAGCTGAGTCTTATACATCATGAGTGTCTTAAATACCACGAGAAAGGAAAGTCTAGGACTCCCGAGATTATGTAAAAAGGACACAGTGGCAGCCTGACAGGTCTTCCTGTAGTTCAAACTAATTCCAGCATCAACAACAACAATAACAAAATAGCTATAACTCATTGAAATTCATTACATACATACACATCATTGGTCAATGGTAATGCTAAAAAAAGATAATGTAATCAAACAGATAAATAATATACCAATTCTTTATATGCTTTCTTGGTATATTCTTTCTGTACTTTGAAAGTTGGTAATTAAAAGATGAGAACAAAATATTCATTCTGCTTTTTAAATAAGAATTTTAGTTTCAAGGTTAAAAAAAGGTGATCCTAATTGATAAAGAAAGCTTTTATTTGCAGAAGAATGCCAGTTAAAAATGTAACAGGAATAGAATTGGATAATCATTTTGCTAATCATAATGAAACAACTTAAGGAAGAAACTTAGTGGTGCTAACATCTTTCATAAAATGTTGGGAAACGGAATATTCACACAATGCTGATTATCTCTCCACAGACTACTTCATATTTTCAGAGGAGGAAACATGTATTTATAGTGGAAAGGTCTGACTGTAACAAAATTAATCCAGTATTACCACTAACTAATAGGACTCCTTAGACATTCTGTTAATGAAATGCAACCGGAAACACCAATTTTCTCCATGAACTATTATATTATGAAAATACAACCAGACAAATACAGGAAATAGAACATCACACAATATCTGGCTGATGTCTTTAAAAATTAATAGCTCAGGGAGAAAAAGGATGTAAAAACTATACTTGACTTAAAAAGACAAGTGACATAACAAAAAAATGTATTAAATGCTTTTTGATCGAATCCTGCTTAGAAAACAAGAGTTAAAACAGACATTGAGGAAACTTGAATTTGGGCCACGTATCTGGTATTAGGGAATTCCTGCTGATTTTGTGGGGTGGGTACAATAAAGCCATGGCGATCTCATGGGAGAGCACTTCTGTTCATACTGAAGAATTCAGGAGAAAGTGTCAGGACATCTGGAAGTAACTTCAAATGATTTAGCAAACAGATAGGAATAGCAATATAAATATGGATATTCATATAGAGTATAGATCTACAATATATACCCTACTCATATAGCGTACAGATCTACATAAGCTAAATATCAATAATTGTTGACTCTGGATAGTGAGTATATAGGTTTTTTTGTAGTATATTTTTTGTTTTCCTGTTTGTTTTAAAATTACTATAATAAAATTTTTTTAAAGAATGCATATGTTCATAATGCCCCAGAAGGTACTTGGGTAACAATAAAAAAGATACACTGGCCCCATGGTCTCAAGGCCTTTGCCCTAGAGATGCAAATAATCTACTTCTGGGAATGAAGGTCAAAGAGATAAAAATTTAACTTGGGATAATTAGTGGTTCTAAGGGAAACTCCATTATTGCAAACACTATAATAAATACCTGTGAAATGAAGAGTATGCGACTGTTCCAACATATATTTTTAGGGTTTAGAGTGCTTAGATCCTAGAGGATACTCAACTCTGGAGATTCTCTGGGTGTGATTTAAGAGTGGGATGGCCCAGATTGGACCTATGATCCTTTCCTTGAGCTTTCCTGGGGCCAGGCTGCCCCTGTTGAAGTCTTCCAGGCCAGGGAAGGCTGGGATCCTACCTCCCGATGCAGATATTGCAAGGCCAAAGTAAAAGCACCAATTCTCTTGAAATTTACTTCTGCTTCCAGGACAGCAGGGGAGAACTTCCAAAGGTCTCAGAGACTGGGTCACACTGTGCCCCACATCACAGCTCCCTGGCATGTCAGGTCATCCTAATAAATGCAATCAGCTCAGTAACACCTGGGCACTCTGTAAATACCCTCTCACTGGGAAATTACATGAGAAAAAACATCTTGTCCTTAAACTTCCACCTCGAGTCCAAGTTCTGTAAATCAGTCGTGCATTCAACAGCCTCTTTTTAGCCATTCCAGTCTTATGACTGACTCTCTGCTTCCTACTTCTTTGAATATGAATTTCAGTGAGAATCAATTATTTTACAGGAAAAATATTTTTCACTAGGCAGGAAATTCTTTTCATCTTACTAAAGCTGGCACATAATAGTTTAGACATTTCCATTCTCTAAAGCAGAAAACATCTAGTGCATGGCCATTACCCCAACCACTAAAGCATAATGCTCTTGAGGTAGAATGTGCTAGTATTTAGGAAACTCATTAAGTCAGAAAGTACTCACTGAGCCCCTATAGCCTGGAAAGTACAGCACTGATCACTTAAGGAAATCATCAATATCAGACTAACTCCAGGTCCTTAGGGAGTTGCAAATATTTATGAGAGAGAAGGTAATCAGCCTAAGATCAGTCTTCCTTGAATGTAGCCATAAAATATTTATTTTGCTCATATAGATTTTATGCTTTGTTTCTTTAAAAGCTAAATTCTGAAAGTTAAAACAATGCTGTTTCTGATAATGCTATGGTTGTACTTTCTGATATCTTTTATTTTTAGATACTATGAATGAAATCTTACCAAGTGTCATATTTAGTTACTAAACAAACTATGAATAAACCATCAGCATTTCCAGCATGTGGATGTTAGCATTAAAGAGTAAATTCTGATTCTTTTAGGTCAAAGCTGTTGAATTGAGGCCATAGTTTCAGAAAATGGATCACGTAGTCTTTATGTGTTTCATTTCAAATTATGTCTCTATCAACCTTTACTAGATCATGTATATTGAAGCTTCCATACAATCTCCATTTAGTATCCGCTGTGGTACAAATGTCTGTGTCCCCCGGTACTTGGCCATTTTCACACAGCTATAAAGAACTACCTGAAACTGGGTAATTTATAAAGAAAAGAGGTTAATTGACTCACAGTCCGCATGGCTGGGGAGACCTCAGGAAACTTACAATCATGGCAGAAGGCAAAGAGGAAGCAAGACACATCTTACATGGCAGCAGGAGAGAGAGAGAAAGCAAAGTGGTAAGTGCCACACACTTTTAAGCAATCAGATCTCGTGAGAACTCACTCACTGTCATGAGAACAGCAAGGGGGAGACTGCCCCCATGATTCAATCACGCCTCTCCCCCAAGACATGGGGATTAAAATTCCAGATGAGATTTGGGTGTAGACACAGAGTGGAACCATATTACCCCCTCAATTTCATATACTGTAATCCTAACTCCTAGGTGGTGGTATTCGTTGGGAGGGCTGTCTAGGGGGTAATTAGGTCATGAGCACAGACCTGTCATGAGTGGGATTAGTGTCCTTATAAATGAAGCCCTGGAAAAGCTCTCTTGCCTCTTCCTTCTGCCATGTGAAGTTAGAGTGAGATGGCTGTCTATTTCATGCTGGGATCTTAATCTTGATCTTCCCTGCCTTCAGAACTGTGAGAAATAAATTCCCACTATTTATAAGCCATCCAGTCTATGGTATTTTGTGGTAGTAGCCCAAAGGTGGTACCCATGTGATACTTCATAAATAAAAAGTTGATTATGCCACTCCCCTGTTAAAATGCTGTTATTGATTTGTACTGAGAACAGGATTAAAAAAAAAACAACCTCTTCAATGTGGCCTCTTTAACGTGGTTTACCACTGTGGCTGCACCGAAATCACACTTGTTCTTACCCCTCACTCCAGCTACCCAGGTTCTCTTTAGCAAAGACAGGCTACAGGGTCTTGGCAGGTCGTGTTCGATCCACTGGGAAGGAAAAACTCTTTTTTCCCCAGTTAGTGCCTGCTTATTTATTAGCTCTCAGCTGAGTAATTCCTTTCTCCCTTACTCCCTTGCCCTGTGTGTGGGCATTGCTCTCTCCTCGAAGGCCTGCAGTCATCTCCCTGTGCCTCATGCAAAACCAACCTGCAGCAGTGGCCCTGGTGATGGTTCACAGAAGCTCAGTTTGCGCTAGCTGGAAAGTGACCTCAGGTGGTTCCTATAAGCTTGGAAGCAGCGATACCTCTGGGGCTTCAAGGAAGTGCCTATCATCAGAGACATATTTCCCCCAAGTCTGCCTCTTTTATATTTTATGTCATTTCCCATTTTAACGCATTCATATTCCTCTGTATCTCTTTCAGGTTAAATTCCAGATTCCATATCTGACCCAATCTATTAGGTTGGTGCAAAAGATTTTGTCATTAAAAGTAATGGCAAAAACCAAGATTACTTTTGCATCAACCTAATACAACCTTCTGCAATATGTAATCAATCTCTCAACTAATCAAGTTATAAGATTAAGCTCAGTGATTTTGAGGGAGCCTGCTGGAAATCCTCTAAAGATGTTTCAAATATTATTTTTGTGGCTAGTTTTGTATTGTTGGTAATAAAAGTTTTTGAGAGACTTTCCATTTCTAAACACAAATCAAATATCTCTAATTCTTCTAGGAAAGAGACCATAAAATCTCTTGATTATAATAAAATTTTGCTCTCTCAATTTCTAATGAGAACCATGGTAGTGAAAATAATTTTGACATATAGAAATTGTTTTGATGTTTTAATAACTAGTTATCTGTATAGTGTCTGGCTTCCAGAATTTCTTTATAAATAATTCTGATGTTGATTAGCCATGTGGTTGCTAACCTTGTTCCAAGTGCATCACAAATTCAAATTTTACAAAAAATTAGGAGGAATTATGTGATCCACATGAATCACTGATGCCCCGGGGAAAGTTTTCGATGGAAACCTCACAATGTGGGAGATTTGGAGAAGAAACTGACTACATAAGGTATCTGCTTTTGAAAGGAATAGTTCTATTTTGGGAAAATTTTTCATGCCATAGAGAGGATGTTCCATAACTCACTGCAGAGACAGAAAATCATGAGAGTTCCTTTGTGTTTCTATCATAAGACAGAAGAATGTGTACCATCCGCAACATAAACCCTAAGTCCTACACTGGGATAACTTCCCTGAAGTCTTGGAACAGCGGTTCATAATAATTATAGCTGAGCGAGGGGCACCCTCTGCTTGAGGCGGAGAAACTAATACTGACCTTACAGACCAGGTTCTCTTGTTTTGTGTTGTTGAAAGGCTTTTTGCTACCATCATTCTCCACCATGATGAGAAATTTTAGATCTAGTTCATAAATGCAATTAATGATAGAAATGAGAACTTATTGTTAGATTCAGAATTTCTAAAGTACCTAGTGAGAACCTAGTAAGAAACACAATCATTCTTGACTGTGCATACAGTTAAGATCGTCTAATAGTGGAGAGAAACAAAGATGGAAGGGAAGGAGGGAGAGAGAAGAGGGGAGGGGTAGAGGAGGAGGGAGAGAAAGGGAGTGGAGAGAGAGAGAGAGGGAGACAGGAGAGAAATTCCTTTTGATCCCTGAATATTATAGAACTAATGATATTATTAAAATTTAATTTTAAATCTGCGTGTGCTTTTTTTATAAGATGAAAGGAAAATTTTGATTAAGTTTCTTAAAGAAGAATTCAATGAAAATATATAAGATGAATGCTCTGGACTAATTAAATAAAATAAATATATATGCAACAGCACACACTTCTCAAGGGTCCTAAAAGGTATTCTGTTACTTAAAAGCAAAATATTCAGTGATCTGCATGTATTTACAGAGTGAATAGCTTCTTTACTGTGGAAGAATGTTTGATTTTTTTACATTATAAGATTTTAGAAATTACAATAACATTTTATACTTCTATGAATGTTGACAGTATTTTGTTATAATTTCATTAATTATTAAAAAAATCAACTGACTCATAAATTATGATTCCTAAATAATAGCAGAACCTATTTTTTTCCTACTGGGCATTTACATTTACTTAGTTTCATTCTTGTAAGTTGACTGTTAATCTCCTTCTTTGTTCTCTTCCAATTTGTCATTAAATATTGGGATCTTCCTTTAGGGCATACAATCATAAATAAGAGGAAATTCTCCCTGAAATCAAAGGAAGCCTGCTGGAAGATGTTCATTTGTCTGTTGCTGGTTCTGACAGATTCCTTATACTTGATGCTTGTTTACACATCGGGGTTCCCCATGTTAATACGTCTGAAAAGCTCTTTTGATACAATCAATTCTGCTGTTATAGAAATGAACTGATCAAAAGTATCTTTTAAAAGACATCAGTCATCTGGCATATTATTTCCCTTATGGTTTTTCCCATTATGATTTTTAAATATTCTGAGAAATAAAAATTGCTTTACTATATGCATGCTACCACATATTTCTATGTCACTCTTCATTGAGTGTGTTAGGTCCTATATTAAGCATTTTGCATTAAGTTCTATTTAATTCTTACGAGAACCAAGTATACTGTGTATTAACAGGTCAATATTACAAATAAAGAAACAAAGTCTCACAGGTGCATTTCAGTTACCTGCATGGCCACAAAACCAGGAGTAGTAATGGAGTCAGCATTTATTCTACATTGGTCTGACTTCAGCAACTGCATTCTTCCAAATAAAGCAGTTAATAATAAAATAATACAAATAACTGGTAAAATATACTTAAATAATTATCTCCATCTATTTAAATAAAATAATTTACATAAAGTGCTTGGTACGGTGTCTAATATAATCATATAATTAAAACAAAAAGTGGTCACAACTTCTATTTGAACAGTTACAAAAACTGGGTTTTACAGTTGTATTTACCAGAAAAGGTCAATTGCTATAACAACACATCCACAATCTCAATTATTTAACAAAATAAAGGTTTGATTCTTGCAGCCGTTAGAGTCCAATGGCTATCAACAAGGTCAGAATGAAGGGGGGAGGCTTGCCAAGCAGTTACTCAGGGACTTAGGTTCCTTCCACAGAGAGGACCTGAAATCCTTGAAACCCTCCACTGAAAGATTCTATCTTTTCCCAGCAGATATGGAATCACAGGACATCTTGCGAGACATTGTAGGGGTCAGGCCTGAAAGTAGTATATATCACTCCCACTCATATCACATTGGATGGAATTCAGTTGTATGGCCTGCCCTAGCTGAAAGCAAAGCTCAGATACCTTGTGTAAACATAGAGCTTTGTGTCTGCCCCAGTAAGCAAAATACATCATCCTCCAAATGAGTGGCGATTGGAGTTTTGGCAGTGTAGTTGAAACCTTAGTGAATAGAAATTATGTTAGAGATAAAAAAAAAATTCCCCCCTTTGAGAAGAAACTTAGTTTCAGCACCCAAATTACAAAATGAACTACCAAAGATTATGCATTTATTTTAGCATTATAAATGTGTGTTACTAGTTTGATCTCCTTTGCAATGCCAGGGTAAGCTGAGTGTTTTAATTACAATGGTAATTTTTGTAGCACATTTTAATAAAACTGTAGCGTTTCATAAATTTCCCAATTATGACATCATTCTAAAGCACTATTTAATTCACACTTAATTAAATTGGAGGATTATGAAATTCGAGCTCATTTTTAAGAATAAAAAACTAATTTTCTTAAAATTATAGACAGTGACATTCTTGAAAGGAAGAAAAAGACTAATGATACTATCTCATATCCAAATATACTAGAAGCAGCAGTTGAAGAATTGTCTTCCTGGAGCTTGGCCAATGTATATGATTCGTAAGATACATTACCACACCCTGTTTACAATCCTTGGCCTGGATTCAACTGGAGACTGCCGATTCCTTCTGAAACAGCCAGAGACTTGTGGCAACCTTATTACAAATGGCCTCTTTTTTTTTTCCCACAGAAACATTTTATCCCCTTTTTCCCAGTACTATGACTCTGGGAAGAGCTTTGTTTCAAGATGGTGGCTGTTTGACCATTCTAATGACTAAGCTCTCAGAAAGGAGTTCTAGAAGGGAATGTATAACTTTACTACCACTGACATTTTTAACTCAAATCACAAATTTCATTCATCTAGGCATTTATTCTTTCACTCCAGAGTATTTTTGTCTTATCTTCTGTATTAGTCCATTTCACACTCCTGATAAAGACATAACCAAGACTGAGAGGAAAAAGAGGTTTAATTGGACTTACAGTTCCACATGGCTGGGGAGGCCTCAGAATCATGGCGGGAGGTGAAAGGTATTTCTTACATGGTGGCGGCAAGAGAAAATGAGGAAAAAGCAAAAGCAGAATCCCCTGGTAAACCCATCAGATCTCATGAGACTTATTCACTTTCATAAGAATAGCATGTGAAAGACAGGCCTCCATGATTTAATTACCTCCCACTGAGTCCCTTCCACAACACATGGGAATTCTGGGAGATACAATTCAAGTTGAGATTTGGGTGGGGTCACAGCCAAACTATGTCATTCCACCCCTGGCCCCTCCAAATCTCATGTCCTCACATTTCAAAACCAATCATGCCTTCCCAACAGTCCCCCAAAGTCTTAACTCATTTCAGCATTAACCCAAAAGGCCACAGTCCAAAGTCTCATCTGAGACAAGGCAAGTCCCTTCCGCCTATGAGCCTGTAAAATCAAAAGCAAGCTAGTTATTTCCTATGTACAATGGCGGTACAGGTATTGGGTAAATACAGCCATTCCAAATGGGAGAAATTGGTCAAAACAAAGGAGTTACAAGGCACATGCAAGTCCAAAATCCAGCAGGGCAGTCAAATTTCAAAGCCCTAAATGGTTCTCCTTTGACTACAGGTCTCCCATCCAGGTCATGCTGATGCAATGGGTAGGTTCCCATGGCCTTGAGCTGCTCCGCCCCTGTGGTTTCACAGGGTACAGCTGCCCTCTGGCTGCTTTCATGGGCTGGTGTTGAGTACCTGTGGTTTTTCCAGGTGCACAGTGCAAGCTGTCAGTGGATCTACCATTCTGGGGTCTGGAGGACGGTGGCCCTCTTCTCACAGCTCCAGTAGGCAGTGCCCCAGCAGGAACTCTGTGTGGGGGCTCCAGCCCCACATTTCCCTTATCCACTGTCCTAGCAGAGGTTCTCCATGAGGGCCCCACCCCCACAGCAAACTTCTGCCTGGGCATCCAGGAGTTTCCATACATCTTCTGAAATCTAGGCGGAGGTTCCCAAAACTCAATTCCTGACTTCTCTGCACCCTCAGGCTCAACACCAGGTGGAAGCTGCCAAGTCTTGGGGCTTTCACCCTCTGAAGCCACAGTCTAAGCTGTATGTTGGCCCCTTTCAGCCACGGCTGGATCGGCTGGGACACAGGGCACCAAGTCCCTAGGCTGCACACAGTATGGGGAACTTGGGCCTGGCCCATGAAACCACTTTTTCCTCCTGGGCCTCCAGGCCTGTAATGGGAGGTGCTGCCATGAAGGTCTCTGACTTGGCCTGGAGACATTTTCCCCATGGTCTTGGGGATTAACACTAGGCTCCTTGTTACTTATGCAGATTTCTGGAACTGGCTTGAATTTCTGCCCAGAAAATGGGTTTTACTTTTCTATCATATAGTCAGGCTTCAAATTTTCCAAACTTTTATACTCTACTTCCCTTCTAAAACTGAATGCCTTTAACAGCACCCAAGTCACCTCTTGAATGTTTTGCTGCTTAGAAATTTCATCCACCAGATATCCTAAATTATTTCTCTCAAGTTCAAAGTCCTACAAATCTCCAGGGCAGGGGCAAAATGATGCCAGTCTCTTTGCTAAAACATAGCAAGAGTCGCCTTTCCTCCAGTTCCCAACAAGCTCTTCATCTCCATCTGAGACCACCTCAGCCTAGAGTTTATTGTCCATATCACTATCAGCATTTTGGGCAAAGCCATTCAACATGTCTCTAGGAAGCTCCAAACTTTCCCACGTTTTCCTGTCTTCTTCTGAGCCCTCCAACCTGTTGCAACCTTTGTCTACTACCCAATTCCAAAGTTGTTTTCACATTTTCAGGTATCTTTTCAGCAGTGCCCCACTCTACTGGTACCAATTTAGTGTATTAGTTCGTTTTCACACTGCTGATAAACACATACTTGAGACTGGGGAAAAAAAAGACATTTAATTGGACTTACAGTTCCACATGGCTGGGGAGGCCTCAGAATCATGGCAGGAAGTGAAAGGCACTTCTTACATGGTGGCAGCAAGAGAAAATGAGGAAGAAGCAAAAGTGGAAACCCCTGAGAAACCCATCAGATCTTGAGACATATTCACCCTCATGAGAATAGCATGGGAAAGACCCACCCCCATGATTCAATTATCTCCCCCTGGGTCCCTCCTATGACACGTGGGGATTCTGGGGGATACCATTCAAGTTGAGATTTGAGTGGGCACACAGCCAAACCATATCATCTTCTATGCCACAGGTACTGGAATATAACTTGAAGAGATCCTGGATCCCAACTCACATTATTTTGGGGAAGAGAAACAAGTAGTTGAATAAACAAAATAAAATCCAGTTTATGAAAAGTGCTATAAAGAACACAAATGGGGATGCTGGGTCTTTATGTAATAACAATGGGGCCTTTAAAATAGAGTATGGAAGAAGCTACTTTAGATGGCTGCAAGTGGGAAGCCCTCCACGGAGGTTCAAGCTGAGATATAAAGGATGAGAAAAGTCCAGTCACATGAAAGCACAGGAAAAGAGAAACCTTGGAGGCCCAGCAATGGGGGAGATTGGAGTGTGACTGCTGCAGTGAGCCAGTGGCTGGGGAAATGCGTGATTGGAAAGGAGAACAAAAGCCAGGCCATGCAAAGGCTCGATGTGTCATGGAAACCTGTGGAAAGATGTTAGGTTGGGACATGTTTTGTTCCTGGGATATGAATTACATTTTTAAAAGTTTATTTTTGTCACTTAAGAGAATAGATTGAAAAGGGTAAAATTAAACACTAGGAGATCAGTTAGTGAATGATCTGGGCAAGAGAAATCTGGCTTGAATCATGGTGGTGAGGGTGCAGGTAGAAAGAGGTGAGTCTGAGATCTATCTGGGAGTGTCACAGAGAGCCTGATGAGAGGAGGTGAGGGATGGGAGAAGGGAGGAGTGGAAGTAGGTGACTTTTAGGTTGTTGCCTGGTAACCAAGTGGATAATGGTGCTATTTACTGAAATGTAAAGATGACTCTGCTGGGCGAGGGCAGGAGGGAAGTCATAGAATGTACTTGGGATATGTTGGGATATCTAAGGCTACTTGAAATGCCTATGAGACATTCAACATAAATTTCAAATAAATAGTTGGATATAAGCCTAGATCTAGGGGGAAAGTTGGAGCTAAAGACATAATTAGCATTTATCAGATTATAGATGGTAGATAGATCTACATTCATGGGAGTGTGTGAGATCAACTGCGAAAAAGTACATATGTGTAAGAAAAGAGTGCTTAAAACCTACTCGTGAGAAAATTCAATATTTAAAGATAAGTAAAGGAGGAGGCTCATGTGTAGAGTCTATATACAAATTGGAAGTGGTGGTGACTGAAAAAAATGCATTAAAATTAACCAAATTTTCTCTTTTCTAGGCACTGTCCTAATTGTAGATGCTTGAGAAAATAGAGATGTAATCATGGATACCCACCAGGTATTTGAGTCAGGTTCTTCAATGCAAAAGTCACATAGAAGCTGCTGCTTTAATGTTTGTAACAGACTTCCAAACTAATGTCTCTTATAATGTCCCTGTGTATTAAGATTTCCATAAAACCATTACAATTTCTATTTATTTTGTCTAGATGTAAAGCAGACGGCATATCATATTACATATATTGCTAAAATTCTTGCAGCCTAATGTATACAGATTTGTGAATTTTGAGTGATCTGAAGTTCATGAATATTTTGAGGTTGGTTTGTTTTGTCTTGTTCAAAGCCTAGATATCATGTTTTTTCAGTTTAACATATTTCTTGAGGGAAAAGAAATGTTTAGATTTCCAGCTAGTTATAAAATTGTCAGAAAGAATAGAAGTTAAACATACAGAGAAACAAAGGTTACACATCTGGGAAAATAGTAGAAAAGCCTTTATATAGTCTTGGCAAATGAATTCAGAGGTTTTATTTTTAATCACAACTGTGAAGAAAGAAAGATTACCTTTTGGGGAAATTAATGAATATTGTGGGCTTAGACATAAAATAATTGTTAATTGCTCCATTTATTAGAAATCATATGTCAAAAGTGTTTTATCATCAGTAATACAATAGCAATAGAGATAAAAATATATACGGATATTTGATTTTGATGATTTTAATCTCCTATGCCATTTCCATAACAACATGATTATTCACACCTGTCAAACTGATGGGTGAGAATGTCAACTTGCCCTTGAATGCCAAAGACTATTTTCAGACCCTTGAGTTTTCTCACCAATTCAATCCATTTTGCATGCTTCTGACATGCCTTTTAGAAGACCAATTTGCTTATATCTCTTTACCTATTTACTGAAACCCTCATTTATTAGCTTGGCATTCAAAGTCTTCTACAGTCTTGCCATATCTCACTTTAAATCTGTTTCTCCCCCTACTCACCTTCTCCAATGCAATCCCTATGTTGTAATATGGCTAATCTACTTGTTTTTTTAATGTATTTCATGTTACTACTATCTTGAAGTGTTTTCTATGTATTTCTGTCTCTACACTGTGATCCTGCATTGTGCCATCTACTTAGTGACATGCATTCCCTTCTTTGACACATGTGTCTTACGTGCCTTTGTCCCCCACATATTACCTAGACTGGTGCCATATCATAGACAGTAGGTTATCAATAAATGCTTCTTGGTTAGTTAGATGATTAGTATACAGTATGCTTTTGATGAGAAGGGTAAAGAAAATCATCAGAGAAGTTAATGGAATTAGACTCCACCCTGGGTGTCTCTGCCTTCAAAACTCATGTCTTTCACATTATTCCACGCCAACTCCCACAGAATAGTATTTGTCTTAGTCCATTTCTGATGTCATAACAGAAAACCGGAGATCAGGTAATTAATTATATGATTAGTTAGAAAAAGATTCATAACTAGAACCTAGTGCTCCCCATTTCCCTCATGCTTGATAGGTTTTTAAAAATTTATTGAAATAGTTGCAATTTTGTCAAATTATTTTTGACTCATAATTCATACCTTCTGATATTTCTTACTTTGTAAAAATGATTTTCTTCTTTCCATTTTGTATCTACAATTCAGCTTCGGTTTCTTTCTTTTCATTTCTACTTTTCCCTTTTGTTTAAAATATAACCCATTACAATAAACTTAGGAAAGACTGTACTGAATATTGTCTCTATAAAGGGCATGAAAGTCTCCTTAATGTGAAGTTGAGGTAGCGTTAAATATACACTTAATTCAGCAAACTGACATCTCACCAAGCAATCTTTTTGCTATGTGGACACATTTGTGTGTTTGTGTGCGTGTGTGTGCGTGTTTGTGTGTGCGTGTGTGTATGTATGTATTGCGCATGTGTGTCTGCACATTGTAGAGAATGGCATTTTCACATTACCACAAAAACACTTTATATAAGAAAATAATTCTAAATTGGTCCATAGGAGAGGGAGCCATAGGATGGGTTAGAACTGACTTCTGTCTCTGACTTCTCCATCCCCATTATTTTGTTTTGTGTTTCTGAAGCCAGTTTTACATCTTAGTAGAGCCATAAATAATGACAATAAGCTGGAAAGGCTGGCATCTACGAGGGTGGAGAGAAGAGGTCAATAACATACATATATAGTCTTGGGGGTGCTAAATGTTGAGTAAAGCTAACTCCAAGCAGAGCACAATGAGTGGCTGGAGAAAAATACCTGTCAGTCTCCACACTTTCAATTCCAGGGTGAGGAAGGGTCCTTACCAGACTTGAGGGAGCTTTTGAGGTGTTCTAGCCAAGCTCTTCAATGAATTGTCATTCAGGCTACCTGCCTACTCCTTCGGCTACTCTACCCAAAGTTCCTGCCCCATGGGTGGGGCCACTGCATCAAACAACTCTCCAGGGAGAACCATTCACATCATCACCTATGCCTATCTGAATGGCACCTATGCCTATCTGAATGGAGCCTATTCAACCACAGTCCATACGGCTTTACCTGCAGCCTTGCATAAAACCTTGTAGAAATATTTCTTCAAATTCCTTTCTATTTTCTGATTATCTTTTCTTTTCTTTTTTTTTTTTTTTTGCTTATTTTTAGGGCGCAAATATTTAAATTTTAGATTTTCTTTACATTAACAATGCAAAATACACACAATTCATTCACAAGTTAGCAACTCAGCTAATGTAGACACTTCTGGGCAATGGCTGGTGTTTTGTTTTCAGATATGGTTAAGAAAATAGCCATACAATGGCTCCTGTTTGGGCTCTGAAGCCAACAGACTCCTTCCTCTGTCCCCAAATAGGATAACAAAAGATTTAGGGAATATTCAATACTTTTCTCAAAGAAGTAAGTGATTTGAGTGTAAGTTGCTACTTCCCTGTAAGAAATAACAGCAAGCATAGATACGCCTAAGGGAAGGCAGGACGAAGCCGCCACTTTCCTTGGAGTCTAAAACTCTGACCTGAAAAGTGTTCGCAAGGGATTGGAACCAAAGCCAGGATTGATTTGCTGAGATTTGCACTCTCACCTAATGGCCTGAGGAAGCAGTGCTGCTGTCTTGGTTTGTTCTGGCAGCTATAACGAAATACCATAGACTGGGTGGCTTATAAACAACGGAAATTTATTTCTCACCGTTCTGGAAGCGGGAAGTCCGAAATCAAGGCCTGACAGTTTCCGTGTCTGTGGGAGGGCCGATTTCCTTGTTCACAGAGAGCACCATCTTGCTGCATCCTCACACGGCGTGCGGGGCGAGGCGGTTCTCTGGGCCCTCTTTCATCAGGGCACCGATCCCCTTACTGATGGGGGCTCCGCCCTTACGATCTAATCACCTCCCAACAGCCCCCCTTCCCAACACTCTCACACTGGTGACTAGATTTCAGCATGAATTCTAGGGGAGCCACAAACACTCAGACCACAGCAGTGACCAACGTAGCATTAGTCAAGAAAGCCCAAGACACTCAGTCTCTGCTAGGGAGGAAGATCTTATCGGTAAATGTGAACATGTATTTCAGGATTCAAGAGGTGATTAGAAGTGAACAGTTTTAAAGATTACAGAAAGCACAGTGGCAATGCTTTAAAAGAAAGACTGCTTTCCTGTTTGAGTAAGAGCAAGAATATTAAATCAGGAGCATTCGCCAATTGACATTCCTGTGCTGGTGTGAGGAGAGGGCAGACGTTCAAGTCAGAGCTCAGCTATCCAGCTCATCTTCACTCCACTGGACTCTGAGGCCAGATAATTAGATTCCTTCTTTTCTCCCAAATTTATATTTCATCACAAAGCTGAATGACCTTTCCTGTCAGTGCAACCAACAAAGATGGCTGGGCAGGAAGTAACCAGACGTTGCAGGCCCTCCCACACCAAGGAAGTTGTATATTGCAACCACACAGACTGATTTTTGTTTTAATGCCAAGCTATGCAGCTCGGCTGTCAGAGCAATGAAGTGAAAATAAAATTAGGGGCCAAATGTCTAAACCCTCAAGAAATGTCATGGATAAGAAGAATAAAACAAGTAAAAGGTTTTCCTTTTTTTGTTTTAATGTTTAAATATATATGAATTTTGTTATCAGTGCACTGAAAATGGAATCAGTGACCCGTTGGACCAAATGCTTATGTTCAAGAAATGCCTTGAACTTTAAATAAACTCCATGTTATTTTGCTTTGGATTAATTTACTTGCAGATGTGTGACATTGCTTGGGAATATAGGTCCAGCTGGAAAATACAGACAGAGGCAGGGCAGAACCTAATTTTCTTACGATTCAGACTTTGCTGAACAGACAACATAGCTTTCAAAAGAAACATGAACTTCTCTTTCTTATTCACTTCAGGGACAGAGAGATTGAATTGAAGGCAGAATTCGGAGTTTCCTCCAATGACCACAAAATAGCATTTTAAAATCTTGTCGTGTTTGTTTTTTGCGGCTGTTTTGATTTTTTTTTCTTTTCCTCAGCAGGCTTGTGAATTTCCAAGTAGCCCCATCCTGCTGCTTCTTCCCTTATTCCTGTATTTATTAGCAGAGAGGATGCAGTCAGCAGCTCTGCAGCCATAGGGAATTCACATCACCTCTCTGAGCCTTAGCTTTCTCTCTGTAAACTGAGAGCATTGGGCTAAATAATTTCTTCCTCCAGTGGTTGGTCTATTTCCTAGGTCTGTGTGGAGTTACTACTTGGATGTCCCTGAGGGGGAGGTAGAATCTCTTCACTATAGCCCCCAATACTAGAGGATCAGTTAGTCAGTCAGCCAAAGAGATCATTCACGTCAATTTGTGAAGGAGGCCGGGGTGGTGGCCTACCTACGCTCCAAGAACCTAGTACCTCCTTTCCCCTCTCCTATCAGATGACTTTTTTTTTTCTGTTTTCAGTTTGCTCTTCTATAGAATTATACTACACTTTTACTGGTATATATAGAAAAGCAATTTTCATTACCATAAAGGATTAGAAAGCAAAACTTTAAAAACTAAGCTCATGCAAGTATCTTCACATCTTAGAATATTAGGGGAGATATTCATATGGGATGCTGACTGATGTCAAAAGGCCAAACATACAATTATGGGGGTTACCATCCCATTTGTATATTACCTCCTTGTTAGAAATCAATAGTTTATTGATTATTTTTCACATTATTTTTAAGAATATTTTTAATTGTCAGACAGTAACAGTAAGACATTTTTAAATTGTTAGTAAAATAACTTCTATGTATAAATAACCTCTGTCTTAGTGAAGTAACTTTTATTTATTAGCAAAACTAAATCTTATTCATGCTCGTTTAAGCAAAATGAATTACAGGACTATGGGGTCTATTAATTTGCTAGGTCTGCTGCAAGAAATTACCATAAACCAGGTGGCTTAAAACAACAGGAGCTTATTCTGACAGTCTGCAGGCCAGAAGTCTGACACCCAGGTGTCAGCAGGCCGCGCTCTCTCGGAAGGCTCAGCGGGGGGTCCTTGCTTGGCTCTCTCCCAGCTTCTGGTGGCTGCCTGGCAGCCCTTGGCGGACCTCGGCCCAGCCTGTCTCAGCATCACTCCAATCTCTGCCTCCGCCTCCTCCTCTGGGTGGCCCTGTCTCTGCCTCCGTCTCCTCCTCTGGGTGGCCCTGTCTCTGCCTCCGTCTCCTCCTCTGGGTGGCCCTGTCTCTGCCTCCGTCTCCTCCTCTGGGTGGCCCTGTCTCTGCCTCCGTCTCCTCCTCTGGGTGGCCCTGCCTCTGCCTCCGTCTCCTCCTCTGGGTGGCCCTGCCTCTGCCTCCGTCTCCTCCTCTGGGTGGCCCTGCCTCTGCCTCCGTCTCCTCCTCTGGGTGGCCCTGTCTCTGCCTCCGTCTCCTCCTCTGGGTGGCCCTGTCTCTGCCTCCGTCTCCTCCTCTGGGTGGCCCTGTCTCTGCCTCCGTCTCCTCCTCTGGGTGGCCCTGTCTCTGCCTCCGTCTCCTCCTCTGGGTGGCCCTGTCTCTGCCTCCGTCTCCTCCTCTGGGTGGCCCTGTCTCTGCCTCCGTCTCCTCCTCTGGGTGGCCCTGTCTCTGCCTCCGTCTCCTCCTCTGGGTGGCCCTGTCTCTGCCTCCGTCTCCTCCTCTGGGTGGCCCTGTCTCTGCCTCCGTCTCCTCCTCTGGGTGGCCCTGTCTCTGCCTCCGTCTCCTCCTCTGGGTGGCCCTGTCTCTGCCTCCGTCTCCTCCTCTGGGTGGCCCTGTCTCTGCCTCCGTCTCCTCCTCTGGGTGGCCCTGTCTCTGCCTCCGTCTCCTCCTCTGGGTGGCCCTGTCTCTGCCTCCGTCTCCTCCTCTGGGTGGCCCTGTCTTCCCCTTTCAGACCCTGAGAAGCACACCTGCCAGTGGACCTAGGGCCTACCCTAATCCAGGAGGGTCTCATCTCCAAATCTTTACCTTACTGACATCTACAAAGACTATTCCAAATAAGATCTTATTCTGAGGTTCCAGGTGGACATATCTTTTGGAGGTCACCGTTCAACCCACCACACAGGGAGGGTCATGGAGCTCAAGTGAAGAAACAGCACCTGGGCTCAGCAGCCACCGAAAATAGCAATTGCGGAACCCGTTGGAAACCAAGCTCATTTTCTTGGCCCTCCTCTCGCCTTCCAGGCTGCATGGCTCCTTCATCTGCTTCTCTCTGACTGGCAGCATCAACCACTTTTCTCTGCAGCCTGTGTCAGCTTAGGACAGAAGAGAACCCTTACACTTACATGCGTTTAGCTCCAGAGCACACGGACAGTGGCTAACCTCTGCCTCATTTCTACATTCCTGAGAAAAACAATCTCATGGGCTAGTTTTGGTTAAGCTTCTGTCATGGATCCCATCAGCTGTAGTTGAGACAATGGTCAGGTAAGTAGGTGCTGGAAGGGAAAGACATTCTCAGTTTAACAAAGTATTTTAAATGAAGTCACAATAGTGTAAAAGTTAATAATAATGAGGTTTCTAAATACTCTTTCCAATGTTTTTCACTAAAGTTCATTAAGTACTATTCAAATAGTACTTACGTTTTTAAAACTATCCCCCAAATACTTCAGAGCCATCTAAAATGGTTGCTGGGTTTAGACTTCCCTGACACCTATGATGAGTCATAATTTAGTTATCAATTTTAGTGGTCTACTCTTATCATAAGGGCCTGTGAGGAAGGTCAAGGTAGTTTGCAGTGGCTTTTCTAGAAAATCTTTCAGAAGGCTCCAAGCTGTATTGCCTGCAATTAGGATAATAGGCTTGGCTTCTGTCAGAAGGCTCCTTTCAGTTCTGTAAAAGTTCCTGTTGGTGAGTGGTTTATTGGGCCTATGAGATGTGATCTCTTTCTTCTGGAAAGAGGTCCCTATATGGCAGTAATGGAGGAATACGTCCTGGAAATGAGAGAGCATATGTGCTTGGAAGCGAGGTGGTGGTGGTGGGGGGTGTTAATTAGCATGACAGGAAGAGAAGACCTATTCAGAAAACATAATGGTGAGAGAGGGAAATCAGAAGCGATATACTGGTTGGAAACCAAAAAGCCTCAGGGAGACAGAGTCAAATATGATGGCCATAATTAAATCAAATAATGTACTCCTTTTCCTTGACAAATCAGTGAGCCTTCAGAAGTGTGTGAAGCTTGAGATTCAGACATGAAATGCGAACATGTGAGGATATGAGACAGCCCCTGTGGCCCATCTTCCAAATCTCAGAAGTGTGTGAAGCTTGAGATTCAGACATGAAATGTGAACATGTGAGGATATGAGACAGCCCCTGTGGCCCGTCTTCCAGATCTCAGAAGGACAGAATGAACAACTTCAGAATCTTAGTGTCAAATGTAGGCATGGTGCTTGATAGCAAAAGTGCATCAGGTTCAAATCTTAGAAAATAGAATTGGCATGGATAGGGTAAAAAATTGGTCGCTATGAGAAAAGCAGCATTGTTGATTTCATTTACTAACTGTTGTAATAATGCTGTGTGTGTGTTAACTGAACCAACTAGGAGGAAAATGTAAGGAAGAGTGCTCCCTTGTTATTGAAATGGGCTTGGAAGTCAAAGAGGGAATGTCTGGTAAAGGCTATAGCATAAGTAGGATGACCCAACAATAGATTTAACAGATTATATCAATTATCTGGATAAACTTACATAAGAGTGGTACTGATATGGCTATTACATGCGAGGGACTAAATTGTGTCCCTACAAAATTCATGTGGAAGCCTTAACCCCCAGTGTGACTGTATTTGGATACCAGAATTTTAGGAGGTAATTAAAGTTAAGTGAGGTGATAATGGTGGGGTCCTAACCTGACGGGTTTGGTGGCCTTACGAGGAAATGAAGAGAGAGAGCTCTCAGTCTCTCACATAATTTGGAGGCAGAAGATCCAGTCTGAGGGCTGGTCACGTAGGCATTCTTGGGAGAGGGCAGTACAGGCATGCCTCAGAAATATTGTGAGCTCAGTTTCAGATCACTGCAATAAAGAGAACATTTCAATAAAGTGAGTCACAAGAAGAATTTGATTTACCAGTGCATATAAAAGCTACGTTTATACTATACTGTAGTCTACTAAGTGTGCAAGACACCACATGTACTTTTCTAATGTTCTCTCTCTCCATGCAGATGCACACAGGAAAGGCCATGTGAGGACACAGCAAGAAGGCTGCCTCTACAAGCCAAGAAAAGAGCCCTCATCAGGAACTGGTCTGCTGGAGCTTGATCTGGGACCTTCAGCCTCTAGAATTGTAAGAAAATAAACTTCTGTTGTTTTGACCACCAGACTTACAGTATTTTGTTATGGAAGCCTGAGAAGACTAGTACATATGACCATAGCCATTTTCACAATGTTTAGCATATGTTTACATCTCTTTTATTTATGCTATGAAATTACCCTGACATAATGCTCATATTTAAAGATATTACCTACTATATTTTTCTTTTTGGATGGGTGTAGCATTTTGTGGGTAGCTGGATTTTTTGATCAGACAAAGTTCAGAATCAAACTGCCAATATAATAGTTCTGTACGAGAAAAAAAAAGGTAAGGAATGGAAGATAGGGATACTATAAAGTAGGAGATATACGACAGGAAATCCATGCCAATAACTCTACATTTACCTCCTAAATGAAGATGTAGCCTTGTTGATCATTGGTTTCAACAAAGTATCAAGAGAGGCACTGATGTCTGCCCATAAGTGTGCAAACTTTTAGGATGTTCTTCCTGAATGGGTATAAAAAGGCTGAGGAATAGTAGGAAACTGAGATACTCTGATCAAGCAATACCCCTTCTGATGTGAACCACGTCTGCCTATATATTTGGCTAAATAAATTGGGAACTTAATCTAATTTTGTCTTGGTTGTCTTTGTGTAGTAGTTTTTTCCTGCTGAATTCTAAGTCCACCTTAAGTAATAAACTTTAAAAATCATTTGTCCTTTCTGGGTTCTATGCTGGGGTCGAGAAGGTGTCATTTTAGTATAGATAATGTAGGCATTTTTTTTCCAAGGAGTGAAATATTTATTGTGAATAAAATTGAAGATATTAATTTCCAAATTCCCCTTGTTGGTAAAGACATAGGAAGAAAACAGAAATGCCCTTGGCAGATGAAAGAAGGATTGCTAGGCACTGCAGACTCAGTACATGGGGAAGTTTAAAATTAAGAGACAAAAGAACAAGTTTGTAAAGCCAGCTTTAGAGGTTTCACAATGAAGGAGCTTAAAAGTGAAGGCTTTGGACATTCAGATGCTGGAGCCTCGGTAGAGGCAACATGCTGGGTAGTGCTGAGTACATTTATTTAGAAGTCATTGAATTGTCTTTTCTATTTATGATCTGTGTATTGAAGCTATTCACCAGATTCTTATTTGTGCTTTTCTTCATAGCATGCATTTTACTTGCCATTAATTGATTCAAAATTATTTTTCTAGCAATTATTCATGCTGATGTGCTCAAGCTTTATTGTTAGATCTAGAAACAGTGATAGGTAAGATGTCCTGAGTACTTGCCCAGGGATATTCACTAAATCTTCACAGCAATTCTAGGACAGAGTCAACATTACCCTGTCACAGCTGGGGATGCTAGGCCTTAGAGAAGTTTAGGAACTTGTCCAAGGTCACACACAATTAGTAAAAATAGTAGAATTGGAATTTGAACCTGGGTAGTTGGGCTCCAGGCCTCCTCCTCTTATCCATTTTATCAAACCAAGTAACACTGTACATTGTTTACGTTGTTTTATTGGAATTATACATAGCATTCTGGAGTGCAACTTAGATTCAAGATACCACATGTACTTTTTATGTTCTGAAGTTTTACATCTAATCTATTCCTACAAATTAATGTATTTTAATCATAATGTCAGTGTAGCATCTAGACATAAAAAAATGGGTATATTACCTTGAACCACCCAAATTTGACCAGTAGGTTGAAAAGAAGTATGGCTGCATTCTGCGCTTCCTCTCTGACACTCTAGCACAGGGCATTGAGGTATAAGAGAATATCAATATTGGCACATATCCAACTCACAGATGTTTGTCTTTTCTTGATGCTCCCTGGTGCCTTAGCTTTGGCCACAGTGCACATAAGCAAAGTGACAGGGCAAGAGAGCCACAAGGAGAAGAGGCTGGAAGTGCAAGAAGGCTGAATGTACGTGAGATGTAGACCAAGGGCCAGGGGCCCAGATTCACAATAGACATCTGCAGTGGGAGGTTGCTGCAGCTACTAGAGATTGCAAGAAGGCAACTATTAGAATCGAAGTCTGTCATGCCTGCTACATGAACTGCAAACATAATTTGGAGGCAGAAGATCCAGTCTGAGGGCTGGTCACGTAGGCATTCTTGGGAGAGGGCAGTACAGGCATGCCTCAGAAATATTGTGAGTTCAATTTCAGACCACTGCAATAAAGAGAACATTTCAATAAAGTGAGTCACACGAAGACTTTGGTTTCCCAGTGCATATAAATCTATGTTTACACTGTACTGTAGTCTATTAAGTATGCAGTAGCATTATTAAAAAATACTCTACATACCTTAATTAAAAATACTTCATTGCTAAAAATGCAACCAACAATCAGAGCCTCCAGCAAAGTCATAATCTTTTTCTGGTGGGAATCTTGCCTCTATGTTGATGGCTTCTGACGGATCAAGGTGTTGAATGCTGAAGGTTAAGGTTGCTGTGGCAATTTCTTAACATAAGACAACAGTGAAGTTTGCTGCATCAATTGACTTTTCCTTTCAGACAATATTTCTTTGTTGCATATGATGCTGCTTGATAGCATTTTTGTCATATTAGAACTTCTTTCAAAATTGGAGTTAATTCTCTCAAGCCCTGCCACTGCTTGATCAACTAAATTTATGTAATACTTTAAATCTTTTGTTGTCATTTCAACAATGTCACAGCATCTTCACCAGGAGAAGATTCTGTCCCAAGAAGCCACTTTCTTAGCTGATCCATAAGTTGCGATTCCTCATCTGTTATAGTTTGATCATGAGATTCCAGCAACTCAGTCACATCCTCATGCTCCACTTCTAATTTCAGTTCTCTTGCTAGTTCTACAACATCTGCAGTTACTTTCTCCACTGAAGTCTTCAATCCCTCAATATTATCTGTGACAGTTGGAACCAACTTCTTCCGAACTCCTGTGAATGTTGACATTTTGACCTCCTCCCATGAATTTCGAATGTCCTGAATAGCATCCCAAATGTTAAATTCTTTCCAGAAGGTTTCCAACTTACTTTTCCCAGATGCGTCAGAGCAATCACTGTCTATGGCAGCTGTGGCTTTATGAAATATATTTCACAAATAATAAGACTTGAAAGTTGAAATGACTCCTTGATCCATGGGCTGCAGAATAGATGTTGTGCTAGCAGACATGAAAACAACATTAATATCTTTGTACATCTCCATCACAGCTCTTAAGACAGGTACATTGTCAAAGAGCAGTAATGTTTTGAAAAGAATCCTTTTTGTTTTTCTGAAAAGTAGTTCTCAACAGTGGGCTTAAAATATTGAGTATACCATGCTGTTAAAAGATGTGCTGACATCCTAGCTTCCCTGTTCCCTTTACATAGCACAAGAAGAGCAGATTTAGCATAATTCTTAAGGGTCCTAGGATTTTTAGAATGGTAAATGAGCATTGGCTTCAACTTAAAAAGTAACGAGCTAGGTTGGGTGTTGTGGCTCATGCCTGTAATCCCAGCACTTTGGAATGCTGAGGTGGGAGGATTGCTTGAGCCCAGGAGTTTGAGACCAGCCTGGGCAACATAGTGAGACCTTGTCTCTAGTAAAAATGAAATAAAATATTTTTGAAATTTGAAAAAAAAATACAGCAGTTACATTAGCCCTTCACAAGAAAGTCAGCCTGTCCTTTGAAGCTTTGAAGCCATGCATTGACTTCTTTCCAGTTATGAAAGCCTTCTTAAATAGGAGATGCCATTTGCCTCTGATGGCTCTTCTTTCAGTAGGAGGGTGTTTTGTATAGATTAAAAATCAGTTGTTTAGTGTAGCTACGTTCATCAATGATCTTAGGTAGATCCTCTGGATAACTTACTGCAGCTTCTACGCTAGTATTTGCTGCATCACCTAGCACTGTTATGTTATGGAGATGGCTTCTTTTCTTAAACCTCATGATCCAGCCTTTGCTAGCTTGAAACTTTTCTTCTGCCAATTCCTCACCTCTCTCAGGCTTCATAGAATTGAATAGAGTTAGGGCCCTGTGCTGGATTAAGCTTCGGCTTAAGAAAATATTGTAGCTGGTTTGATTTTCTGTGCAGACCACTCAAACTTTCTTTAAATCGGCAGTTAGGTTGTTTTGCTTTCTTACCATTTGTGTGTTCACTGGAGTAGCAGTTTTAATATCATTCAGGAACTTTTCCTTTGGATTCACAACGTGGGTAACTGCTTGGTGCAAGAGGCCCAGCTTTTAACCTGTTTTGGCTTTGGACATTCTATCCCCACTAAGCTGAATCATTTCTAGCTTTTGATTTAGGGTAAGAGATGTGTGACTCTTCCTCTCACTTGAAAACCTAGAGGCTACTGTGGGGTTATTAATTGGCCTAATTCCCGTCGTTGTGTCTTAGGCCTGAGGAGCGGGAGAGAGATTGGAAAATGGCTGGTCAGTGGAGCAGTCGGTGCTCATGCAACATTTCTGGATTAAATTCTTTGTCTTACATGGGTGCAGTTCATGGTGCCTCAAGACAATTACAATAGTAATATCAAAGGTCACTGATCACAGATCATCATAAGAAACACAATAATAACGACAATTTGAAATCACAAGAATTACCAAAATGTGACATGGTGATATGAAGCGGGACATGCTGGGAAAATGGCACTAATAGACTTGCTTGAGGCCAGGTTGCCACAAACCTTCAATCTGTAAGAAATGTAATATCTGCAAAGCACAATAGACTGACATACAATAATATGAGCTAGGCCTGTGTTATCAAACCAGAGTTTGCTTTAGCAACAGGGACACCATCTTGGTTAGTCCAATTCTCATCTTCGGAGATCTGGAGTGCATCTCTCTGAGAGTCTGTACAATCCTTGTTAGAACCCTGAGTTCAGAGTAATAAAAAGGGATGAAATGATTAAGGGACTGGACTTTTGCTAGACAGTAGACTCCTCTGTGTGCCCTAGGTTGTTCTTCTCCTCTAACACATCAGAGTAGATTGTATCTTAAAAAGGAGTATTTGTGTTCAGAGCAACTGCTGTTGTGCCTGCTCTTCAGGTGACAGATGGTAGGCTTCTCTCTGAACCAAAAGCAATGTTTGCCATCCTAAAAATGTGGACATAATATGTTATATGAAAGTTTTTATTTGAGGCCACGTAATATGGCTTTATAGTTTTGTTTCCTGGTTATTAGTCTTATCAAAGTTACTGCTGGAATGCCTGTGCAGGGAACAAAAAGAGGATGTCAAGGAAGCAGTGACCAGCAAATCCTGATAGAAGTTTAAATTCCCTGACAATCCAATAGGAATAAAGACATAATCAGCTGCATATTGGAGCACATTATTAAAACAGCCACTCAGGTTTTGAAATATCCATTTAAAATAGTTCAATTAAAACCCAATTACAGAAACGTTCCACACGAACACTGAAACATCTATTTTATTATGATTCTGCATATCAGTAGCCTTTAAATCTTAAAGATGAACCAAAATGTCTTTTAAAATGAGCACTAAAAGGGGAGACCCACAACATAGTCTCTGCTGCTTCAAAGGGGTTTCTGCCTTGATTTAAGAACATGAGTTCCAGTTGTCCCAATTACCGTTTACAGTAACCGAAAGAATAATAAATAGAGGATGCCTGTGAGTATCTGTTGTGATGCAAGAAATATTCATCTTAGGCACACTAAGCAACTAAACCACAAAATTGGACTTTTTGCAACTGTTCGAAAAGTTAACTAAAGATGAATATGCATTTTATGCATATCAGTGCTTTTATCATATGCCATTTAATTATAGGTTATTTTAAACTATTCATTCATAAAAAATTAATTTATTTAGCACTTTAGAATACCTAAGACATATAGTAATATAAATGTATGCAAGATTTTCAGAAAGTCACTTCTTATTTTGCATTTTTGGCTAGAGTTCTCTTTCGGCAAATATAGGTGTGAGCCAGACCTCACAATGTAGCAATTATGCTTTTTTTTTTTTTTTTTGAGACAGAATCTCACTCTGTCACCCCCAGGGTGGAGTGCAGTGGCATGATGTCGGCTCACTGCAACCTCTGCCCTCTGGGTTCAAGCGATCCTCCTGCCTCAGCCTCCCCAGTAGCTGGGATTACAGGTGCATGCCACCAAGCTCAGCTAATTTTTGTATTTTTAGTAGAGACGGGGTTTCACCATCTTGGTCAGGCTGGTATTGAACTCCTGACCTCATGATCCACCCGCCTCGGCCTCCCAAAGTGCTGGGATTACAGGCGTGAGCCACCGCGCCCATCCACAATTATGCCTTTTTCCCGGCTCACTAAGGATTTAGAGATTCATATTCCTCTTCTTGTCACAGCCATGAATTCCTTTCAGCATCCACCTGCATGCTTTGCCTGGCATTGTCTGCTTGGGAACCAGAGCCCTGTTACTGTCTTACTTGAAAGGCAAGTTTTCCTAAGCTATCTACCAGATTACTTTAGATCATAGCCTTCTTTAGATTTCTCTAAATTATATGTCTTTGGACCTCAGATATACATGGTCTTCTTTTGAGAAATGTCTATTCAAATTTTTTGCTCATTTTTAAATTGGATTGTTTGGTTTCTTCCTATTGAGTTGTTTCTTGTATATTTCAGATGTTAATCCCTTATTAAATGTAGGGTTTGCAAATATTTTCTTCTATTCCACAGGTTCTCTCTTCACTTGGATGATTGTTTCCTCAGATGTGCAGAAGCATTTAAAGTTGATATAATCTCATTTGTCTATTTTTTTTTATTTTCTTGCTTGTGCTTTTGGGTTCATGTAAAAGAAATTATTGCTCAGACCAAAGTTATAGAGCTTTTCCCCCATATTTTGCTTCAGCAGGTTTATAGTTTCAGGCCTTACATTTAGGTCTTTAATCTGCTTTGAGTTTACTTCTGTATGTGGTGTGAGATAGCATAAGACATACAAAAGGCCAGCAAGTATACGGAAAAAGAAGACTTGCAAATAACCAACAGGCATATGAAGAGATGCTCAGCATCACTAATCAGCAGAGAAATGCAAATGAAAGCCACAACAAAATAGCAGCTCACACCTGTTAGAATGGCTTTTATCAAAGAGATGAAAGTTAAATGTTGGCAAGGATGTAGAAAAGACGAAGGCCTTGCATACTGCTGGTGGGAATGTAAATTAGTACAGACGTCATGGAAAACTGTACAGAGCTTCCTCAAAAAGTAAAAATAGACCTACCATATGATCCAGCAATCCCACTAGTGGGTATATATCCAAAGGAAAGTCAATAGCTCTGTATGACAGGTATTTGCATTCTCATGTCCATTGCAGCATTATTCCCAATAGCCAAGATATGGAGTCAAACTAAGTGTCCATTAATGGTTGAATCAATAAAGAAATGTAGTATATATACACAATACAATGCTATCCAACCTTTAAAAAGAAGGATATCTGGTCATTTGTGACAACATGGATAAACCTGGAGGACATTATGTTATTTGAAGTAAGCCAGGCACAGAAAGAAAAATATTGCATGATCTTACTTACATAATTGCATATTAAATTGAGAGAAGCTGAACTCATAGAAGTAGAGAGAATGGTGGCTACCAGAGGTTTGGGAGATGTTGGACAAAACAAACAAACAAGAAAAGTAAGGATGTAACTTCAAACCAAAAATAAAGGAGTACCAACGGCTTTTTGACTGAATGCCCACAAATACGGCAGCTGTCACTTTGTTTACCTTTGTCATACTGATTTTGTAGTTGGACCTGTCATGGCCATTGCTGGAATTAACAAATGAGTGGAATGATTACAAAGAAAAATTGAAGAATCTATTTTGTTAATTTTTATGGTAATGTATATTGAGAGATTATGGGTTTCTCAAGAATGCCAGTAACGGCCAGATGCAGTGGCTCATGCCTGTAATCCCAGCACTTTGGGAGGCTGAGGCAGGCGGATCACCTGAGGTCAGAAGTTCGAGACCAGCCTGACCAACATGGAGAAACCCCCTCTCTACTAAAAATACAAAATTAGCCAGGCGTGGTGATGCATGCCTGTAATCCCAGCTACTCAGGAGGCTGAGGCAGGAGAATCGCTTAAACCCGGGAGGCGGAGGTTGCGGTGAGCCCAGATTGCGCCACTGCACTCCAGCCTGGGCAACTAGAGTGAAACTCCATTAAAAAGAGAGAGAGGAGAGAGAGAGAGAGAAAGAGAAGGAAGGAAGGAGAAAGGAAAAAAATAATACCAATAACATACTTGTGCATGGCTCAACAAATAATATTTTTATTCAAGATATATTTACAATATAAGAATGCACAAACACTTCAGTGTGTTTATACATTGGCATATCGGGGTTTTATTATTAATGTTGGCGTATAGCTTTTCATCAGGCCTCTTCCTTACTCAAAAATATGTGAATTTCCCCAATTTTCTGCTTTATCAATCCCCAGACTCCTCTGTCTGGTTGTCAATTCTCTCTCCAGTTCCGCTCCACCGTATGCATTCAACAATATATTTTTTGACTCCCCAAGGTGCACACTCTACTTAAACTTGCCCCCTCTTCACCTGTGTTAACTCCACCCAAACTTCAGGCAACTGTATCACATCAGCAACGGAGCGTTCTCTCAAATACCTCAGCCCTTACACACTCAGCTCCCCAACTGAGCACTTACTTGAGGACTTAGGTGTACATTTATATCAATTTGTGGTATGACACCCTTTTATCATTTTCTACTTGTCACTCTATCTCCCTGCAACTGCTCTGTAAGCACAAGCATCTACATAGTGAATAGCCAACAATGAAGTTCAGACTAGCAAAGTATTGACAATGCCATTTTCTAGGTCAGTTTCTGAGTGGGCTGAGATGACTGAAAGTAGAAGTCAACTCCAGAAGCAGCTGATTTCCAGCAAAAAGAGCGATGATTACTCCTCTGCTTACCAGCAGTTACACCTATTGATACTGGAGCCTCCCCCTACCACGAGGTAGCTTCTGCTGCTATTATCTTGCTGCTCTGGGTGAGTCCCTGAGAATTCGGGGTTAGGGAAGTAAAGAGGGGAGCAACAGTCTGTAATCAACTTAGGACATTTCATTGCTATAATCTCATTACTCAAGAGTTTTTTTTTAAATATCATAGAATATAATTAAGTCTGGTCCCAATTTTTGCCCAGATGGGAAGAAAAGGAAAAATTCATGAAATATAAGTCTAAGGTGACTTTTTAAAAATTGTATTTTCTTTTTGGAAATAACAAAGTCTATAATAAAATGTTTATGTAATTTTAATTATAAGATTGTAAATAAAATGCATGCATATGAAATGCATTTATTACAACTTTTATACAATTTTGTGAAGCTAATCATATATATGTGTGTATATATATATATGTGTGTGTGTGTGTGTGTATATATATATATATATACACCTCTGTCTTTATATAGATTTCTTTGCATGGATCTATCCAGACAGATACCACTCTTTAAAGTTTTATATATTTTAATCTCCAGTGAGAAATACCAAAGTGAACTAGGTCATCTCTTTCCATGGTGGAGCTGATGGCTGACTCCAACTGTGACCAAATGATCTCTCCTTGAGGCCAGATAAGAAAGATGAACATGGGATTATTTTTCCTTATGTGTATTTTCAAGAGCTCATTAATAATTTCAGTTTCATGTTGATGAGAGTTAGCTTTCAGAAACATTTATTTTATACAAAAAAAAAAGACTAAGAGCTCGTTATCTCTTCATGATGATATAACTTTTCTGCAGAATTTCTAAAAATCTTAAAGGACAATTGTGTGTGTTTGAGGAGAAATACAGGGCCTGACTCAGAATCTTCCAGTTACATTCTCTCTTGTTACGTTTATAAATTCTATACCCTGAAAACAGGAAATATGTTCCAACTGTTGGAAACTTTCAGTTACAACTGATTTGTGTTTTTCTGCTATGTTCATTATTTCAGTTTGTTATTACCAACGATCTCTCTTTTCTTAATAGACCAAAACATAAACAACTCAGGCTTCCTTAAGAAATCTTGGCTCGCTGCAACCTCTGCCTCCAGGGTTCAAGTGATTTTCCTGCCTCCACCTCCCGAGTAGCTGGGATTACAGGTTTCCACCACCACACCTGGCTAATTTTTGTATTTTTAGTAGAGATGGGGTTTCACCATGTTGTCCAAGCTGGTCTCGAACTCCTGACCTCAGGAGATCCACCCGCCTCGGCCTCCCATAGTGCTGGGATTACAGGTGTGAGCCACTGCACCAGGCCCATAATTTCTAATAATTATTTATACCTACTCTATGTTCTGCACTGTGCCAAATTCTTTGTATGGATCATCTCATTTAATCTTCAAAGAAACTCAGTGAGGTCAATATAATTATTATCACTGTTTTCTGAGAAGAGGACTGAAGCTTAAATTGCCTAATGATCCATGAAAATGCACTCATGGACATCGACACCCCCCACCCCACCCCAACACCATTGCTGCTGCCACTGGTGCAAACACGCATGCAGATGCTCATGGCCAAGCCCCCGCCAATGAACCACCCCTGCCGCTGCCAGTGCATGCACATGCGGGAAGACCACAGCCCTGTTACTGCTGGTACCCCCCAGAAGCTAACACGTGTGCACCTCCCCACAACACAGCTGCTGGCACACATGAGCAAGCATGGATCTCAAAGCCCCAACAAAGTGCCTTGGTGGGTACCACCCAACAAAGTGTTGTGGCCAGCAGACTGGGAACATCTCTGCCCCTCCAGCACAGCAGCTTCCTTACCTGGAACAGACAGAGAACAAAGCAGGGGCCTGGTACCAGCTCCCAGAGTTAGAGTACACACCCTGGGAGTGCTGAGCTGAGCTTTGGCCCCCTAAAATCTTCCAGAAATGAAGCCATTTGATTGAACCCACCTTATACCACAAGCAAAACCCCAAGGTCATCAAAAGAGATAAAAGCAAAAAATCTCCATCCAAAAGACAGCAACTTCAAAAACTGAAGAAACATCAACTCACACACATGAGAAAGAACCAGTACAAGAACTCTGGCAACTCAAAAAGTCAGTGTCCTCTTACCTCCAGACAATGGCACTAGTTTCCCCTCAATGGTTCTTAACGTGGCTGAAATGACAGAAATAGAATCCAGACTATGGATATGAATGATGATCATCGAGATTCAGGACAACTTTGAAACTCAATCCAAGGAATCTAAGGAATACAATAAAATTTTCCAGGAGCTGAAGGATGAAATGGCCATTTTAAGAAAGAATCAAACTGATCTGATAGAGCTGAAAAACTCACTTCGAGATTTCATAATATGATGGCAAGGATTAACAGCAGAATTGACCAAGCTGCAGAAATAATCTTAGAACTCAAAAAATATATGATTTAAAATAATCAGACAAAAATTTAAAAAAAGAATCAAGAAGAGTGAACAAAACCTTCAAGAAATATGGGATTATGTAGATACACCAAATCTATGACTCATTGACATCACTGAAAGAGAGGCGGAGAAAGCAAACAATTTGGAAAACATTTTGGTGATATTGTCCATGAAAAATTTGCCAACCTCACTATTGAGGCCAACATTCAAGTTCAGGAAATGCAGAGAATCCTTGCAAGATACTATACAAGCTTACCATCATCAATACAATAGTCATTAGAGTCCCCAAGGTCAAAATGAAAGAAAAAATGTTAAAGGCAGCCAGAGAGAAGGAGCAGATCACCTGCAAAAGGAACCCCATTAGGCTAACAGTGGACCTTTAAGCAGAACCCTACAAACCAGAAGAGATTGGGAGCCTATATTTAGCATCTTAAAGAAAAGAAATTCTAACCAAGATTTTTATAGATAGCCAAATTAAGCATCATAAGCAAAAGATAAATAAGATTCTTTCCAGAGAAGCAAATACTAAGGGAACTCATTACCACCAGATCTGCCTTATAGGAGGCCCTTAAGGAAGTACTTAATATGGAAAAATTACTGGCCACCACAAAAGCACACTTAAGTACATAGACCATCAACACTGCAAAGCAACTGCACAATCAAGTCTGCATAATAACTAGCTAACAACATGACAGAATCAGATCTGCACATATCAATATTAACTTTGTAATTGGGTGAAATGCCCCAATTAAAAGGCAGAGAGTGGCAAGTTGGATAAAGAAGCAAGACCCAAAGGTATGCTATTTTCAAGAGACCCATTTCACATGCACTGACACCTATAGGCTCGAAGTAAAAGGGTGGAGAAAAATCTACCAAGCAAATGGAAAACAGAAAAAAGCAGGGGTTGCTATTCTAATTTCAGTCAAAACAGACTTTAAACCAACAATGATCAAAAATACAAATAAGAGCATTACATAAGGATAAAGCGTTCAATTCAACAAGAAGACCTAACTATCCTAAATACATATGCAGCCAACACAGGAATACCCACATTCACAAAGCAGGTTCTTAGAGACCTACAAAGAGACCTAGATAACCACACAATAATAGTGCAAGACATCAAAACACCACTGACAGTATTAGACAGATCATTGAGACAGAAAATTAACAAAGATATTCAGTACCTGAACTTGACACTTGAACAAATAAAGGAAGTAATGGACATCTACAGAACTTTCCACTCAAAACCAACAGAATATACATTCTTCTCATTTGTACATGGCACATACCATATATCAGCCACACAATGGGCCATCACATAATTTTCAGAAAATTAAAAAAAATAATTGAAATCATACCAACCACACTCAAGAACACAGCACAATATAAACAAAAATCAACACTAACGAAATCACTCAAAACCATACAATTACATGGAAATTAAACAACCTGCTCCTGAATGACTTTGGGGTAAACAACAATATTAGGGCAGAAATCAAGAAATTCTTTGAAACTAATGAGAACAAAGATATAACATATGATAATCTCTAGGACACAGCTAAAGCAGTGTTGAGAGGAAGGTTTATAGCACTAAATGCCCACATTCAAAAGTTAAAAAGATCAAAGTAATGACCTAACATTACACCTGGGAGAACTAGAAAAACAAGAGTAAGCCAACCTCAAAGCTATCAGAAGACAAGAAATAACCAAAATCAAGAGCGGAACTGAAAGAGATTGAGACAGAAAAAACATATCAAAGGTCAACAAATCAAGAAGTTGGTAATTTCAAAGAACAAAAAAGATTGATAGACCACTAGATAGGCTAATAGAGAAAAAAGGAGAAGATCTAAATAAACACAGTCAGAAATGACAAAGGGGACAGTATCACCAAACTTACAGAAATACAAAAAACTCTCAGACTACTACTACAAATACCTCTATGCACAGAAGCTAGAAAACCTAGATGAAATGGATAAATTTCTGGAAACATACGGCCTCCCAAGATTGAACCAGAGGGAAATTAAGTCCCTGAACAGACCAATGATTGGTTCTAAAATAGAATCTGTAATAAAAAGCTTACTAACAAGAAAAAGCCCGGGACCAGACAGATTCACAGCTGAATTTTACCAGATGTATAAAGAAGAGCTGGTACCATTTACACTAAAACTATTCCTAAAAATGGAGAAGAGACTTCTCCTTAACTCATTCTATGAGGCCAGCATCATCCTGATATCAAAACCTGGCAGAAACACAACAAAAGAAAACATAAAGCCAATAACTTTGATGAATATCAGTGCAAAAATCCTCAATAAAATACTAGCAAACTGAATCCAGCAGCACATCAAAAAGCTAATCTACCATGATCAAGTAGGTTTTATTCCAGGGTTGCAAGGTTGGTTCAACATATGCAAATCAGTAAATATGACTCATCATATAAACAGTAATAAAAACAAAAACCACTCGATCATCTCAATAGATGCAGAAAAGACTTTTGATAAAATTCAGCATCCCTTCATGTTAAAAATTCTCAACAAATTAGGCACTGAAGGAACTTACCTCAAAATAATAAGAGCCATCTATGACAAACCCACAGCCAACATCATACGGAATGGGCAAAAGCTGGAAGCATTTCCCTTGAAAATCACAACAAGACAAGGACACCCTCTCTCACCACTCCTATTCAACACAGTACTAGAAAGTCCTAGCCGGAGCAATCAGGCAAGAGAAAGAAATAAAAGGCATCCAAATAGGAAGAGAGGAAATCAAACTATCTCTGTTTTCAGATGATATAATTCTATACCTAGAAAACCCCATAGTCTCTGCCCAAAAGCCCCTAGATCTGATAAACAACTTCAGCAAAGTTTCAGGATATAAAATCAATGTACAAAAATCCATAACATTTCTCTACACCAACAGCTTCCACACTTAGAGCCAAATCAAGAACACAACCCCATTCACAATAGCCACAAAAAGAATAACATACCTAGGAATACAACTAACCAGGGTGGTGAAAGATCTCTACAATGAGAATTACAAACCACTGCTCAAAGAAATCAGAGATGACACAAACAAATGGAAAATCATTCATGAGTGGATAAAACATACTCCCCGTCTTTACCTTGGCTTTCCTTCTTCATGATTCTATTTTGAAACTATGTGAGCTGTGGTTAGGCTCCTTATTTTGAGAAACTGCTCAAGATAAGACAAGTTATTAAAATAAAATATTATTGGCAAAAGGATGAAAAGCTAGAAAACAGAGCAAGATAGATAATGCAACGGATAGCTGAGGGCTTTGAAAACATATATTATATAAAGTTCTGTTTTCTTGTTCTTAAGGAAAAGTTTTTTAACCAAAAAACACAAGCTACTACTCCTAGAGTGGATAAAATTCTCAAATGCATTTTCAGAACCTTACAATGTGGCTTCAAAATGGGCATTATCAATAATTACTCAAAGGCCTGATGCTATTTAATAGCAGACAGAGGAAGGTCACTGTCTTTTCCTGATCCAGAAAGTTTTTCCTATTTTGACTCCATTTTTTTCAGATGTAGTTTGACTCCAGTGATCAATACAAATTCAAATTGAATACCGTGCAGCAACAAATATGCCATAGTGCCTTTTCCTTTCTTTTTGGCCTTTTTTTGAACAACATTAATCGACAGAAGAAAGTCAAATGGTTATAGCTAAGAGAAAAAAATAAATAAAAAGGCTTCTGAGCCATAAAAGTACAAATAAAAATGTGAAAATAATTTTTGGAAGGCTTGATGAATTTTATCTTTTAGATTTAGTGCATTAGTTTACATTATGTTGGGACTTTGGTTTATGTAAAAACTGGATAGTCAAAATTATTAATAATAAAATAATGTGTTCTCAAGAGTAAATCTCATGTCTTTAAATCATATGAATCATTCATCATCATAGGAAGCCATGAATTTCCATTACATAGCTGAACAGTTGGAGCATCCCACAACAATGGAAATGTATAAGTGGGGATGATAATCGGAGGGTTCATGTGGTAGAGTACAGTCTAACCAGCTGGAGGTTCAGTGAGGCATGTGTCTTTCCCCCTGTGGTCACACAATGACCATGCAGTTGGCATGACAACTCTTTTTTCCTACCCTACGAACTTCAGGCACTGCTACTATTTGTCAGATATCTTTAAACTAAGTCAACAAGATCTATACTTAGGAATATTTAATTAATTAGATGTCCTTACTAAAGTTAATTAATTTATGAGATATGAAGGATACTTTGTAATAAGAATAGTTTTTTAAAAATATGAAACAATTTCCAATCCAGATATGGACAATAAAATTAAACTGAATGTGAACTGTTTGGTAAAAGACACAGTGAGATTTGGATGATATGAAACTTTTTCTTGGAAAAAAGTCTTTTTTGATATGTATGTGAATGACCCTATATAAATGGTAATTACATGTACTAACACTTGAAATGATAAGTGAGCAAAAATAAGTGAGTGGTTTTATAATATATTTTATTTCAATAGTTTAATACACATACTTTTTGATAAATCACAATAATATATTTTATCCATATGAACTAAAAGGCAATACTTTGAATAGTAGAAAAAATTAAATTTCCCTGCATTATAGGGTATCTAACCTTTTCAACTAATTTTTTGAGCTACTGAGCCATGATATTTTTCCTTAAAAAGCATTTTTAGAAGCATAAAGTAAACGTAGGTGATAAATTAGGTGTACACACAGGCATGTATTAATGACAGCACCCTTCTCCAGAACTTTAGGATGTTTCACGAGTGGGACATCATCTCTCTTAAATTACTATGGAGAAATTAAGGATTAGTTTCTCATGATGTTAACTGATTTCTTTAATCAGCTAGGGGTTGGCATTTGGCATTATGGTGTGCATGTGAATCTTGGGTAGAATGCATTGTATTGTTGTAAAATTTGAATTAATGTGGACATATCTTCCTTTCTCGCTGTCGTATAGTAGGAAAAGTTTTGAGCTTACACTTTGTTCTCCAAAGGATTCAGATGTGTTTGGTCATGTACAAGTGACTCAGGAAGAGTTCACGGCAGGAGAGAGAGTTTCTAGGTGTTCAAATTGGGTCCCAGGATAATAAGTTGCCGTGAAAGACCTTGCTTATGTGCCTTTCTTTCTCCACTTTGTCCCTGCCTGACCCATACCAGAGGCTTGTGTTGGAGCTCTTAAAAGGGTAGACGACAGTAAAATATATAGAAAAACTGTTTCACTAAAGGCTCTGTGAGATTTTGCAGAAGTTCAGGGCAGCCTATACCGGGTAAGCATGCTGGGTTGTATAATATAATGAAATGCGGCCCAGGGATTGGGTGTCATAAAACGATAACCTTTGATCAAGCTAATATCTGAAACAGGAGTGGGACTCCTGAACCGTGAGGCACATCAGCCGCATCATAATCAAATTAGAAAAAGATATTATTTTTGTCACTTGCATTACCTCTGAAAAAGATACCGTTGGCTACATTGGCCTCTTTCTGAGTTTTGTTACAGATATCTGAGATAGAAGCACAGCCAAGGAAACGTTGCTTTATACTTATTTATAAGGACATTTTTAATCTGCTTAACATATAGCCTGTACAACATAGGTTGTGTGTGTATACATATATACATACAGATGCACACATTTATATACGTATATATTTGTATACACACACATCTGCCTGGTCTTCTAATTAGAGGGGCTGAAACCCAGTTTCAGGCATAAAAACGATCACTGATGTCACAGTGCTGTTCAGAGAGTGTCAGTAAAGCTGAGGAATAACGCCGTGCTTACAACGCAAACAGGGCATCCTGTGTGGAAAACAAACAAAAATTGTCAAATATCAAATATCTAAAATATTATCCTTCATACGTTGTTAATTTTGTTACATTAAACTTTCATCATTCTATTTAATTGGGTATCGAATCACCTTTTAAAATTCTTAAATTCTTAGTATTTCAAGCTCTTCTGGAGAAAAAAATGAATGACAAGTACAGAAATAAAATACAATCCTCAGCAGGTGCGGTGGCTCACGCCAGTAATCCCAGTACTTTGGGAGGCTGAGGCGGGAAGACCATGAGGTCAGGAGATCAAGATCATCCTGGCTAACAGGGTGAAACCCCATCTCTACTAAAAATAAAATTAGCTGGACGTGGTGGCACGTGCCTGTAGTGCCAGCTACTGGGGATGCTGAGGCAGGAAAATTGCTTGAACCCAGGAGGCGGAGGTTGCAGCAAGCCGAGATTACGCCACTGCACTCTAGCCTAGGTGAGAGAGTAAGACTCTGTCTCAAAATAAATGAAAGAAGGAAAGAAAGAAAGAAAGAAAGAAAGAAAGAAAGAAAGAAAGAAAGAAAGAAAGAAAGAAAGAGAGAATAAAATTCTCAAATGAATCAGCATTCTAATCCATTTTCGATTTTAGTAGAAGTTGAGAAGATGTCCCTTTTCAAAACCTAGCAACTCAGATATTCTACACTAATAGAAAACTTAGTACTAACTTTGACTTCTGATAGCCCTAAAAAATAATACAGCTATATCAGAGGTACGTGGGTAACAATAAGGTAATGTTATCAAATACAAAGTCTTTACTACGTTCAAAACTGCACTCAAGTTTCTTTTATCTGTTCCTTTGAACAAAGATTTTGCAGTCTTTTAGGAACCAACTCTACCTCTATAAAGTATTCTGCTTCTGACCTGGTACTGTATTCTCCTTGAAGTGTTTCACACACTGATTTTGTGTTGATTTCCCCCCTTTCTTACACCCCCAGGATTTTTCTCAGTTAGATATGCTGAGTTTATAAGTCAGAAATTTCAAGGATTATTCCTCTAGGCTATCAACCAATAAGCACATACAGCAGAACAGAGGGAAGCAATTGTTTCATCATGAGGACCACATTGTGAGTCCTATCTGCCTTCAGAGCTAATTGCCCTTGAACTTTGCCATACTTGCTTGCTATGTTCCTGTTCCCATTCAAATATCCATCTTCCTGCATCCCACAACACCTACCCACCTCTGCTTACCTAGTAGTAATACAGCAGGGATTCACATGAATAGGGCACTGGTACATGTGAAAATGCACCTGGAATAAATATAGGGATGGGTCTGCGGAGCCTCTTGCTGCTCATCGAGCCCAGGGTAAGATTCCTTGAGCTACGTCACACATCACCATCCTGCAGATATTTATTATAATAGAAACCAAAATCTCCTGTTTTATTGCGTTTCAGGCAAATGACCCATTCATCCAGTTGCTACTGTTTTAAAACACATTCCTCCATGTTTGTGTTTTCCATGGCCACGAGCAGATTGAGTGAAGTAATAAGAAATTGTGGAAATAATTTCTCATCACATACATCAATCTATGTGAGTTTTCTTCCAGGCATGTTGCTGAGCATTTTGGAAAATTGGTTGATAATTATCCATGTAGTAAAAGAGCATCTCTCTGTACATCTTTGATGGGAATTATGCAAGAGAGGTCATCTCATTAAATTTGATCTAGCTAAAGGTATCTCGGCCTTAAAAGGGTGGAAGTGAATTTTGCAAATCAGGAAAAATAGTGACGATGTATGGCTCACAGGTGCTTCATTATTTGAAAAACAAACACAACAAATGAGGTCAAATGTTAACTACTGAGCTTATAGATAGGATGACTATATTACATGTGTGAATAATGAAATAACTAGTCAGAACTTCTAAGCTGAGATAAAATCACAGTGTGAGAAAAGCCTGGGATTTTTGTAGCATTTAGTTGTGGCCATTCACTTGATTCTAATTCAATCGTTGTATTACTCGGTTTTCACGCTGCTGATAAAGACATACCTGAGACTGGGTAATTTATAAAGAAAAAGAGGCTTAATGGACTCAGTTCCACATGGTTGGAGAGGCCTCATAATCATGGCAGAAGGCGAAAGGCACAAGCCACGTCTTACACGGCAGCAGACAAGAGGGAATGAGAACGAAGCGAAAGGGGTTTCACCTTTTAAAACCATCAGATCTTGTAAGATTTATTCGCTACCATGAGAACAGTATGGGGGAAACTGCCCCCATGAGTCAATCGTCTCCCACTGGGTCCCTCCCACAACACATGGGAATTATGAGAGCTACAATTTAAGATGAGATTGGGGGGGACACAGCCGAACCATATCAATCATTACATTCAGAAATATATTGAACCCATCAGTTAAATCAGTTCCTTAGTGTGTGCATACAAGACATGGGAAGATGTCCTTTTTCCTCTTTAAGAGTTTTCAGGGGTCATTGCAAACAAGAGACCCTACATTGTCTCTACAAACATGGCGTGTGGCTCTTTTTATCTCATTTTTTTCCCTCTAACCATAAATACCTCTTGTTTTCTAGGGGGCCTTTCTAGTACACGTGTGTGTTTGTGGCACAGGGAGAAGGGTGCGAAGAGAGAGGAGATTATCAATTAGGCTTTAAATCTTACACTAATTTAAATTTATGGATTTCATCAACTCTGAAAAAAATGAAT
Organism: Homo sapiens; assembly: GCF_000001405.40. Classification (NCBI taxonomy): domain Eukaryota; kingdom Metazoa; phylum Chordata; class Mammalia; order Primates; family Hominidae; genus Homo; species Homo sapiens. The sequence continues at coordinate 187,327,283 of NC_000004.12, forward strand.
CATTTCAAAGTTGTCAGTAAATAAGTCATGCCATGTTATTACTAAAGTTATGATGGCATTGCTTGGATATTAAGTCTATTTCCGGATACAATTTAAAGAGTGATGTGAATTTCTATTTTGGAAAATATATAACTGTCTTCCATTGATCACTGCCATTAGGTGAGCAAGGATTGCCATGGACATGGGACTGCCTGGGAGGCTGACTAGGCAAGAGTAACTGGTAACTAGAAGTGGGTAACTCTCCCTCCTTTCCTATATCACTACTCTTTTCCCTCCACTCCTGTCTCCCTAAGTTTACACTCCCTAACAAAAGAGTAGCATATGCCAACACAACCTTTGCTTTATGGGGACCCAAATTAAGACAATGGCACTAAAATTTATTTTGCACCTTGCACTTGGGTTCACAGCCAAAGTGCATTGAAAAAAACATAGCAAAATTTTGATGTGATAATTAAACTCTCCTCTGTGTTACTGAAGACTTTCTTATCTGGGTCATGGTAAAGCTGCATCATAACTGCAGTCTTATGGGTCATGTTAAAACTGCATATATCTTCTCACAGAGATGGAGACATTTATAACATCTGCCTGGTGGCTTGCCCAGCCTTGATTGCAAAAGGGAATAAAAGCACCTTAGAGAGTAACAAAGATGACATGAAGTTTTGAAAGAGAAAAAGAGAGATGGGATTGATTGAGAAATAATATTCTCATAAAATCTCAGTGTCATGAAAAATATCAAGGATTTCAGCAAAGCCTTTTACAAATATAGACTCATTTCCATGGAATCAGAGCAGGCTCCTATAAAGCCTTCAGCCTTTTTAGGTTAGAGGTGGAAAATTTGGGTGCAGAGGAGAAACCCCTAACTATAGAGCACTGCTCTGGGGCCTTGGGGATCTCCATACACATCCAGAGAGGGTCAGAAATTTGCGAAAGATGAAGGCTTGCACTGTCTCCATCAGCAGCTTCTGTTAGGAAAGAGACGAGTGAGCCAGGCAAGGGAGAGCATCATGAACCCAGGGGGCGGCTTGAGCCAAGCAGTCCACAAGGCCAGGTGGCCCATAGGCATGTGCTATGTCTATTATAAAAGCCACCACAGAGTCCACGGTAGATTCCTTGAGAAATAATGGCTGGAATTTAAAACCATAACTATGTCTTAAGGCACAGAGATACTACGGTTTTTCCTCCAGGAAGAGCAGTATAAATCTGTGTTGGCATCATGGTAACTTTAAAATACATGATCACGGTCAGAGAAGGTTGGGGCCAAAGGTTTCTAAAACAATTCCTTGTGACTCCTTGCTGCTGGGAATGCAGGAAAATGTGCTATCTGTCCAGAGTAGGCTTAGTTCTTAGAGTAACATTCTGAAGTTTCAAAAAAAAAAAAAGTATTTGATGGTTTTGAATTCCAGGGAGTCAAAGGAAGCTCAATGAAGTTTTCCATGTAGCCTCTTCATTCATTCTGCAGTCAGTGCAAATACTTTGCACAAAGGTTTCTGCAGGAGAAGTGGAATGAAGAAGTCAGCTGAGGATGATCAGATACAGCAGCCTCCTAAAGTAGATGCCAAACTAGCAGGTGTAGGGCAGCGTGATTCCGCACTCCTCCGTTGCATGCATGGATAGATATCTACTATTAGAAAATGTAAATGATGATTGCTATTTTCCCCTTCATATTTGTGAAAACAATAGCCAGTAGTTTGTTAGATGACAGATAGATGAGGATACTTTGAGACAAGAAAAGCATGGTTTGTTATTATGGAACTGGGTTAAAAGGCTATGCTAAAATATTGAGCAAAATGTAAACTTTAGTGCATTACAAACTGCCCAAGCCATTTTAGGCTTTCTTATCAGTATTACAAAGATAAATGGTTGTTTTCACATTTTCCCCAGTCAGATCAATATTGTATCAAGAATGTATTCGGTAATGCTTAGTTGCCCTCAAAGGGTTATTGAAAAGAATAACAAAAATGATGGCTGTGAACCAGTTTTGTAGAAATATGTGTACTATACTAATGTCGGTTATTGTTATTTCTGTTACAATAATAGTTTTGATTTTAACCCAATCTTAAGGGGAAAATTTTAGAATATGAATTGCAGTTATTCTCAGTAGCCTAACTACACCTTGCGTGTTAGAGGAATCCCTTTTCAATCTCATTCTGCTCAGTCTTGCTATTAAATACTTGGTAAATTGAGTTGAGAGTGTGCTAATTGAATTTGCGGACAATCCACAGCCAAGAGTAAATGCTTTAGGAGAGAACTGAAGTATAATAGGACTCTGATAAACTGTAGGAAATAGGCCAACTGTCCACCAAATGAGATTTCCTAAAGCTGTCTACAAAGCTCCAAAGCATACAATAAAATAAAATGCCAAAAATAACAAATGCATTTATCTCTAAGCAATATTATACACGCACACACACACACAGAATTTTCATTCTTCTACATTTTTGCTAATTCTAAAGTCAAGTTTTCTGCCGCTCCATTCTCCTCTTTGTCTTCTCCATGTTTCTGAGTATTTCTCCTATACCATATTTTCTCCTTTGTGACTCTCCCTATTTGAGTTAAAATGTGATTCTGCATAGATCGGATTAGCTATAGTGAAGAGCAGCATTGGCTATTTCTGGAAAAGCTGTCACATGGTTCCAAGCTTAGTGCCACAAGAAGATCACCAGGAAAACCGTAGGCCTTTCCATGGATCATGGGATCAGGAGAGCCCCACACCATGAGCCTGACACACTCGGGACCAAGGGAGGGAGAAACCACTTAGCCATCTTGTTCATCTGCACCTCTAACATCGGAGACTTGATTGTTGCTAGGTTCACTTCTTGAATCGTCTCACCCTTTCCCTACAGTCCAAGATCTTCACTTACATTTCAGTTTCTTGAGATATTGAAATTTTTGAGTCAGTGTAGGATGTTGCCACTGAATATTTGGTTATAATCGTTGACTGTCAATTCCTATAGCACTAAAACGGTTTTGGTTTTCTTTTTTTTTTTTTAATTTTGTGTGTATCTAATTTTGATCTCACAATGTAACCACTTTTGTTATTGCTTTTAAGGGTTATCTTTCAAGGTCTTTTGATAATGATGTCTAACACTTGCAATAGTGAGGCCACACTCTCAGGCATAATCACTAAGGTGTGTGCAATCTCTGTCTCCTTTTTCACTAAATCTGACAGGCTCCTCCTATAATTATCTAAAACTAGTACTGATTGAGGTTTCTTTAGACTAATGTGTTTTCCCGAAGAGAATTTTGTTTTTAAAATAAATGAGAGTGTGTAGTAGCAAAACAATCCACCACCAGATCGCCCTTCAAGGAAGGCTGTAATGCCTTCCCTGCTGAGGTGCTGATTTGAGAGATAGTCTCCAGCTCTCCGCCATCTACAGGGATAGACAGCTTCCTGTGTCTTACTTCTGGACCAGAGCCAGTTTTCAGACTTAGAACCCCTTGATTGAAGAAGAATGAGGTCTCCAGGAGGAAGGACCCTGTAACACCATGGCAAGTGGTTATAAGGAATGATTCTCTCTGTCCTTCCCCAGAAGAACCTAGGGCCATTAACTCAGCTTACCTCACACTGGAGAATGGACGTTAAAAATGGGGAATGCTGGTAACAAAGCCTGACTTGATATTAATACCTGGAGACCTGAAACAGCATTAGAGTCCCTTTGCTAGTGTGAGGCAATATGAGGGGCAGGGAGAAAATGATATTCTGTTCAACACCAGCCTCATAGTGGGTCCACATGGTCTGCTAACCCACTCAAGAGTAATTTTTCCAGCCCTCAAATATATAATTGGAATAGACATATTTGGTATTAGTTACAGTCCCACATTGGATCCTTTGCCTACAGAAAAAGAACAATGATTGTGGGAAGACTAGGCGAATGTCCCTGAAACTAGTCTCCTATACAGCCAAAATAGTAAATTAGTATTGCACCTCAGGGTGAGGAGGGGGAGAACAGAAATTAGTGCCCCCCCATGAGATCTGAAGGATAATTCTCATATCTCTGTTTAACTCAACAGTCTGGCTCCTCCAGAAACCAGAGGATCCCGAGGATGACACATCATCGTCTGAATTGCAGCCTCCATGCTTACATCTTTAATAGAACTGACGAATAGGACCTGAAGTACATGCTATGTGACCTTGATTTAGCCAATGATTGTTTTTCTATTTCTATCAGAAAAGAGAATCCTAAACAGTTTGCATTCACATGTAACGTACAAAAGTGTCTATCTACAGTTTTGCCTGGGACAATGTTAATTCCCCTCCCCCTGTCATAACATAATCTGCAGTGATCTGAACTGTCAGGATAACCCGCAGATTATCACATTTATCCACCATATCACGTTAGTCAGAGCGGATATGCAAGTGGCTAGTATGTTGGATGCCTTGTTTGGACATATGGGCTTCAGAGGGTGAGAGATGAACCATGTGAATATTCAGAATTCTTTTGACATCAGTAAAAATTTTAAGCATAGTCACAGGCATGCCATGAAAATTAAAAGATAAATTATTTCATCTTACACCCCATGAAGAAATTTCAGTCTCTTTGGGTTTTGGAGGTCACATAATCCACACCTGAGAATACTGATCGGGCCCATTTATTACTGACAAGAAGGGCTGCCAGCTTAAAGTAGACACAGGCAAGAAACCTCTGCATCACATCCAGACTTCGGTGCATGCAGCCCTGCCACTTGGGCCACTCAGCTCAGGAGACCCTATGATATTAGAGTTTTCTGCAGTAGGAAAATATGCCATGTGGAATATATGGCAAGCCCCGTGAGGAAATCACAGCACAGGCCCCCAGAGGTGTGAAGCATTGCCAAGCCGTCTGCAGTGGAGAAGGAAACCACTGAAGAAACAATTCCTGGCATATTACTGGGCCCTGCTACAGTAAGAGAACCTGACCATGGTACATCAAGTGCAGCATGTCAACTGGATCAGGTGGACCCAGAAAAAACGCCATCATCTGATGAAAGTGATACATTCAGGATCGAATATGAGCAGAACCAGCGAGTACAAGCAAATTGCACAACCAGGCATCCCAGATTTCCATGTTTCCCTCATCACGCAGCACCTCTCTCTCATGTCATACTTATGTCCCTGTGGCGGGAGAGGGAAATTTCTTGTAAATATCTGACGGGAGGAAAAAGAAAATCCAAGGTTGAATTATAGATGAGTTGACTGGGAGCGTGGATGCAACCCAAAATTAGAGAAGAGCTACCCATTACAGCATGACTTAGGCATAGCCTTAAAACACTGTGGTGAGGAAATATTCCCACAGTGGGCAGAGTTTCAGGCAGAAAAGTGGCCCAATGGTAGATTATATACAGATTCATGAACAGTGGCGGATGGCCTGGCCAAGCTGTTCAGACACCTGGAAGAAGACATCTAAATTATCAAAGACGAAGATGTCTGAGATAGAGGCATGTAGGTGGCCAAATGGGCATGAACACTAAGTATAAAGATCACACATTAACACCTACAAGAGAACATCCACATACAAACGACACTAGACCCCAAGTAGACAGAATAACTTGGTTAATGGACGTCAGTGAGCCTCCGTCAGTGGCCACTCCAGCCCTGGCACAAAGAGCACAACTACAAAGTGATCACAGTGAAATAAACGGAGGCGATGTATGGGCTTCTGCTCAGCAAGTCTGGTCAAGCTATTTCTTCACCAAACGTCCAACTTGCTAGCAACAGAGGCCCACACAAGGTACCCAAGATGGCACCATCTCTGAAGATGACCAAATGGCCACTTAGAGAAAAGGATCTGTTTTACTATGGAAAGAGAAACAATGCATTCTCACAGAAGTAGACATATATTCCATGTTTGGGTTTGCCTTTCCTACTCCAAGGGCTTACAGACTGTTTGATCCACTGTCACAGGATTCCACACAGCATTATATCAGATAAGTGGATCCACTTCATAGCAAAGGGCATTTGAAAGCAGGATGGCATGGGATCCATCTTTCATATTACACAATATGCCCCTGAAAGCTGCAGGTACAGTAGAACATTAGAAGGCCTGCTAACAGTAAAGCGGAAGCACCAGCTCAGTGGTGACGTTTTATAAAGATGAGTCACAATCCTCCAGAATGCAGCATCCACATTGCAGCAAAGACTTTAAATAGCACTGTGTCCCAAATAGGAACAATACATAGGTCAGATAAGCCAGGAGCGAAATCAGAAGTGAACTTGCTTACCATCATTCTCTGTAGGCACTAGGAGACTTTGGGCTTTCCATTCTGGCGACTCTAGGCTCTACAGGGTTAGAGATCCTAGTCCTCAAAGGGTAGCACTTTCATCAGAAGACACAAGAGTCCTATTCAGCAATAAGTTGTGATTGCTGCTTGGCCACTTTGGGTTCCAAGCCACTTTGGGTTCACTAGGAAGTAGCAGCCAAGCAAAAAAATCACCAACTCGGCAAATGTAACTGACACTATCATCAAGAGAAAGTAGGGCTTCTGTTCCACAAAGGGGCAGGGAGGATGGCGTGTGGGACTCGGGTGCTCTACTTGAGTTCTCTCTTGTCCCTCAGAACTGAGAGAGTACAGTCACTAAGCTCATGTAGTGAAATCCGTCCATGGACACCAGCTAGCTCTCTTTAGTGGCAGAGATGGCTGTAGCTTGAGCTAAGTCATCTTGTAAATGGTATGTCCTGGTCATAAACAAGACTAGATAGGAATGGAATTGCCCATCTGTCATTGAACCTAAAAACAAAACATCAAACACAACATACTTAAATAATGTGCCCTACTAACAACAGGAGTATTTAATCAACCACCAATAATTCCACCTCATACTGAGGCTTCTTCCTAATGTGGAAGGATGAGAACAATATGAGGAATTCCAGAGCCCGAGGTATGAGATCTATGAAATTGAAACCCTGAGCTCCTTCTTTCACCCAAACTGTGAACCACTCTTTCCTAAAGGGTTTGGATAATGGGAGAACACATCTATCTGTTGTAGGAGAGCCCGTAAACCTCACAAGGCTGGACATTCAAGACAGCACTGAGCAGGAGGCTGTGAGTTGCTTTAGCTGAAGATGGGAGCTGCCTGACAGCTGCCAAGTTATCTACTGCCAAAATCTCTCCTGGATGCAACAGCCCAGATGTTAGAGAATTTGTATTTGATCCCAAAACTGAGGGTGCCTTGTAAATTTCACATATAGTTCACTAAATCCTTGCGTGTGTGGATTGAGCGAAAGAAGCAATGAACTTAGAGTCAGAGATCATGGGCTTAAGTCTTAGTTCTGCACTTAAGAGCTGGTGAAATTCAATATATTTTTTCACTGACACACACAAAAATTAATTAACCAACCAAAAAAATTTTAAAAGAAGAGTTAATGGAAAAACAAGGAAGTAAAACTATCTATTGCAGTACCTGACAGTTAGTAGAGCTCAATGTCTGCTAGTTAGTTTTTTAGGTGAATTTCAATTATTGGTCTTAGGCTGATCTCTCTCTCTCTCAATCTCTCTCTCTCTCTCCCCCTCCACCCCCCCCATTCCCCAACCCCTCTACAAAACATGCTAAATTTCTACTTCTAATTCTCTTTAGTAAATAGCCATGCACAACCTCTATTGTTACCTGTGACCTCCTGATCATAAGGAGCTCTGCTCCTGCTCTCCCTCATCTGCGGTTGGGCGCTGGTCTTTAATGAGCTACTGCTCTGCATGTAAACACAACCGTATCTAATAGCTGAAGCGACAAGAGCATGTGGATTAGAAGGGTTGTGAAAATACAGATTCTTTGATGAACTTTTCTAGTAATGAGTATTTCAATTTCTTATTTCGTAGTAATATAGTTTGGTTAAAAAATGAAAACACAGAAATATATAAGGAGGTAAAAGAAAGAAACCTATAATTCTATTCTCCAAAGGTGTCATACATACCTTATGAAATGTTTAGTATCCATTTTTCTATTTTGCCATGCGTATATTAATATATTTAAACAAAATGGTATCATTTAATAAATTCTGTTCCAAGTTGAACTATTCTATCTGTCAATATACCTTGATAGTGAAGACGTTTATGAATCACTCATATCTTAAGGTTCTTCCATTAAAAAAAAAAAGAAAAACAAGAAATTGATTCCAGTTACAGTAACAAGAAAAACACTGTTAGGATATTGGGTAGCTCATAGAATTAGTCGAATTTGAAAACAGGTTGAGGCAGGAAACAACGAAGACAAAGCCAGAGTTGGAACCGGCCCTAGGAATCCTGCCCGGGACCTCGCAGCCCTGCCTCCCAGCCCGTGCGACTGCCCTGGGCCCTGACCGCTTGTCAGGACCTTGCCTGCACTTGGAAATGCGATGCTGATGAGTGAAGAGGCAGCGCTTACTGTATTCGCTCACGTAGGAAAGGAGCTGTGTCCTAGATAGTAGAGGTGAATTATCTTTTCATCAGTCTCTCAAGTCATTTTAAGGACCTCTGGGCCTTGAGTGCTTCTCGGTTTCTGGCAGTTTGGGGGCAGCATGACCTTCCTGCAAAATGGCCTTATGCACGAGTGACCCTTTAAGAATCACTGTTGGTTTTCTAGGTTTATCGGTGAAGTGGACCATGTAATCTGTGTTCTATTCTTAGCCGTCCCTGGGCCTGACCTTGGGGGTGGTTCAAGGTGTGTGAAACTGGCTCTTCACCTGAGGATGTTTCACACTGATGAGCTGGGGAAGACGCTCTGCAGCAACTCAGAAGAAAGCACTTAGTTCTGAGAGTCAGATATTTTTCTCTCAGGACCAATTTGATTCTGTGCTGTTAAACCTTATCTTCATTATCAAGTAGCACTGATTAAATGTTCAAATGCTCATAGCGCCGCTCTAGGAACCATACAAAAAGAATTATCCTGCCCGGTAGGACTTTAAAATCAAAATCAGAGATTTATTACTTACAAGGCGTCACTTGGCACCCCGACACGGTAAGAAGGGGCCTTCCAATCACCTCGACGCTGCAGGCCCTTGAGAACACTGGTTCAGTTCGTGGAAGTCTTTTCCGTTTTTCTCTTCCATGCCATTTAATCCCACAATTTGGGGACAGAACTGAGTATACGGAGAAAACACACATTAGATGTACACTATGATTTTATTTTGTTGATTTATTTCATTTTCATAGAATATAATACAACAGAATCTTTGCTTCATTGGTTTTGAACCAATGTTTTCCCAGGCAAGTCGCACTGGGTAGTTATATACAGCGACAGTGACTATAAAAGAGTTTCCGTGGGCCTTGTCCATTGTCACAATCACAGCAGTCTCACCTCGTCTTTTTGGCTCCATGCTCTTTGTAAGCCATTCAGAGAAAACCTGGAAGCGGTTCTTCAATAAACCTGCAAGCAGTTCTTCAAATAAACCTGGAAGCAGTTCTTCAATAAACCTGGAAGCAGTTCTTCAATAAACCTGGAAGCAGTTCTTCAATAAACCTGGAAGCAGTTCTTCAATAAACCTGGAAGCAGTTCTTCAATAAACTGTTGCCCTGTACACTACACCCACGGTGACTCTGTGCTCTGAATACACCGACGTGACCCTGAGTTTTCTGAAATACTTTTTTATATTATTGGCCCCAAAAACTATGATATTATCTTGGAAATTCCAATATTTTGATACTCAAGCCTCATCTGCCAAGATTTATTTTTATACTTAGAAGTGGCATACACATTCTTTACTGAATGATATGTCCTCATTTTGGTTTAGTGCTACAGATTACACTATACCTTTGCTATCAATAGCTTCTTTCTCTCCCTACTGCCATCACAATAAAAACCCAACCTTCAGAAAAATCAATGCAATCAAAGCATAACAGAATAGGATTGACGGAGTTGTGGTTATCCAAGGAGATTTCAGATATGTCAAAAATAACATGATAAGGTTTCAATAATTTTGTGCCCAAAGTGAAATGCTTTGCTGTGTTGTGGATGCTCCCTCGGGGAGGTGTTTTCTTTCATTTTTTGTTATTGTGAAAGTTCATTATTCCTATGCCCAGGGTGTCTGTGTCTCTGTTTCTTTTTTACTTTTTCTTTCTTTACTTTTTTTTTTTTTTTTTAAGATGGAGTCTCACTCTGTCACCCAGGCTGGAGTTCAGTGGCACGATCTCTGCTCACTGCAACCTCTGCCTCCTGAGTTCAAGTGATTCTCCTGCCTCAGCCTCCCATGTAGCTGGAATTACAGGCACCCACGACCACGCCTGGCTAATTTTTTGTATTTTTAGTAGAGACAGGGTTTCACTGTGTTAGCCAGGACCGTCTCCATCTCCTGACCTAGTAATCCACCCGCCTCAGCCCCCCAAAGTGCTGGGATTACAGGCGCGAGCCACCGCAGCCCGCCCTCTGTTCCGTTTTATATAATCAGTGACAAATAGTCTGAGGGTTGAGATTTGGGGCATTTAGAATAATTTTTGTCTCCTCCATCTCCTTAGGAAAGATGTCTGCCCTTTTCTCCTATTGGAGAGGGACACCGTGGGGATCTTTGAGCAGAGTCAGGCAAATCCATGCCGAAGAGGTGGGCCCGTGCCACCTTTGCACAGCAAAGTAGAAGAAACCATTGGCAGTTGGTGGGCGGCTGTTGCGGGGAATTGAGAAGTCCGCCTATAACAGTTTTGGAGCTGCCATATTCTTGGGCATGGTTTCAGACTAAGAATAATAAGAATAATAGCCCTCAAAATGAGGGCTGTGGCTCTTCATCATACTAGCTCTGCTGTCTGGTGTCAGGGATCTGATACTGCCACCAAGCAGCCCAGTGCTTTATGAATAGGATGAAACTCTTCACAGTGTGAAAGCCTCAGGCAGCACTACTCTCCACACTGTCCTACAGAACAATGTCAAGATTATTTATAGTCTTCAAAGGTACAGTAAGCCTTTTTATTCCATTCTTAAGATAAACAAATAAATCACAAGCACTTTGGGGTTTGTGTAAACAGATACAAAAGCAACATAAATTACAGACCGAAAACTTAATTTATAAATAGGAGCTATAAATTTAATAATCGATAATCATAAGTAATTTCAAAATGAAATAAAAAGAAAAGCCCCACTAGAGAATATTATGCAAATTTTTATTAAATTATCTATTCTATTCTACCTCATTTCAGGTCTTAAGAATGTGTTTTTCTTATCCATAATCATAAATAGGGAGATAAAGGGAGATAAACTCATTTCCTCATTTTTTATTAAATTCACCTTTCCTCCTTGGGTGGAATTTTATGAGCATCTAGAGTGTCAGTTTTTCTCCCAACACACTGAAATGTTTATAGTATGGCTATTTACTTCATCAAGCTAGAACATTTTTCTATTAAACACACCTCAGTTTCAAAGTTATACAAAATATACCTCTACTTTGACTTTTTGATGTATTTCAAACTATGGCCTTATCTGAAAACTTAAAATAGTAGTCAGCTATTATTTTTAAGAAGTACTTAAGGTAGCTGTCAATATTTAACAATATATAAACCATTTAAAGAGTCACGTACCTACTCATTGCAATTTTGAGCACCTAATATGTGCTATTATAAAGTATAGAATGATGTCAGAGTAACTACTATCAGAATAACCTGCCGTAAGGAAAAAAAAACTATTTTAATACTATTTTTAAAATATTTGAAGCCACTGGCAAATGGCCAATGTTGGGTAGACAACGGAGGGAAAACAACCCTTGAAAGAGGTGGACTATACTGGGTGATATTTGCATTTGTGTGGTTTTTTTTTTTTTGCCTCAGGGCACCACCTTGTCCACATCATATGGGACAACCAGGATTGAAGAAGATAGCCACAGTTTACAAGCTTGAAAAATCAGACAGCAGTTAGAGGTCTGACTTTGGGGCTGTTATAGGAGCCTGAAAATAAGGTATAAAATTCCAGAAGAGAGGAGCAGCAAAGGTGGGAGCCCCTCAAATATACATGTGAACTTCATCTAAACTTTTCTTTGGCTGCTCTCTCAACTATGTTTATGCACAGCATGGTGACTATCATTAACAATACTATATTGTACATGCCTATAGTCCCAACTACTCATGAGTCTGAAGTGGAAGGATCATTTGAGCCTAGGAGGTCGAGGTTGCAGTGAGCCATGATTGTCACTGCACTCAGGCTGGATGCTGTCTCTACGTAATACTACTAATAATAAGAATAAAATATACATGACTTTTTAAACAAAAATTACAGTAGTGTTTGGTGGAGTTTGTAACCAATACAGGCATACTTTAGAGATATTGCAGGTTCAGTTCCAGCCCACCTCAATAAGAGTATCACAATAAAGTGAGCCAAATAATTTTTGGTTTCCTGGTGCATATAAAAGTTATCTTTACACTATACTGCTGTCTATTATGTGTGTGAGAGCATTATGTCTAAAAAACCCAATCAATATGTATTAATTTAAAAATACTTAATTGCTAAAAAATGCTAATAATCATCTGAGCCTTCAGAGAGTTGTAATCACTTTGCTTGTGAAGGGTCTTGTCTCAATGTCGATGGCTGCTGACTGATCAGGGTGGCGATTGCTGAAGGTTGCGGTGGCAGTGGCAATTTTAAGAAACAAGACAACAATGAAGTTTGCCACAGCAATTCTTCCTTTCATGAAAGATTTCTTTGTAGCATTTGATGCTGTTTAACAGCATTTAACCTAGAGTAGAACTTCTTTCAAAATTGGCATCAATAATCTCATACACTGCTACTGCTGTGTCAATTAAGTTTATGTAATATTCTAAACCCTTTGCTGTCATTTCAACAATATTCACAGCATCATCACCAGGAGTCATTTCCATCTCAGGAAACCACTTTCTTGGCTTGCGCATAACAAACAACTTCAAGTTTTATCATCACATTGTAGCAATTCAGTCACATCGACTTCTAATTCTAGTTCCCTTGCTATTCCCACCACATCTGCAGATACTTTCTCCACTTTAGTCTTGAACTTCAATATCATCCATGAGTTTAGGAATCAACTTCTTCCAAACTGCTATTAATGTTGATAAATTGACCTCCTCCCATGAATCATGAATGCTCTTAGTGGCATTTAGAATGGTGAATCCTTTCCAGAAGGTTTTCAATTTACTTTTCCCAGATCCATCAGCGGAATCACTATCTATGGCAGCTATAGCCTTATGAAATGTAGTTCTCAAATAATAAGACTTGAAAGTCAAATTACTCCTTGATCCATGGGCTACAGAATGGATATTGTATTAGCAGGCAAGAAAACACATTAATCTCCTTGTACATCGCTATCAGAACTCTCAGATCATTAAAGTGCCCAGATGGCCCAAAGCAATATATAAATCCAATTCAATTCGTATCAAATTACCAATGTCATTTTTCACAGAATTTAGAAACAGATCCTAAAGTTCATATGGAACAAAAAAGAGTCATAATAACCAAAACAGTCCTAAACAAAAAGAACAAATCTAGTGGCATCACACTGTCTGACATCAAATTATAATACTAGCCTATAGTAACTAAAACAGCATGATTTTTGCATAAAATAGATACATAGAGCAATGGAATGGAATAGAAAATGCAGAAATAAAGCCACATACCTACAATTAAGTGGTCTTTGACAGAGTTGAAAAAATAAACAATAAAAAAAGACAGTAAATGGTACTGGGAAAATTGGCTAACCACATGCAGATAAATAAAACTGGACCACTATCTCTCACCATATACAATAATTAACTCAAGATAAATTAAAGACATAAATGTAAAACTTAAAACTATAAAATTCCTAGAAGAAAACCTAGGAAAAACTCCTCTAGATGTGGGTCTAAACAAAAAATTTATGACAAAGACACCAAAGCAAATATAACAAAAATAAAAAAGATAGATCAGAATTAATTAAACTAAAAAGCTTCTGTACAGCAACAAAATAATCAACAGAGTAAACTAATATACAGTATAGGAGAAAATAATTGCAAATTATGTCTTCAACAAAAGACTAACATCCAGAATCTACAGGAAACTCAAACAACTCAACCAGAAAAAACAATCCCATTAAAAGGTGGGCAAAGGACATAAACAGACATTTCTCAAAAGAAGATATACAAGCAGCTAACAAACACATGAAAAAATGCTCAACATCACTAATCATCAGGGAAATGCAAATTAAAACCACACTGAGGTATCACTTTACACCAGTCAGAATGGCTACTATTAACCAGATGCAGACAAAGGGAAAACTTGTACACTCTTAGTGAGAATGTAGATTGGTTCAATCTCCGTGGAAAACACCATGGAAATATCTCAAGGAACTAAAAATAGAGCTTCCATTCAACCCAGCAGTCCCACCAGTGGGTATCTACCCAAATGAAAAAAAAATATTTATATAAAAAGACAGCTATACTTGTTTGTTTATTGAAGCACTATTCACAATAGCCAAGTCACAGAACCAACCTAAGTGTCCCATCAACAGATGACTAGATAAGTTTTATATATATATATACACACACACACACACACACACACACACACACACCATGGAATACTACATAGCAGTAAAAAATGAAATATGTCTTTTGCAGCAACAAGGATGGAGCCCTTCTGAGAACTGACTGAGAAGCAAAAAATCAAATATTGCATGTTCTTACTTATAAGTGGGAGCTAAACAATGGGTACACATGGATATAGCAATGGAAATAACAGACAGTCGGAACTCCAAAAGGAGGGATGGAATAGAGGGGTAGAGGGGTGAGGTTTGAAAGATTACCTATTGAATACAATGTTCAGTATTTGAGTGACAGTTACACCAGATGCCCAATCCCCAGCATTACACAATATACCTATATAATGAATATGTACATGTATTCATTAAATCTAAAATTAAAAAGATAAATAAAATATACTGGAAAAAAGAACTCAAGTTACTAGGTGCTTTGTCTGTGAGCAGAAATATTTTGAAAGAAATTTTTTTTCCTGAGCAGTAGGTCTCAACAGTGGGCTGAAAATATTCAGTAAACCAGGCTGTAAAGAGATGTGCTGTCATCCAGACTATGCTGTTCCATTTATAAAGCACAGGAAGAGTAGCTGTAGCATGATTCTAAAGGGCCCTAGGATTTTCAGAATGGTAAGTGAACACTGGCTTCCACTACATTTGCCCCTACCAAGAGAGTTAGCCTGTTCCTTGAAGCTTTGAAGCCAGGCATTCGTTTCTCCTCTTCACTAAGAAAGTCCTAGATGGCATCTTCTTTCAATAGGAGGTTGTTTTGTCTACACTGTGAATTTGTTGTTTAGTGTGGCCACCTTCATCAATGATCATTACAAGATCTTCTGGATAACTTGCTACAGCTTCTCCACTAGCACTTGCTGCTTTACCTTGCACTGTTATGTTATGGAGATGGCTTATTTCCTTATCTCATGAACTGACCTCTGCTAGCTTCAGACTTTTCTTCTGCAGCTTCCTCACCTCTCTCAGCCTTCATAGAATCGAAGACAGTTAGGACTTTACTATGGATTAGGCTTTGGATTAAAGGAATGTTGTGCCTGGTTTGATCTTCTGTCCGGACCACTAAAACTTCTAACATTAATGAAGCTGTGTCTCTTTCTCATCATTTCTGTGTTCCTTGGAGTTGAACTTTTCCCTCAGGAACTTTTCCTTTGCATTCACAACTTCACTAACTGCTTGGTGCAAGAGGGCCAGTTTTCATCCTATTTTGGCTTTTGACGTGCCCTCCTCATTAAGCTTAATCATGTCTAGCTTTTGATTTAAAATGAGAGACATGCAACTCTTCTTCTCACGTGAACACTTAGAGGCCATTGTGGGGTTATCAATTGGCCTGATTTCAATATTGTTCTGTTTCAGGGAATAGGGAGGCCTGAAGAGAGGAAGAGAGAGAGAGAGAGATGGGGGAACAGACTGTCATCAGAGCAGTCAGAACACACACACATCATTTATTGACCATTTGCTGTCTTATATGGATGCAGTTTGTGGTGACCCAAAACAGTTACAATAGTAACACCAAAGATCACTGATCAAAGATCCCCATAACAGATGATAATTTAAAAGTTTGAAATGCTATGAGAATTATTAAAGTAGGACACAGAGACATGAAGTGGGCACAAAATGTTGGAAAAATGTAACCAAATGAGTTGCTTGATGCAGGGTTGCCACAAACCTTCAATTTGTAAAAAATGCAGTGTCTGTGAAGCTCAATAAAGCAAAGCACAATAAAATGAGGTGTGCCTGAATATATCATATATAGTAACAAGAATACAAATACCAGATAAATGCATGTATACAGATGCAAAATTTTCATATATTACATGCTACAGCACAATATTAACTGCATAAACTATAATAATTTAAGGGTGCATATGGTAATCTCTGGAATAATTTCCAAAAATATATAATAACAATGCAAAGAATTGTAGCTAAAAGACCACAAAACAAAAACAAGAAACATGTGGGACAAACAGAAACCGAACAGTAATATAGTGAACTTAAATCCAACCATAACAAGAGTTACATTAAGTATAAGGTGACTAAGCCTTACAATTAAAGGGTATGGGTTGTCAGACAGGGTTGAAAAAGAATAATTTTCTTTTTGCTTTCCTGTATGGAGACTACCAGTTTTAATTCATAGTATTTGAATTATCTTTCAATGTTTCATACATTTTAATTCTCATTTTGATTTATTCTTTGATCCATAAATTAAGCAGAATTGTTCTGACATTTACAATCATATGAAATGTTTTCCTTATCTTTTATGACAATTTCAAATTTAACTGCAATCACATAATGTAGTCTCTGTGTTACGCATTTTTTGAAATGTATTGAAGTTTACTTTGTGATTTAATTAATGGTCGCATTTTGTTAATGTACACCTGAAATAACACATATTTTCTAGTAGTCAGTTTCAGGGTATGATACATTTCTGTTCAACCAAATTTTGGAATTGTGTGATTCAAATCTGCTATGTGTTTACTAATATTTTTCTGTTATCTATGGCTAAGAGAGGTATGTCAGAGTTTCCCAGCAAGATGGCAAATGTGTCCATTTCTCTTTGTCCATCTTCCAATATCTGCTGCATATCTGCAGAGCTTGTTTTCTTAGGGGTCTTTGAGTGGAAAATTCCTCCTGGTCATTTAAATTCTTCATATTCCTACATGTAATAATGCTTTTCACCTTCAAGATTATGATATTTTACTTATTATTAATAATAATATTGCTGCTCAGCTTTGTTTTGTCTATTATGGAAGCATCTGTTTGTGTCCATTCTCTTCAGCTGTTTAGCCATGTCTTGACAATAGTGTATAGTGGTTCTTATTTAATCCTATCTAAAAAACCTCAGATTGTTCAATTTGCTTAGTCCACTCTCAATTTGTGTGATCATCGCTATATCTGAATTTGTTTAATACAAGCTTTCTTTTTATCTTCCACTTGTTTCACGTTTTCTGTGCTTCTTTTTTTCTCTTTTGTAACCTATTTAGAAGAAGGAGGTAGATTCTCAAATTACTCATTTGTTTTTAGGGTTTTTTTTCTACCTTTTTATTTCCTTTTGTCTACTGGTTTGGAAATAATACTCATCTTTATTTCTGTGGTTTTACCTGAAAATTTTCCTACATACTTAACTAAATAAATCAAAGTTGGTATCTTAACCCCTCCCAAACAGTGCTAAGAACTTAGAGCAATTAACACTGATCAGCCTCCTCTCAATTAATGTTCCATTGTTGTGCATAGTTTTAGTTCTGTTTTTGTTCCCCATCACAAATTAAACCTTTTTGTAACTATTTCATATGAACGTTTTGGGAGTTTTTGTGGTGCAAGTTTACCAGTGTCTTTGTTCACCATTTCTTCTTTTTGGTCCTTCTTTTCTTTAGACCTTCCTTCTGGGACCACAGTCCACCTTCTAGATATACAATCTTTAGGGTTTCTAAAGGTATGTTGGTTGTAAACCCTCTCACATTATTTTTTCACTCCTGTATTCTGCATGCCTATAGCCCTCAATAAATAAGAGAGAGTCGGTGCTCAAGTCACTGGAATAATGAGAATCTCTCCACATCCCCACATCCCACAACACACTGGAATTTCCCTCAGTCTTGGTGATACCACCCATAGTAAAAGGCAATCTTTTTACCAGCATTAGGCCTAAGGAACCCATATGGCCAGATTAGCTATTGGCTTCCTCCCTAGGGCTGGGCATCTGACCTATAAATTAAACACACCATGTACTATAGTAGCAAGAGGCTGCCATGCTAATATGCCCACTTTAAAGTCATAAAGGCTAATCTCAAGCAGGTTAATGATGCTCAGAAATCATATCACATTTTCCTGATACATTCCTTTTCATACTCACGAGATGGCTGTTTCATGCCCTCCATTTGCTCATCAAATCTTCTGTACCCTTCCCCATCCTACATCCATCTGATGACCTATGCCACTGATAAAACAGAAGCCATCAGGAGAAGCCTTCCACAAGCTCCCTCCACCACATACTTGCATCCCCAGCACCTGCTTTCCAATACTATGCTTGTCCCCTATTTCTGAACTACTCATGCTGCCGTTTACAGCCACCCACTACGCAGGAACACCAAAATATGGCAAAAGCACTGCTCCCTGCAGCCCTTCCCACCCTTCCCATCGCCTTTCCCAGCTCTGGCCCAGGTCATTCCCCTCAGCGTGCAAATGTGTTGTCATTTCTCCCATGTGGAAACAAACCCGCTATGGACCCCACTTTCTTCTCTTGGTTCCAATTATCTGCCCCTCTGCTCAGCAAAATCCTTGAAAGCTGTCCGTCCACTTTCCACTTCCTTGACTTCCTTTTCTCTTTAACCCAGTCCAATCAGGCTTATACCCCCACTACACCACAAAAACTGTGAAGCTCACAAATGGCCGCGCCATTGCTGACTCCTGTGGTTATTCTGCAGTCTGCATGTCATCTATGTCGTTTGCAGTCTCCATGACATAGGTGGGCAGGTCTTCCCTTCCTCACTCAGTGTCTATGGTCCCAACCTCCTCTAGCTTTCTTCCTGCCTCACTGGCCACTCTTTCTGTCTCCTTTGCTGGTTCCTCTGTGTTTCTCAGACTTTATATGTTTTGAGTGTCTCTAGTCCGGTCCTTGAATTTCTTTCCTGTGTTTTCCTCTGTGAAGATCTTATTCAGCCGCATGGCTTTAAAATCATCTACATACTGATCTCTCTCAAACTGGTAACTCCAACCTTGTCCTCTCATAAGACTCCAAAGTCATTTATTTAATTGCGTTCTTGTCCTTGCCACCAATACGTATCTCAAATTCAACAGGTCCGAAAATGAGCTCCCATGTTACCCTAATCCTCAAAAATAGGAAAAAATAAACTGATCTCTTCGGTCTTCCCTGTCTCAGTTGATAGCAATTCCTTCCTTCTAGTTGCTTTAATCCAAAATTGTAGTCTCCTTGAGTCTTCTAATTCTCTCATATATTCAATCCGTTAGCAAACCTGCTAGCTCTGTCTTCAAAACACACCCAGCTATTTTAATATGCCCGTTTCTACCCACGCTTGCCTCTCTATGGTCTATTCCCATCACCGACAGCCAGAGTGTCCCCTGTTACACTGGCCAGGTCACATCGCTTCTCTGCCCAAAGCCCTGCAGGGGCTTCAGGTCTCCAGTGAAAGGCCACCATGGTCTGATCCCATTCTGCCTCTGTGCCCGGCCCGAGCTTCCTGCTACCCGTCCCCTCACTCCTGATCCGACCACAGCCACTGCCTTACCACGCTGGGTACACTCCTTGGGGCCTTGGCACTGTCGTGGTGCTCTCTGCCTGTTACAGTCCTTGCCAATATATTCACATCTGCACGACTAGAGCCTTTATAGTGGTATCAAAATCTCAACTTCTTAGTGAGGACTCCATGACCACAAAAATTACAGTTGCCCCCCACCCCTACTTCCTTCCCCCACTGCCACAGCACGTGTTATAGATATCAACTATTTTGTTTATTGTCTGTCTGCCCTAGGACTTTATTCCAGAGTCAGTGCTTGACCACGGTTTGGTGCATAATAAATATTGAATGTGGCATTATCATTTTTCTGAAGTATCATCACACACAATTTACCAGTATTATCATCATGGAAGCTTAATAGAAATACAAATACAAAACAAAAATAATTTTCGGGAAATAAGAACAATAATGTATTTCTAAATTTCTACCTCTGATTCTGTAAAGCTGATGAACAAAACCATCATCTATCTATTCACCCATCCATCCATGCCTCCATCCGTATATTTGCATGTAAGTAGTTTCAAATACAATTATTTTAGTTTACATACAGACATTTCCTACTTAGGTAGTGAAATTAATTCTTGCTTAGGTGTTTATAATACTCCTATGAGAAAATTCTGTTTCATTAGTTTACATTTAAAATTCTCATCTTTATAAGCATTTTAAAAAATGTTATCATCTGCCTGGGATAGAGATAGGCAGTTGATTCTTATATTCAACTTAATTGCATTTTGTTGTCTTATTGTGATGTAAATTACATGATATTATAATGCATCTAAATATCTGGGAATTAAATATTCATTAGTGTCTGTAAATCAGTATAAACCTGTATCTGAGTATTTTGTATCTTGAAAATACACCTCAAAGTAATACCAAATATGGCACTGAATCTAATGGAACAATAGAAAAAAATAGGAGATAAATATAATGTAAAGTATGTATCGTATTTGTATAATTGAGTATTCAAAGTGTTTTATTATGAACATTTCCAGAGTCAAGTTCTAAAATGTTCATTATCACTGAATATGTTGATTGCAGAATTGAATTACATAATTAATAAAAGATGATAAATTTCACAAAATCATATAAAAGTTTTCTTAGTCTTTTCTAGGAACTAAATGTGTTAATGGTTTCATGTATCCAATGAGATTTTTTTTAATAAATTGAAGAAAATTTTTGTGTTACTGATCAATTTTTTCATACCTTTTACTTTTTCAGTCATTAATTTTTATTTAATTATCACTGAGTCATAGAAACAATTCACAACTATTAAAATAAGTACGTTTTTCATGATGCCTCTTTATTCTCACTCTTGATTACTTCACAAGAGTCTCAGGAGAGCAGCAGGGAAAGTGAGAGGTAAATGAAGCCAGAATCGCACCACATCTTCCCTCCTGTTGAGCACTGGACAACAGTACTTGTGTGCCTTGTTATGGTAGTCGGTTACAATTTAGTACTGAAATTAATGACTAATTGTGCCTAATATATTTTCCTGGAGATTTTAGTTGAAGAAAATTGCTTTGAGTTCCAAAATATTTTCAGGGATCACTTAACATTAGGTAACTGGGAAAAGATCCTGAAATTGTCCCTGTGGTTAAAAAACAAAACAAAACAAAACCCACCTTTATTTTCCCTAATCTATTTTTAACTTTATATAGCCTAAAACACTAATGGGTAAATATACCTTTCTGAACATAAATAATAATATAGAATATTCACTAAAAATGTAACCATGTGAGGTATAAATTAAAAGACATTTTGATTAAAATATGAATCTTGTAGGAGCACTGAGATATTTTGGTTTTGGATCACTTGTTTTTTAAAAATCTAATTCGATTTGATATACATTTATGGAACAATGTGTTCATCCATGGCATTACGTTAAGTGCTGACAAGATAAAGACGACGTAGTCTCTCCCCTCAATAAGAACTTAAAGATACTTCTCTCAAGTTATGAAATTAACCTCACTGAAAAAAAAATGTGATGAAAAGTTTACTTCAGACAAGGGATTTTGAGGGTTTGCACTACTTCTCCTTGAGCATAAACTAATGGGTTTTCCTTGAGTGATCCATATTCTTTGGCCAGAAATTTACATTTGACCTGTGAGACATATTTAGCCTAAGTTATAAGAAATAGCTTAATCTTTCTGACAAATCAAGAGCAAATATTTGAGTAATTTTTTTGCCTGAAATATGATAGGTGAAAAAGACACTCATCTATGAGTTTTCAATCATTAGATAAATTTAGCTGAAATGGGCTTCCAAAATTTTCTCTGTTAGAGATAGAGGAAATGGAGCAGCCACAAGGAAGCAACTTCAAGTATGATAAAATCACTTATATTTTGAAAACCATTTTTCAAATTCTTACTATGGATCAGTGATAATATGGTAAACTTGTTTATTAGTAAGCTCCCTCTACACTGCAAAATCATAAAATGTAAAATTATAAATAAAACAATACAGAATGTGATCTTGCTATGTTTATAGTAGGAAGTTCAAAATTAATAAAACAAAGTAGCTGTATTAAGGACATAACAGTAATGAAATATGTATAAACTACACTAAAAAGATAACCAGATAGGAATGGCTCCTTCAAATGTGAGAAAGTTTGGACATCCAAGTATAAGAGCTGTGGGTTTCAGTCTGTAACTGGATTTTCATTCAAGCAATGATAACCCTTCCCTGGCATCCATTTCATGACTGAATGCTAATTAGATACCCCAAGTTTAAAATGTTTCTTTTTTTTTTTTTAAGAGATGGAGTCTTGCTCTGTCACCCCAGGCTGATTCTCCCTCCTCAGCCTCTTAAGTAGCTAAGAACAGGCACGCACCACCACAACTGGCTAAATTGTATAAAAATTTTTGCAGAGATATGGTCTTGCTGTTTTGTCCAGGCTGTTCTTGAAATCCTGCCCTAAATCAATCCTTCCACCTCGGCCTCCCAAAGTGCTGGGATTATAGGCATGAGCCATTACACCTGGCCTTCTTTTGTTCTTTAGTCTTTAATGATTTCTGAATAGCCTGCTTAGATCCTCTCTAGCCAACACATGCGCACAGACCCCAAATTTATGTACCGTAAAAAATGCCAACCCCTAAATCAATGACCTAAATTAAAATCCTTGCTATGCCCTTAGCCAGCTATATGAAGATGAATAAATAGAATCAGCCTCTCTTGGCATTCCCTATCTGTAATACAAGTTTGCTGAAAAAGTTCATCTAAAACGGTAGTCTTAGCCCCGGGCTGGTGTGCATATGGCTCTGTGTATTTCCTCATCTGCAGTGGGGCCAAAGGTGTTCATACAGCTATTCTCGTGATGCTGATGGGAAAATTTACAACAAAAGACTTTTGAAATGGATATAAACATAAACATAAATGTAAGTTAAAAAGTTTTGGTTATCATATATGTATATAAATTTTTCTAATAAATATGAGTAACTATCATTACTTATAATATGGTAATTACTAATGTTTTTATATCTAGAAATCATATATAATATGTAATTATATAACATATAATATTATGCACATTATAAATTGTTACTATGAGAAGATATATAAGTATGGTTGTATATAATAGAGTTACCACATATAAATATATATGTTGTATGTAATAGAGTTACTATATGTAAAATATATGTTTACTATAAAAATAAGCAAACAGATAGCTCAATATATAGTTATTCTTAAAACTCAACGACTTTGGGCCGGGCACGGTGGCTCATGCCTGTAATCCCAGCACTTTGGGAGGCCAAGGCGGATGGATTACGAGGTCAGGAGTTCGAGACTAGCGTGGCCAACATGGTGAAACCCCGTCTCTACTAAAAATACAAAAAATTACCCAGATGTGGTGGCATGCGCCTGTAGTCTCATCTACTCAGGAGGCTGAGCCAGAAGAATGACTTGAACTCGGGAGGCAGAGGTTGCAGTGAGCTGAGATCGCGCCACTGCACTCTCGCCTGGGAGACGGAGCGAGACTTCGAAAAATCAAAAACAAAAACAAACAAACAAAAAACTTCAACAACTTTGGAGAAATAAATTATTTTTTGAAATTCTGCTTCCAGAAAATCTCTTATTTGCTTTACACTAGCTTAATTTTTTGTTTCTGAACAAGAATTTTACCATGTGGGTGCTGCCTGTTTCCAGCAGTGATTCTCTACGAGTGGATTAAAATAGCCAACCCTTTGGATAAAGAATTATACTCCATGGTTTTTCATGTGCTAATGTGCTTAGTAACAATGTAATGAGGATCAACTACAAGCCACATACTGTGTAATGTCAATGACACGAGGCTAAATAAGACAACATTCCTACACTTGAGCCACTCATCACCTGGCCCTACTGACCATGCCATCTTGGAATAAAATCTCCAGTTCTTACAAATTTGAAATCCATACTTGTTTATTATAAATGGATTATAATTCAAATTAAAACAAAATATGAAATTCCACCATTATTTTTATAGTTAACTTTGTTTCATTTAAACTCAAATAATTTTCAGTTAACAGAAATCACATTAATTACTCAAGCAATTCCTCTGAACACTTAGGGACCCTGCTAGACTGTGGGGATAAAACCAGCTATGCTCATAAGCCACCTCTTTGAAGAAAAAAAATGTTCTTATATGTGGTGTCTGCAAATTTTGTGGTATAAATACTCCTACTGCAGTTGATTTCAAATAACCACAATGTAACCACCAGCTCACAAAATCCTCAAATATTTAATGATCATCTCTCACAAGCTTGTATTAGCCAGCTTTAGCAGACCACTAGATAAATCATAAATATGTTCTATGGTAGTCTTCATATCTTAGTAGGGAGAAACAGGAAGACATCTAACAGGATCATTATTTTAGTAAAAGTTCTACGGGAACCCAAGAGGAAGGAATGCTAGAGGCCAGGGAAGGCTTTAGAGAGATGGGGATATTTGAATTGTGTCTTGAGGGATGAGTAGGACTTCCCCAGGGTGACAATGGTTCTCCAGGTCGAGATGGTGTAGAAACACGAGGATGGGATGTCTTGACAGAAGGGGCAATGTAGTAGAGGAAAGTGTGTAGAGCATAGTATGTTTACATTTTGCAATAATATGAGATGACCAGAGAGATGGGAGGGGCCAGGAAAGAAGAGGTACATACAGTAAGAATTGGGGATGTGAGGCAGAGCGGCTAAGAAGGCACTTGTGTGTCATATTAATGAGTTAAAGGGGCTTTGGTAACTTCCCCAATTGAGTAGGGCAGTGCCATGCTGGGCTTTTCATTTTAGGAAGAACACTCTAGAAGCAGTATAGAGGATACTTTGGAGGTGAGAAGAGGGGTGGCAGGATGACTTAGGAGGCAGCTGCAGTGCACTATGAAAAAATAAATGAAAGCTTGACCTGAAATGTTAAGTTTGAGGTGCTTGTGAAGATCCTTTATTATTTAAAACAAATCTGCCCACCCTAAAGAACAACCAAGGGGGAAATATGGTTTTAATGATAACAATAATGATGTTTAAGTACATAAGCATATTCTCCTCAATCTGTTTTCCCTTTTCATTATGGGACTTTGTTGTCAGCAGACAAATCTTATTGCCTTCCCTTTCTTGGTGTAATTAAGATAGTAAATTGAGTGGAATATTCCTTTTTTGTCATATCTCTATATTATGTTGCTTCAATCAACTGAAAATGTATTTGACTCTAGATGTAGTAACAAATCAGATGAGAAGATAAGAACAAAAGGGCATATTTGATTCACATGCACATTCTGACCAGTCCAGCATTCATCAAATTACATATTTTATGGAAATTCAATGATCTTGCCAAATGTGTAAAGAAAGTGTTAATCTTACCTTAAGGGGCAGGCCATGTTTTGTACAAAAAACAAAAACTGCTCTTTCAAAGCTAATTCAGTGCACAAAAAATCTGTGTACTGTTCTTATCATACATTTATCTCCCCATCCAAATCTTTTTCCCCAGTTTTGAACTAACACTTGCATATTTCCAATGTAGTGAAAATTATTTATGCTCTGTTTGAAATCTACAGTGTCCCAGCCCAGTGGTGATGTCAGCACACATAGGTTTCAAACTGATGGGTCTTAGCTGGCTTCTAGTTCTTCATGGCGGTTGTAGTAAAGGTTCCATGCAGAAGTTTTAAACTTCAGGCACTTGGAATCTTACTTCCTTGTGGCATCCTGCCAAACCCCAACAGATCTACTGTTTCTTTAGGACATATTAGCAAAAATATTAGTGGGGGCAGAATCTGAACACCACTCATGTATATGCCTGCTTGTAAAGCTTCTTTTCTACTAAGGATAAAAGCATTCATTTTTTATTATCAGAGGAGATAAAGACAAACTTTTATTTGAAGGACAAATTTTAAACCCATGTGAAAATTATTTTAAGAGCATGTTTATATTAGAGCAATTAAACTAACGAAGTAGTATATCATGATGCAGTTACAAGCTGGTGATTTTCAGGAAAAATTGGTTCCCTACTGCCCTTTTTGGGTAAACTTAATATTAAAAAAAATTTTTTTGGTACTACTGTTAGATAGGTAAAGCCCTGTGAAAGCCCCCTTCCTGCCAACTGGAGGGTCCACCTCAGAAATTCCCTTCACATGTGCTCCCTGGGCCGCCAGGTCTTTGAGTTAGCGACGCTCAGGAACAGAGAAGTGCAGAGACGTATGCGTCGCACAATGCTGGACTGGATTCAGCTTTTCTTTTTTCTTTTTTGAAACTGATGATTTCTCTGTCACCCAGGCTTGAGTGCAGTACAGTGGTGCAATCTCTACTCACTTCAACCTCCACCTTCCGGGTTCAAGCGATTCTCCTGCCTCAGGCTCCTGAGTAGCTGGGACTACAGGCACCCACCATCACCTGGCTAATGTTTGTACTTTTAATAGAGATGAGGTTTTGCCATCTTGGTCAGGCTGGTCTCAAACTCCTGACCTCAGGTGATCCACCCGCCTCGGCCTCCCAAAGTACTGGGATTACAGGCATGAGGCACTGTGCCCAGCCTGGATTCAAATCTTAACTCTTCTAATTATTAGTTCTGTAACCTCTCAGAGATTCATGTCTTCATTAATCACATGAGAATAATATTGTTCAGTTTATATAGATTTTGAGAAAACTTCCTAATCACCAGTGACAAATGTTTGTCATTTAGTGAATACTCAAAATGTTACTTTACTTAGCAAGTATAATTGCTAATAAACTCCAGATTGAACGGAAATAATTGAGTTAAACTTTCTTGATATTTTCAAGTAGCTCACTTCTTATTTTGTCTTCGCAACCACAACTTCCTTGCCCTTTCTCTTTTTGTGTCCCTTATTCTATTCTTTTACAAAGTTACAGCAGTTAAAGCATGGAGATTCATTCTGGAGAAGAATCAGTTTTGTGCATTCTCCTATGTTCTCTGCTCGTAATGGAACCGTCTCCAAACTGCATGCAACATTGCAAACGCACAGTGATGCTACATATGTGATTTCATGGGATAATATGATAGTCAAATTTTTCAAAGCACCAGGAGGAAGAGAAAACAGTTAACCTATGGTAAACCGTGTCAAGATAAACTGATCTTCAAATGACAAAATTAATATATAGGCAAATGTTAGAAAGAAGCAATTCAAGGACTGATTGAGAAGCTGATGGTCATTTTCTATGTATCTTGAAAAGCATTACAAACTAGTATGATATTCTTTCTTCTTGCTCACAAGTGGAAACTTCTCCTACTGTTCCTAGGCTGCCAATTTTTTTCTTTTTTCCTTCGCAAACTAGAGCCCATTCTGCACTCTCTCTCCCTGAGGTACATGTGCCTTTCCAAACTAATATCTCTCACTTTTTCCCTTCGGTTATATTCTTGTCCTGTCTTATTTGTCCTGGTGCCTTAGGGGAACCTTTCAACACACCTCATAAGGGCCAGGGAGTCCAAGAACAATACTCACTTTTATTTCCATACACTCCATCCTTCATCCAAACAGTCAGTTCTAAAATATGTTGAACTTCAGGTTTACCAGTGCTGCTGGCAGGGACAGGGGAGAAGGAAGATTTGCCAGGGAGATTTCAGAAGCACACAGAGCAAGAGGGCAGGGAGCGAGGGAGCACCATGTCTTGGCTTCTCACCTCCCTGTGTACGTTAAACATCATGATGCCAGTTTCTTCAGCTCTGGCTGGTGACAGTACTGGTTCAACCATCCCATGCTTTCCCCATTCTTTCCCTTGTTTGTCATCATTGTTAACCTTGACTTTGGGCAGAGACTTCACTATACAAAAGCTCTTTACAAAGGAAATGGATACAATGAAAGAAGAGTTTTATTTTTTTAAGCGACGTTGTAGAAGCAAAGAAGGTCTAGTTTTATCTCCCTTCCACCTTTTCCGTTCTCATTCTTATTCTCATCTCTCTCAGGCACCATAGACCCATCAGACTCCTTCCTTGCTGCCTCCCTCACAGGGTCATGAAGTTTTCCTTGTGCCTGGCCCCACAGCACTTCATGTTTCTCTACTGAGAAACATATCTAGGACAAGATACAGTGCTTGCCTTACACATATCGTATCCTCAAGATTGGTCAAATCTAATCGTGCTTTTCCCACATACTAGACATAAATTATTTGAGGGTAGGGATTGAATCTTCTCATCTGTCCATAACTTTCAGCACTGAGCACACTGCCCTGAGCAAGGAAAATGCCCTATACATTTTAGTTGAGTTAAATTGACAAAGACTGTCGTTTTTTGCTTTGCCAGATAAGGATAACGAAAAGTCCAAATCCATCATGTCAATCTCTTCATTAAAGTTCCCATTTCCTTAACTAATTCTAATTAAGGCATTAAGGCAAGTATAGTGGTAAAAATCCAGTCTTTGGAGCCAGAAGAAAAAGGTGTAAATTTCAGTATTCAGTAGAGGCTTAGGTCTCCACATCTGTGAAATGAGGTAAGGCCGTCTTCATGGAAATGCTGTGCAGAATGGAAGGGTTTCATGTACTAACGTGTATCCCAATCCCAGGAGGGTTTATGTGTAGAAGAGGAACTGGAAACAGCCTAGTACATTCACAATAGAGGAACAATTCAAAGGGTGAGGTCTCATTCCAGAAACTCAGCTGGATCCCTGTCTCCCACATTTAAACACTTGATTTCCCTCTCATTTATTTTTTCTTATGTCACTTAAGATATTAATTACAAAAAGCATGCAGTACATAATTTGTTAGGATATTTTCTACCAAGTGGGCCTAAAACCAGACTTAATTGAAAATGATCCAAGGTTCATTTTCCATGAAATTTTTCTGAGATAAAGCAAGAGAGCAAAGAAAGAAAGATTAAATCATAGAAAATAAGGCAAATCTACATCGCTCCCTACTCTGCTTACTTTTTGCATAACTCCAAGGTTATGAGCAATACAATGCTGAGAACCTGCAAATGAACAATTTGGGGTGGGTGTTCGCTCTATGTGTAACTCCAACAGGGAACATCTAACATCTTTTTCAAATACTTAAGCGAATTTAAAGAATCATGCCCAAGGGTTGACTAAAGCTATTTTATTGTAAAGAATTATTTAAGCAGCTCTTATTCCCACTCAGTGAAGTCAAGACATTCTAAAACATAATCTTGCAAGCTAGGTTGAGTCATTCTGCCAAGGGGGCTACTGACAGGATATATTCTTGAAAATACTCCTTTATCAACCCTATAGGAATGCTGTGCACCCTTTTTGATTATCACAAATTTGTGTTTAAAATCTTGATATTTATGTACTATGTACTTTGAATACATGAGCATGATACTTTAAATTTGCTAAAGTATTTGAAAAAGATGTTACAGGTATTCACTGTTAAGAGTTAAACACAGAGTAAACACCCATTCCAAATTGTCCATTAACAGCTCTCAGTATTTTATTGTTCTTTGGTATTCTTGTATATAATATGATATATACGAACAGGTTAAATACATTAGTTCTTTGCTTTTGTAAGTAACTCATTACAAATGATTTGAGAAAATTAAGGTAGACTTTTACATTTAAAGCATCCTTAAGAGATTTTTAAAGTAAATTGACCCAGAAGGTCCTTTAAATGGAAACAGTTGGGATTCTAAAGTAAATTGACCCAGAAGGTCCTTCATATGGAGATGGTGGATTCTAATGCAGACACTGGAAAGAATGTCAAGGGAGCTGTAATCAAATACTATATTTTGGCTGTTGGTAATTTACTGAACAGTTGACTTTTGGTAATTTATGCCAAAGGTGCTTTGATGTATAAGTAATCTATTTTCTTTTCACTTGCAGTTCAAGTACTTTGGGAAACACATTCACTATTTCAGACCATTCAGGCAGCTTATTGCTGCAATACCTCAGGGAACAGTTTATTCTTTAAGAAAATTTGGTGGAGTGTTCTTGAATTTTTGTTTTCTAAGGACCTCTGTACCTATAATCTAAAATTTTAGTATCTCTATTTTTCTAGAATAAAAGATACCATGCACTAAAGCCACCAGTTCAAATACTCTTGTCACCCTAAGAGCTCTTGAAATTGCACCTGGCGGAAAGCATTTCCCAGCTAACTGGAAATAAGGAAGAGTTCCCTTTCCCTTACCCTGTTTGTTCCTGAAATGCTCAAGAAGCTTCATTTCTACCTTCAGAAAACAATTGCAAGACTGCTTGTACTTTCCTTAGCTGTTGAAGTTCCTATGTCTAAGGATGTAAACATTTGTTTTGAGACAGTATTTCTTTTAATTATATATCTTAGAAGAGCAAATAGCCTACCTAGCATATTTAACTCAATCCCTTCAGAGGTCCCCAGTGAGAATTTATACACCTGAGCCCTAAAAGTCTGGGGTCATTCAGTGTTTCTGAAGGGCAGGCAGGTGGATATCAAGTCCACATCTTTTTAGGCATTACTTTTAATTACTTTAAAAGTAAACACACTTCCCATTTGAGTTGTGTTTCTTCCACTAATGAGATAACAGAGCAGTGTTCCTAGGACACTGGCTGCTCCTCAGTGATAGCAAGTAAACTGCACAAGCTACATCTGTAATTGGTTTTCTGATCCAGCCTCAGCAAACACACGTGAGTGAAGTTCATGGAAGGGATAAACGGATTTAGTTACCTTCACGAGCTACCTTCAAACAGCAGTTTAATTTTGTTTCCTTATAGCAGCTTCCCTCCCCCAGCCCATTAGAGCTTCTTGATTTATGATACAGTAGTTGTAGCTTTCCCAATCAAGACAGGATTTTCTCCTGTCAGAAAATGTGGCTCCCTAGGATACCGCCCTGGGAGAGTAAATGAGATTCTAATAGTTCCAGATTATCACTAAAGGCAGGGTCAAGGAAATAACTTTTATTTTCTTTCTATTAACCGCACATAGCAATGAAAATTCTCAATTAATAGGTTAATTTATATGATTTATAGTTCAATATACAGAATATTAATCATGAGACATTAAAAGAAATGCTTCCTGTTAATATCACTTTTCTATAGTATCTAAGTCGCTTTATAAGCTACATGATTTGTTACAATTAGGCAGGCATGTTACTTATGAAGGTCAACATAATATTGGAAGGGCCCAAGGGCCATTTGTTTTTACTAATACTGTACAATTTTCACTTAATATCTAGAATTTGCTTCCTTGGTCTTACAAAGTCAAATTCGTTTACAATGGAATCTGTTGCTATTTTTTGAGTATTTTGTGTATCAGAGCCTCCTTGTAAGTGGTTTGCTATCAACAAATAATCAAACAATGACAAGCTGGAGGTCATTACCCTTGAAAAACTTCATTGGTTTAGAAATTCAATTCAAATTTTGTACCTTATTGTTATCAATAAAATTTATGGCTAAATAGCAGTAACATTACATGTGGGATGTCTACTTGAACTAAGCACGGAATCTGTTCCCAAGATCTTAGGATCTAAAAGGGGAAACCAACAAGAAGCTAGACCATTTGCAACACAATGTGACCAGCGGTGCAAGCCATGTATGAACATGCGTCCTGATAGTGCCCCAGCTGGGAGTGTCTCTTTGAGTGACCTTTAGGCCAGCACCTCCTAGATACTTGGTCATTTTACTGGGAACTCCTTAAGTTCAGTCACTGGTTACCTGCATAATTGGAAAAGAGTTTTTATGGATGACTTTAGGAGCCATAGCAGAGAATTAGCTCCTAAAGTCATTCTTGACTCTTCTGCAATCAGAAAAGCACCATGATTAAGTAACAGTCTCTATGATGAAGCCACCTAGAACAAGCAGATCTTGAAGAGGAGTGAGTCTAGAAAGTGAGGTTAGTTTTTGGCCTCTGTGGAGAAGGGAGGTGCTGGCGCAACCCTTCACCTGCACCCCAGTTATGTGTATTTCCATTTCTAGGTGCAAGAATGGCCCTGCAGCATGTAAAGAAAGTCTACGTAGAAAATATTTTAATTTATAAATTTTTAATCTAAAAAATGTATGTTATTCTCCATTACAAGTTGTAGGGTGGGATATTTAATCCCACAGATTTTACTCTATTGTGTATTAGAAAAACGGAGAAGGTTAATGCCCTAGATTTAATTCAGATGATTTAACATTTGAAGTTCCTATCCCGTGAGTTCTGTTCTTTGCATGAGAGAGCCAGTGCACACACACCTATGTTAATAGCAGCAATATTCACAATAGGCAAGAAGTGGAAGCAACACAAATGTTGATTGACAGAGGAATGGAGCAACAACATGTGATATACACTTACAAGGGAATATTACTCAGCCTTGACATCATAGAAAATCCTGTCCCATGCTGCAGCATGAGTGTACCTTGAGAACATTATGCTAAGTGAAATAAGCCAGTCACAAGTTGACAAATACTGTACATTTCACTTATGTAAACTATCTAAAATAGTCAAATTCATAGAAACAGAAAGTAGAACGCTGGTTACCAGGGGCTAGGGGAGGAGGAAAAGATAAATTGTTGTTTAATAGGTACAGAGCATCAGATTTACTAGATGAAAAGGTTCTGGAGATCTGTTTCACAACAATATGAATACATTTGACACTACTAAACTATATACTTAAAAATAGTTAAGATAGTAAATTGTGTTATGTGCTTTTTCAACAAAGAGATAGTCTACTGTTTTCACATTTTAAAACATTACTATGTCAGAAATCTTGACTATTGAAATCCACTATATATATAGATGTAGGCTCGAAGAAATATAGTACCAAGTAAGCAGTGCATGGCACACATTTCTGTCACGCAACTTTAACAGAGGGCCTGCAGAAAAGGCAGTGAAAATAGACCAAATATGATGATTTAATCCTGACCTGGAAAATGATTTAGATGAACTCATAAGGTTCCCTCTTTCTCACTTATCTGATAACAAAATTGAAATACCCTTAAAAAGGAAATATAAGCTCACCATTGCATATAACAGATCTGTTGTTTGGAAAATCAGATCTCATAATTGTATTTGGGGAGGGAAGAAGGGAGGGAGGGAAAGAAGGAAGAAAAGAAAGGAAAGAGGAAGAGAAGGAAGGAAAGGAGGGAGGAAGACAGGGAAGGAAGGAAGGAAAGAAAGGAGGGAGGAAGGAAGGAAGGAAGGGATGGAAGGGGGAGGGAGGGAAGGAAGGAAGGAAAGAAAGAAAATAAAGAGAGGAGGGGTAGAGAATAGAGGGCAGAAAGAAGGAAAAAAGGTAGGAAATGAAGCCTGGATGCAAAACCTAATTCTTAAAGAAAGCTTTATGACATTCTCATTATTCCTACAGAACCTGCCATTGGAAAGACACATATTGCAAATGACGTGGAACTTACAAAGAAGGAAACAAACTTTCTGAGATCTAAAGTGTAGTTCTAGAGGCCCACGTATTTCATTCTCTGCAAATGAAAACCAGAGTGTTTTTATTCATTCCGCATTTTTCCCTAGAGATTTATTTGGCTCCAGAGGAGACCTATACTATATGCTTAAAATGATTGGTATTAATGTTGACTTTCAGACAGCCAAAACGTTTGAGATGTAACAGGGAAGGACTGGCAAGCTTCACACACGTAGGCATTATTCTATTTGCTATCATATTTGTGTGAGATATGTTTATTGCAAAATGCAGATTACCAAGTGAAATCTGGGCAAGTGTTTCGAGGCAATCTTGAGCATATGCTTATGGTACCAGTTAAAACATTTTAGACTGAGAATGAGAAGGGCTTAAGAGAGCTACTCTGCTGGGCGCGGTGGCTCACGCCTGGAATCCCAGCATTTTGGGAGGCCGAGACAGGCGGATCACAAGGTCAGGAGTTCGAGACCATCCTGGCTAACATGGTGAAACCCCATCTCTACTGAAAATACAAAAAAAAAATTAGCTGGGTGTGGTGGAGGGCGCCTGTAGTCCCAGTTACTCGGGAGGCTGAGGCAGGAGAATGGCGTGAATCTGGGAGGCAGGGCTTGCAGTGAGCCAAGATCTCGCCACTGCAGCACTCCAGCCTGGGAGACACAGCGAGACTCCGTCTCAAAAAAAAAAAAAAAAAGCGAGAGCTACTCCAAGAATAATGACTGTGAATATCAGAAGGACATATTTAGGCATGTTTCATTCTACCAGTGACCAAGAAGTGATTATCCTTTACATGGTCATTTCACTGAGAAAGACAACAAAGAAAATGGCTGAGAAAAAAGATGGTTGATAATAAATAGAATGGAATGTTGGCACCCACAGAAAACAAATCTAGAATTGGAAGACTATGAATGTGCACATTTTTAGATTGAGGTGAGTGAGACTGTGGGGAAAGCAAATGCCTTTCTTGAGTTTGTGAGTTTGAATATCTCTTTGCCTCTCTGTACTCTATTGTCTTTTAATCTATTAAAGAAAATAGTTTCATTATACTTTCTCCTTTTAAAACCAAGAATAGTTGTTCTTTTCTTTCCTGATGGAAGAAATCTGTCAAATGATAGTTTGGATGTGTTTGCTGTTTTGATATAAAGACTCGTCATGACTAGATGACAAAACAGAGCAGCAATTTCACATTCTCCTATGAAAGACTTAAGCAGTTGTTTTCTGTTGCCAAAAACACCCATACAGACTTAAAAGCAGATCATAACTTTCGTAGTTACGGGCTTTAATAATGGAAGGGGTGTGGCTATATCTGAGGAAAATATATTTTTTATCTTATCTTTATGATGCAGGTTAACTCTTTTAGTGAACTTTGCCTGAATTATTATGCTTTTTACTTGATTGCACTGTATTTGAAGATATAATTTGTATTTCAAATAGCACTCAGCAAATGTATGTTAAACATTCAGTTCTGGCCTGGGGTGATGTCTCACACCTGCAATCCCAGCACTTTGGGAGGCCAAAGCGGGCGGATCACGAGGTCAAGAGATCGAGACCAGCCTAGTGAACATGGTGAAACCCTGTG
Source organism: Homo sapiens (assembly GCF_000001405.40). Classification (NCBI taxonomy): domain Eukaryota; kingdom Metazoa; phylum Chordata; class Mammalia; order Primates; family Hominidae; genus Homo; species Homo sapiens. The sequence goes on from NC_000004.12 coordinate 187,362,256, forward strand.
TCTACTAATAATACAAAAATTAGTTGGGCATGGTGGTGGGCACCTGTAGTCCCAGCTACTCGGGAGGCTGAGGCAGGAGAATCACTTGAATCCAGCAGGCGGAGGTTGCAGTGAGCCGAGATCACACCATTGCACTCCAGCCTGGGCGACAGAGCGAGACTCCATCTCAAAAAAACAAAAACAAAAACAACAAACAAACATTCAGTTCTATAATATTTGTTGAAAGCTAACACTATAGGGAAGGATGTTTTGTTTTTGAAATTTTCTCTCACTTTCTATTTTTTAATTGCTAGGAAATTACCTGACTGACAGAACACTTTCTAGTGTTTTTTCTTAGAATTACATAAATTACAGAATTGAATTATTTCCGTTCAATACAAGCTAATGTAAATCTTGACTCCACTCAGGAAGTTAAGTAGCAGTGTTCTAGGTATTTACGCTTCATCGTGCTATCTGGAGAGTAACTCATACCTGTCCTGAACAGAAAAAAAATAGTGGTGATACAAATAAGATGTTGTATACCACTTTTAACTTTTCACAGTTTTTTCTTGTGTGACTTTTAATTCTCACAACAGTGGTGTAAATTAACTTGGGTGTACAGTGAAAATCAAAGTGTTTAAATGCCTGAGCTTGCACACATATGTAGTCACTATGGAATCCAGGATTTTGTATTTAAATGGGAATATGTACTCAGCTAAGGCTCAGGGAAAAACAAAGGAAAGCTGATATACACCAGGCGCACATACACACTGACACCCAGGCACACACACACACACAGACGCCCAGGCCCGCACACACGCTGACACCCAGGCCTACACACACGCTGACGCCCGGGCGCGCATACACACTGATGCCCAGGCAAACACACACTGACGCCCAGGCCCACACACACACGGACGCCCAGGCGCACACACACACTGACGCCCAGGCGTGCACACGCACTGACGCCCAGGCACACATGCACTGACGCCCAGGCGCACACACGCACTGACGCCCAGGCCCACACAAACCCTGACGCCCAGACACACAAACGCCCAAGAGATTTCGCATGTAATTTGCAATCTGGCTGTGTCTGTTCTCAGTTTGGAGTTTGCATATATCCATACTTATGTTTGTAATCCCATGATAGACTTTATCTTTTTCCCATTACTCTTCTCAATTCTTTACCCTTCTTGGATGCGTACCCTTTGCCATTTGACTAGTGACAGAGCAGACTTGCCTGCTTTGGTGCGGCTGGGCATGGCCGTGTGTTTGGCTCGGCACATGGTCAGTGGATGGGTGTTAGTCACAGTGTGCCAGCTCTGAGCATCAGCGCTGGGAGGCATTGCAAGCCACAGAGCTGTCCCTATTCTTCTGGTCTTGGGTAGCCTGCTGGTCCAAGGAGAATGAAAGACAAGTGGAGCGTAACTACATCTAATATGAAGCTTGGAGCCAGCCTGGCTGACTCAGTCCAGGTCAGCTGGCTCCCAGATGACCCCAGACACATGGAAAGAGTGCCAAGTGTGGTTTTAAGATGCTAAGTTGTGGGTTGTTTGTTTCCTGGCACTATTGTTACACTAGCTAATATCCTACGTATTATGTACTATCAGCAGCCATGAAATATGTTCTAATTCATACATGATTGTGAATCCTCATGCAAAAAAGCTCTTTTTCTTTTCTATTCTTAGGGTATAGTAAAGTAGCCTCTTGGATCCAAATAAAGTGAGCTCAATAATATTCATTGTTACATAACAAATAGCCACGCTAAGAATGTGCCATCATAATTTAATCACACTATACTGATCATCAGGATTCTTCTTTACAAAACAGAGAAGATAATACCTTTTCATTCCACCCCTTGGAATTCATTTGTTCATTTACTAGCTTATTCAATTATTAGCTGTTGAGAACCTCTTATTTTCCTAGGATATACCATGGAATAAGATAAAGCCCTTAATGACACAGGCTTCTAATCTATTCGGTGACATAGCAAAAGGAATGGCTACTTTTCAATACAATGAACACGATAATGAAGCTAAGTTCTTGGTAGTGTAGGCAGACAGTGGAGAATATTTTAGGCAGGGAAAGCAATATTTGAGTTAAGCCTTAGAGGACTGGAGGAGGGGAGGACATACAAACTTATATTCTCATAAGCTTAATAAGTACAATTAGAAAAAAAATAACTTGACACTAGACAATCTGTTTAAACAATTTTAACCAAATAATCAAGGTTAATTTAACTAATAGTGAGACAAATGAACGTCTTCTACCTCCTGATCCGAAGCACTGAGAACACAGTATTACTTATGCAGTGCTTTTTGCTAAAAATGCATAACCTGAATCTAATCGTGAGGAAGTAGCTGACAAATCTGAATTGACAGACATTCTACAAAATAACTGGCCTGTACCCTTTTAAAATGTCAGTGTCATGGAAGACAAAGGAACACGGTGGAACTGTTCCGCATTAGAGGAGACTTAACAGCACGATATCTTAATGAGTTTGCAGCATAGGACGTCATTGGGACAATTGGCAAAATATGAATAAAATCTATAGGGTGTATAATAGTATTATATAAATGTTGATTTTCTAATTTTGATATTTGTACTATGGTTAAGAAACAGAATATTCTTGTTTTGAAATAAACACTGAAGTATTTAGGAGTAAAGGGGAAAAATCTGCGTGTATGTATCAGAAAAACCAACACTTCTTCTTCCCTTGCACAGTCAACACAACAGAACGTTCTGTGACCAAAGTGTGGTGGATTTCTCCAAGCCAACAACTCATTGTCCAGCAGACACCAACTGGGTGTCCTGCAAGTTATCTGGATCCTGACACTCGCCGGAGTCAGTGCAGAACCCACAGGGGAAGAGCCCAGTCTTGTAAGATGCCCTCACTTCAGCAGCCCATCGCAAGTCCCACGTGGCGACCTTGTGACCTGTGCTTCTGACTGCCCAGCTATCCACAGGGTTTTCTGGACCCTCTCCTCAGGTTTAATAGTTTGTGAGAACAGCTCATAGAACTCAGGAAAATATTTAACTTATATTTACCTACTTATTATGAAGGATACAGATGAACAGCCAGACGGAAGAGATGCACAGGACAAGACGTGGGAAGGGGCAGAGCTTCCATGTGTCTCCGGGTGCAGCAACCTCCAGGCACCTCCGCGTGTTCAGCAATCCAGAAGCTGAATCCCAACCCCACAGTGCAGGGGTTTTTATTAAGGCTTCATCACATAGGAGTGATGGGTCATCAACGCCATCTCCAGCCCCTCTCCCCACTTCCTGGAGGATGGGTGATGGGGCTTAAAGTTCTAAACTTCTAATTCTGGCTTGTTCTTTCTAGGGGCCAGTGCACCTCACCCCCAGAAACCCCCCAAGATTTGTTGCATTCAAATAAAAGTGCTCCTGTTACTCAGGAAATTGCAAGGGATGAGAAACTCTGCATCAGAAACCTGGGTCAAAGAACAATGATTAGAAAACAAAATGCACCTACCACCCCCATGGCTCAAAAAAATCAAAGGGTTTTAGGATCTCTGTGCCAGAAAACAGAGGACAGAGACCAAATATTTATTTTGTATTGTACCACAACATCACTGTGTGTGTGTGTGCAGATGGATAAAGAGGAAGAAGTGTGGATAGAGCAAATGTGGCAAAATGCAAATATTTGAGGAATCTGGGTAAATGATATGTGTGGGAATTTCTTGTATAATTCTTGCAACTTTTATGTGATTCTGAAATTATGTCAAAATAAAAATTAAAGTAAAACAAGACAAAAGGATGGGGAAAAGGGTTGATCCTAGGGTAAAATGATGACAGAATTAAAGGTACCAGAAATAGTATGTATCAAGTCGTGGGTACATGCCCAAACTTGACATGGAAAAATAAAGACTAACGGCTCTCTCTTTTCTGCATTTAGATGCAGCATTTTACTGTACTAACTTTTCTACATGAAAATAAAACTCACAAAATCAGAATGGGCTCTGAAGGTTGTACCAATGTCAATTTCCTGGTTTTGATATTGTGCCATAATTACATAAGCTGTTACCATTGGGGGATACTGGGTGAAGGGTACACAGGACCTCCTAGACATTTCTTTGCAACTTCCTGTGAATCTATAATTACTTGAAAATGAAGGTTTGGGTTTTTTAAAAATACTTTTCTAACTCCCCCATACAAAGGAAAATTTATTTTGTTAACCTCATATTGATGTGAATAACTTCGTGTACTGAGACTTTTACCTCTAAACAGGACTAAGATTTTTCACATTTATGTTAGTAAAAAAAATTAGTAAATTTTAAATTTAGTATAAAATTTCCAAGACCCATTTATTTAATATTCCATTTTAGGATGGCAGAGATTCTCTCCTTGACTGAAATCCAGCCAGCCTCCTCTGAGCTCTCTTCTCCACTAGGGCCCGACCTTGGCCTATCAAGACTTGAACAAACACTAGCACAGTTTCCCACAGCTGAAGGCCGCAACCCTCAGGTGACCCCAGTCCCCCATAAGTGCCTGCCTGAGCAAACTCAAGGCTGCCAAAAGAATTTACTGTTTGTTCCAGCCCACACCTGAAGCTGGAGCCCCTGCTTCCCAGCCTCTGTGTGAGGGTAGGAGCCTAACGTTAACTCATGTCCAGCTTTGGCAAAGAGTACATTTTATTTTTATTTGCTCTGTCACTAGGGCATCCACATTAGCCATAGTGCTGCAGGATTTCACATTTCAGAAAATCTCAAGCAAAATGTAATCATAGCTCCTGTGAATTGTGCATCTGCTGTGACCCAGACATTGTGCTTTCCTTTACTCCCACCCATTCCTCATCACAGCCCTGCAAAAAGAAAACAACAGCAACACCGTGCACAGGCCAAGTGGCTTGGTGATAGGGCTAGTACACGGTGGCGGAGACTGCGGACCCAGCGTGGCACATCACGGGATGTATCATTCTGCTCAGCTCGTCAGGCTGGCCTGCACCAGTGAGCGCTTTGTGTGCTACCAACTGTCATAATTATTGAGCTAAGGAGCTCGATAATTATCAGTGGAGAAAATTCCAAGGCTGATCATATTAGAGCTTTACTTAATTTTTGATACCTGATTGCCGACAGTTTTGAAGCCTGACCTCTCCCTCCTCCTCTTTGCTCACATCTGCGCAAGCTGATGAGAATGTGTGGGCTGCTGTCTTTTGGCACCCACAGGAAGGCTCTGCCCCACCAGGGAACCCTCACCCCAGCCCCACCTTCAAGCCACCACACCAGTCTCCTTTCCTGGCTCGTTCAAGACATTTTTGGATCTGCCTGGGAATTGCTCCCTGATCTCCCCAAAAGCTCTCATTATGTGAGAAATAAAGCTTTTCCTGTTCTCTTGGTGTATGTGTGGAATCACCAGTCTTGACCTCTCAATCAAATTTTGTGTGGGGAGTCTCTTGTACTTCTTCAGAGTGGCCACAAAAGGATGAACCACTGAAATGTTTAAATATAAAGAAATCTGTATTTTCAATTCAGTTAATCTTCAGGCCATAGAATATAACTTGTCTCTCATATGGAGCTTAAAGTTAGCATTTAGTTGACATAAATGCTCCAAAATTCACGGTACACGTTGATGCTAATACCTCGCACACCGTCCAGTAACTAGGCACATTTCAACTTTCATTCTCAAAGATGCAAAGATTTCTGGTTTGTAAAAGCAGCTTGGAATGTTCTTTCTGTGAAAATAACACATTTACGAAAACACACTTGGTGTGCATTTCTTCTGAAGGGAATATATATTTCTTTATGGAGCTTAGAATTGCTTATGAAAACAATATAAAACCTGTCCGTATTCTATTATGGCCCTATTTATACCTTCATTCCTAATAAATATTTTGCATTCATTACTGACTTTTGACTTTGGGTGTAATATAAAGAAAACATAAAAGCATGAAATGGTGGTTACAATTTTCAGTTTTAAAAAGTCATCTTAATGTTTCTTTGGAAAAACATGTCTCCTCATGAAAAGAAATAGTCAACAAGTTCATATTTTTTAGAAAAAGTTAAAAGCACATACTGCCAGAAAAACTAAATTCTCTCAAATTATATTAAGCAAAGACAAATAAACTTTTATACATTCCTTGCTTTAGCATTCCCACAAATGCATACTTGCTGTTTTAAAGAAAAATGATCAGAGAGCACAAGAAAGTTAGTAGAAAGTAAAATTTTATACAGAAGTGTAGCTGCACATTTCAGTATTAACAGAAGTCCTGTAATAGAATTACCATGCCATATTTCAATATTAATACCAATAAAAAGAAATACCAGTTTTCAGAAGCAGTATAACAGCCCTCTGCTGTAATTGGGCCCTCCTTAGTGGGAGACAGTTTTGACTCCCTGTTCTTGATACACACAAAGCTGTAAATATGGCCACTTCCCTGTTCAAACCCAGAATGGAAAAGCCCCTGATAAGAAAGTCTCGCTTAGCATGAATTTTTAAATTATTATCCTCCAGCTATACTTTTCACCTCCATGCACAGTATCTATATCAAACAAGCTAAACAGATTCAATTTCTTTCCTCCAAGAATTTGTTCAGGCCATACTCAAATGTATAGGCTTTAAGTGGGGTGGGTCAGCAAGAGAACAGCCAACCCAACATGGGTAAATCTTGTTTATGAGGGTGGAAAGTTTTAATGCTTTACTTGATTCATTGCTAGACAACCTTTCCATCCAAGAGGCCACTATTTTTACAGGTAGCTTCAAAGTATATCAAATATAAAAGAAACAGAAATAATATAAAGAAAATAAGAAGCCATAAATAATTTCAATGTACTTATTTAAAATTTTATTAAGTAGTCATCATTAATTTCTTAGATGTTTGAGAGCAAACCGTGCATAACGTGCCTGAGCGTAAGAAACTAGCAGTACAGAAGAGGAGATAGAAATCTGAATGCAAAATAAATAAAAATAAATAAAAGAAATCTGAATGCACGCCGGCAACAGGGTGTGATGAGTTCAATTACAGAATTCTCTACCAGACACAGTAGAACTCGTTAGCTTTGCCTTAACTACTTACGGTCACCAAAGCAGACATTTTAGTTGGACATAGAAGAAAAGGAGTCAGGGAGGGCAGGGAGAGGGTAAGGAAAAGGGGGTGGGACACTTTTTAGGAGTAAATGGCCTGTCCGAAGCACAGAAATACGGAAGACCTTGATAGATTCTAGACAGTGTAATAAGAGCAAACTGTTGGCAAGAGGACTGCGAGATAAGACTGCCGGGCTGACGGAATCCATATACAGAGACTGGTGATGGAGGTCCCTGGAAGGCCAATTTTCTGTATAAGCAATGGGGAAGTGTATCAGTCAGATTTTTTTTTTTTTCAGAGTCTTGCTCATCACCCAGGCTGCAGTGCAATAGTAGCATCTCAGCTCACTGCAATCTATGCCTCCCAGGATTAAGTGATTCTCCTGCCTCAGCCTCCCGAGTAGCTGGGACTACAGGTGCGCGCCACCACGCCCAGCTAATTTTTGTAGTTTTAGTAGAGATGGGGTTTCACCATGTTGGCCAGGATGGTCTCGATCTCCTGACCTTGTGATCCGCCCGCCTTGGCCTCCCAAAGTGCTGGGATTACAGGCGTGAGCCACCGCACCTGGCCCAGTCAGGGTTTTCTACAAGAATCACAAACAATTCCAGTCATTTTAAGTGGAAAGACATGTAACACACAAAGTAAAATATTTTCAGGATCTGTAGAAGGTCTAAGGAGTAGGTCTGAGATTAGCCTCTTGGAATCGCATTACACTTCAAACAACACAGACTGGAGTAATAGAGCTATTCTCTCTGAGGCCACCACACTGGAACTATGCTGGAAATAAGGGGTTAAAACTGGCATCTCTGCCACCACCACCTGTCAATATTCAGGAGCCTATGTAACAGACGCTGGCTGGCTGCTGGAGGAACATCATATTTCCATGGACTTTCTTATAAACGGCACCCTCCAAAACTTTCACAGAGACGGACTCTGCTCACTCCTGCATTCCAAATATCTCATGAGTTCATCAATACAGAATTCTAGCATCAAAAGAATCTAGGAAGTGTAACTGAACTTTCCAATCTTCCCAAAGAGAGAAAAGATGCAAGGGAGACTGAGTGAACCAACATAAATAATACAGCAGAAATACCATTAACAATGCTATGCAAAAAAATTGTATATTTGAAATCTTCTAATATTTCTTATCTGTCAATATAGAAATATGGATGTCATAGAAAAGGCATAAATTAGAATAGAAGTTTTGCATATATATTTCTAACCTGAGTGCTTATTTATAATATGGAAATCGGTTTCTAGGACAAGGAAGAAAAGAGAAATCGCTCTTTTATTTAATCAGGAAAGTTTATGAAAGGCAGGAGATTCTGAGACCTCTCCATAAAGGAAAAGGAAGCTTCTTTGCAAACAAAGAATAATGATTCACTTCAGCTCTAGAGAAATGTATGAAGGAAGGGAGGAAAAGAGTTGAAATTCAGAATAAGAGTGTGATTCCATTACCTGAAGAGGCAAAAGAGCAGGAGGAAATTGGACAATCTAGGGTGGGTGAACTCCACAGTATGCAGAAGCTGGTGTTCTTGCCTGTGAGGGTGAGGTTATTTAAAGTAGTTCATCAGGGGAAGACACAGGGTATCTCCCAGGTCCACGGGAACTGGGGTGTGGAAATAGTGTCAACACTGTTCATTGAAATAATGTGTCAGCTGGAGGGGAATGGTCAGCCTGGAAAAGCAGAAGTAAAGTTGGTGGGAGTTCAGCACCATCTGAGCAGAAGTGAACCCAGAGGCCTCCCTAAAGCAGAATTCTTTCAGTACAGCAGGATTGTTGCAGTGAGCTTACCCAACACCACCTTGATGACATTCACACTCATCACTTTTCCCCTCTTGCTATAAAAAGCTAATACACAGTCAGTGACACAGTGTTTGACCTTTCAGTTACCTGAACATCAGGAAGCACATGTTGTGGGTGGGGTGAGAAGGAGACAAGCCCTATTGTGCATATGCATGTCTATATTATCTTCTATACATACCTTTTCATGATGTCAAAAGATCTTTCATCTACAGCTACATAATGTTGAAGTGTACAGAAAAGGAAGCTGAGATTGAAATACTGGAGTGTGATGAATGAAACCCAGAGACCAATGTCCCAAACATAGCCCAGTCTGCATCTCCCACATGAAGGAACCCAAGGAATGGGTAGGAATATTGTGATACTCCTTAAATCATAGTTAGGTAAATTATTCCAACACCTGCTACCTAAGTAGCATTTACCCATGCCTTTCATAGGAAAGAGAGTCTGCCAACTATCTATTGGAATAGAAAGTGAGGCAGGTGGAAGAATCTTATTTGTCAGTGTTAGATTCCTTTGCAATGACAAAAACACATCTATACAGGAAGAAAGCTATTTTATCCCAAATACTGAATGCAACTTTGTTTTCCTTTTGTCTTATTAGTCACGTTTCCATATATCCCCACTTAAGTGACATGAGATGGATGGGTTTCCACAAGGATCAGCTGGAGGAGTTTCACATCCATCTGGCAAAGCTGCATGAAGATAAGCCTCGTGTTTTCCAGGGAACTGCATTGCTCTACAGAGGCAATGCCGAATTATTCAATTGCTTTATGAATATTTCCTCCCATTAACCTCTCTCTGAAAATTTGCTGATACGCATTAAGTGTCTCTTAACCAAAATGCTTGGAACCGGGAGTGTTTTGAATTTTTTCAGATTTTGGAATATTTGCATAGACATAATGAGAACTCTTAGGGATGGGACCCAAGTCTAAACGCAAAATTCATTACTGTTTCATATGTATCCTATACATATAGCCTCAAAGTAATTTTATAAAATATTTTAAATAATATTGTGCATAAAACAAAGTTTTGACTGTATGTTGACTGTGATCCGTCATGTGAAATCAGGTGTGGAATTGTCCACTTGTGTTATCATGTTGGTGCTCAAAAATTTCATATCTTGGAGCACTTCACATTTCAGATTTTTGGATTAGGAATGCTAAACCTATATTGCCCTGTGTCATGGGTCCCTAACACAATCCATTTACTCTTTACTTATTTATTTATTTATTTTAAAAATGTTTACTGAATTCACACTATGAGCAAGACATTGTTTGGTACAAAAGACCAAATTTGGTAAAACAAACAAACAAAAAACATGCTCTTATGGCTAAGAAAAATAAGCGAGGAATAAAATGGATCTTAAGATGAGGAGGATGATGAATGACAAATGTCACAATTAATATATAGAAGGTACTGTCACTTCACCTAGGGAAACTGAGAAAGCTTCCTTAGCTTTGGAGCCATGAAGGATGGCTAACATTTACACAGGCATAGGTATGAGTCTCAGTAGAGAGCCAAGAAGAGCAGGAGCCTGTTGTGAAAAGCAGTGAATTACTTATTTGGCTAGTGGGTAGGAGGCAGGAAAAGTAAACCTGAAGCCTTTGGGGATGTTTGCAGGTAGCTGTATCTATTGCTGTTTGGTGCCCAGAGTATATGACTGTGTGGCGTCATTTAATAATGCTTTAGTGGAACATTTCAAAGTAGCCCCGCATAAAATCGTTCAGCGTAAGCCAGATAATCCTACCTAGTTTGAGAGGCATTTCCAAACTAGACTCCTGGGCCAATTTGCCATATTGCTACATTGTGCTGGGGCTAGGATCTGGGCCAATATGAATCTAGCTTTCTTTAAACCAGTTATTATATCTTTGCATAGTATGTGTTGCATCCTGGGCTGAAACTGAGCCTTGGAGGGAGCCTAAAAGAGAGTGAAGAATAGCAAGGTCTCTAAAGTCAGACTGCCTAACATTTCAGTTCTGGCTGGAGACTCCAGAATAAGTCACCAACTTTATGCAAATATCACCTGTAAAAACAGGACAATAACAGCACCTGTCTCATGGAGTCATTATTAGAAATCACTGAAGTGAGAGCTCAATAGATATTACCTGTGATGATGACATTTGAGATGCTCATGGAGTTAGTCTGTTCTCAACATTGCTATAAAGACATACTGGAGACTGGGTAATTTATAAAGAAAAGAGGTTTAATCAGCTCATAGTTCTGCAGGCTGTACAGGCTTCTGTTTCTGGGTAGGCCTCAGGAAACTTACAATCATGGCAGAAGTTGAAAGGGAAGCAAGCCCATCTTCATATGGCTGGCAGGAAGTGTGGGGAAGGTGCCTTTAAACACACTTTTAAACAAGCAGATATAAGGAAAATTCTATCACAAGAACAGCAAGGGGGAGGTCCACCCCCATGATTCGATCACCTCCCACTGGGCCCCTCCTGCAACACTGGGAATTACAATTTGATATGAGATTTGGATGGGAACACAGAGTCAGACCATATCATGATGTAAGGTGCTGGTAGTTTGGCTGACATTTCAAACAAATCTGGCTCAGGCCTAGGGTTTGCAGAGTCACATGGGCCTACTTGGGAAATTACAATAGCAGAGCAAACCTTCTAAATACATTTCACTTCCAGAAGCTGCACTTGGATGAAATACTGTCTCCTGAAGCTCTGAAAGTCCCTTTTCTGTGCTGCTCAAGGAAGCTCTAAAGACAGGTTGGTTCTGTGCTACTCCAAATAGCTCCAAAGACAGGTTTGGAACAATGACCCATAAAATGTCCATACATTTTAGGATACTAATGAAGAGCAATACTGGTCCAAAGTTCAGTGGTCAGAGTATGGGTGTGTTTGTTTTATTTCAGAACATCTGTATAGCATTTTCATTGCTTATACAATAGCAGGTATCTTCAGTATTATTTAAATTGAACTTCTAAACCTTCTTTGACAACATACCACGTATCCATTTATACATACACACTAAAAATAAGAGGGTGCATCCTTAATTTTAAATCAGTTGCATAGATTTCATTGTATAGATATAATTAGTAATTTTCCTGTTTATTGGCATCTCAGTTATTTCCAGGCTTCTACTAGCAATATTATCATGAATAAATTGTATGTATGTTAAAAAATAATAAGCTCATTCTTAGTCCTTGTTGAAAAAATTTTGTGTTACTTTTATGAGCAGGATGCAAGACTCAGACAAACAAGGCCTAGGTAGCTCATACTTTATTCTTTTTGCAACAACTTTTGAAAGGCTTGGAATATTCTGGTTATAGATGAAAGATGCTGTTATTTGCTATTTCTCTTCTTCTCCAAGTGAAGTTCTAATGAAACCATGTGTGGAAGAAATAAATCATTGGAAGGTCAAGAAGCTTCAAAAACAAAGTTTGAACAAGTTCCTGGTATTGTTGCTGAGTGTTAAATATTCTCAACTTATCATTTGCTCTTCTAGCTGCAGTTTTGCACAAGGAAGACAAGTGGGAGCAATTAAATCCTGCACCACTCCTCTTGAATTCAAGGCTGAGCCATTTGGACAAAGAAAATTGGGGAACAGGAGCAAAGACCCTCACTGACTGTGTTCTTTTTTCCATGAATTAGAAGGAAATTTAAGAAAATCACTTTGATCCTTTTTCTACCTGTAATGTTAAAAACTGTAAATATTTTCTTTCATTGAGAATTCTGGGATACAGTAGCAGACTTGGTAAATTTTAAACCGAAAAATTTATCAGCGTTTATTGCACGGACAAAGCAATAAAAAATTGCATCATCTAAGATGCCAAGAAACCACATGTGATACAGTCCAAGGACATCCAGAATTCCCATGGTCCTATGCAGTAGCTTACAAACTTAACTCTTTTTGGAAAATATGGACATACAATATGCTGACGGGCTTCCCATTCATTTTAAGTGTTTTTAGTGCAAGTCTCTCCACTCTATGATTTCTTGATAAGTTCCTCATAATGAAAATTCTTTTGTCATTATATACCTTGTTAGTTCTGATTCTTGTCCTTGGGAATCAAAGAATATTAGGGTTATAGGTGCAACATCACTCAGTCATTTAGGCAAAAGCCTTTCATTTTAAAGATTAAGAAAGTAATCTCTGAGCACACGAAAAGACAGTGGAGCATTGCACTTTCATCTTCATTTCACTCTTTTGCTTGCAAACTCCTTGAGGGTAGGAATTTGTTTTACTCATCAATAAATCTGCAGTAATACAACGTGGAGAATGCAGTTGGTGCACAAACAATATTGAAAGATTGTAGATATCTCTGTCCAAAGTCACACAGCTGCCAGAACCAGTGGCTCACTGGGATGAGTCTTGTGTCTACTGATCACCCGTTAAGGATGTTGCCTCTGAATTATTCCTCCAAGGGTTTTTTTCCCCCTGGGATGAAGAATAAATATCTGTTGTTTTCCTTATCATGTAAAAAAAGTGTATATGTTTCTGCAAATACTAGCCAAAGCATCCTACTTTAAAACTTCTCTTTAAAATTCCGGGGAGTGTCACCTTGACAACAGGCACAGAATCTTCCAACTGCAATAGAAAATTGACAAAATTTTTTAAACTCAGTGAAAAAAATAAACCCCACTACCAGTAATTAAATAAACAAAATGAAACAATTCCTTGCCATAAATTTCAGAAGGGCAGGGGAATGAGAGGAGAAAATAATAATAATTTTTTAAAAAGGCAAGGAAAGAAGTAGAAGATTGAGGCTTAGCTCTGGGAATCTCGTAACCTAGTCTCCACTCTTTGACAGGTGGTACTGAGGATATCAACAGAATTAAGAAGGAACATCCAAGACTTTACACTAAATAAGTATTCAAGTTGAAGATGAATTATCACCAGGGGAATAGAGTAATTCATGGTAGAGAATATTCAACAAAATCGCAGAAAAGAGTAAAAAACAGGTTCAGTAAAGATCTACTCTTAGTTTAGCTTTCCCCTTCTTACTTGTGCCTTTCATAGCCTCACTATATAGAAATCTATGGCTCAGAAGAAAAGGTAAACAGGTCCAGATAAGAAGATAAAGATGTTGGGGTTTCCAGTTTCATCTCAGACATGTAAATAACCTGGAAGTCATTATTCCTGTTCTTACAACAATAAAACACAGAATTAACTGAAAATAAATGACTTCTTTGACCCATCATAAAATTGAGGTTGCATGGCGAAACTCCACCCCGAAATCTAGAAGACAGGTAAATACAGAAAATCATAGTCAAGATCAGTTTACCCGGAGTGGAAGCCCCTGAAGCCATGCCTGGCATGCACATTGAGAAGTGACCGGGCAAATTGCTGGAGGCTGAGTGTGGACTGCATGAGACTGAAAAACTCTCGGAACTCATAGTCTCAGGGACACCCCACTGCCCCTGCCACGCTTTTGTGATTAGACCTCCAAAAAAACTCTCTCTCCTCTCTCTTCCCAACCTAGGTTCTTAAAGTAAAAACGAAACAAAAATCCTTTCATGTTTCTGACAGGAGGAGAGGAAAAGTATGTATTTTGAAATACGTCCAAAGCGTTCTGTATAACAACACCTACTCCATAGAGGAAAACTTGACCATAGCCTTATCTGACTTGTGAAAAGGGCAACTAAGCAACTCCAGCTACTCTAGCCTTCTTGTCTCTTCTAAAGGAAGGTTGGGCGAAAAAGCTAAGAAATACTTTTAAGTCAGAGACCAGGGAACAGATTAGGGAACAAGACTAAGATATAATTGTAGAGTACAGAATGCTTCTGTAGTCCCGAACCTTATCACCACCTCAGCAGGGCTTCCAAGTAATAACAGTGGGCTGTAACTGAAAGAGAGGCAAGATGCAGACTCCAGTTAAGGAGGGAAGCAGGGTCTAAAGAAGCCCAAAGACATCAGGAGAGACAAAAATAAAAACATTAGACATATTTGAAGCCTCTGGAACCTGAAGCTAAAGTAAACAGTAAACATAAGCAGGATTCCTAGGCAGAACAACAAAACTTCACACTGAAGGTCTACTTACCTCAGTTTCAATTCTCCAATACATTAAGTCCAGCTTTTCACAAAAAATTTTATGACATGTTAAAAAGGCAGGAAAAAAACACAGCCTGAAAAGACAAAGCAAATGTAAGAACTAGGCTCAGATATAACACACACTGTGGAATTGTCAGATAGGAAATTAACTGTGATCAACATGTTAATAGTTCTAATAAAAAAAGTAGACAAAAAACAAATGGGAAGTATAAACAGAGAGATGGAACCCCTGTGAAACTACCAAAAATAACCTGTTAGAAATAAAAAATTATCCAATAAAGATGAAAAATTCATTTGACGAGATTATCAATAAACTGGATTTGGCCCAGGAAAAATTAATGAGCTTGAAGATATGTCAACAGAAACTATTCAAGCTGAAATACAAACAGAAAAGATTTTTAAAAAGAACAAAATTGTGGAACAATTTCAAATGTATAACATGTATAGTTGGAATATCAGAAATAGAAGCAAGAGAAAACAGATCAGAAGAAATATATGAAGTAATAGTGGCTGAGAATTTCCCAAAGTTAATGACAGAAACAACCAGCTACAAAGCCAAGAATCTCAGAAAATACTGAGGGGAATAAATATATATTTAAAATTCTATTGGGCATATTATATTCACATGATACAAAATAAATCACAAAATCAAAAATGAAAAAGGCCAGGGAATGAAACATTAAAAATATTTTAAAATATATGTCTAAATTACCCACAGAGGAAAGAATTTCAAAAGAAATTACAAATATTTTGAAGTAAATGAAAATGAAAATACAGCTTGTCAAAATCTGTGAGATGCAGAAAAAGCAGAGCTTACAGGGAAATTTAAAACATTAAGTACATATATTAAGAAAGACAGAATGTAACATTAATAATTTGAGCTTCCATGTTAGCAAACTAGATAAAGAATAGTTTAATTCTAAATCAAGCAATGTAAATAAAATTAGAGCAGAGATAATGAAACTTAAAATAGAAAACAAAACCCAGAAAATCAGTAACCCAAAAATTGATCTTTGACAAGATCAATAAAATTCATAAACCTCTGACTAGGATAACTAAGATAAACACAGAAAAAAAAAGAGTATCAATAAGGATTCACCCAGTATATAAATGCAAGTAGAACTTCTGGCTCAAGCTGCCAAATTTTAAGGTCTCTGACCTTAAAAGTATTTCTTAGCTTTTTCACCCAACCTTCTTTTAGATGAGACAAGAAGACTAGAGTAGCTGGAGTTGCTTCATTGCCCTTCTCACAAGCCAGATAAGGCTATGGTCAAGTTTTTCCCTAAGGAGTAGGTCTCGTTATAGAGAATGCTTTGGACATATTTCAAAATACATATTTTTCTTCTCCCCCGATTAGAAACATGAGAGGATTTTTCTTTCCTTTTTACTCTGAGAACCTAGGTTGGGAAGGGAGAGTAGAGAGAGTTTACTTGGAGGTCTAATCACAAAAGCGTGGCAGGGGCAGAAGGGGCATCCCTGAGACTATCAGTTCTGAGAGTTTCTCAAGTCTCATGCAGTCCACACTCAGCCTCCAGCGATTTGCCCAATCACCTTCTCAATGTGCATGCCAGTCATGGCTTCAGGGGCTTCCACTGCAGGTAAACTGATCTTGACTATGATTTTCTGTATTAGAAAGGTGAGAAAAAGAAAAACTATTTGACAATTTTTCAAATATACCAAAGCAGATTTTTTTTGGAGATTAGAAAAGAATGGAGTATGCAAAATACACACACTCCTGTCTGGAAGAGTGAATAACCAGGGAAGAGAAGAGCATCCTGCAAGACAGTGTAATAATTAAAGGAAATAAGAAGCATGCAAGTTCAATCAAATACGTTCTGAAAGGTAAAATCCCAATGAAATGAAGAGGAATATTGGAAAGCTATCATCATAAAACAAGGAAGAACAAAACTATTTTTATTACCAAATAAATTGGGATGAAAGGCAAAATGGGCATAGATAAGACTAAGTGATCAAGTAAAAGGAATTTTATAGATTAGAGAATACAAAATAAAAACACAAATTAAATCAATTAGAGAGTATTTAATAGAGAGGATTAGGGCACAGGCTGAGGCATGGAAATAGAAGTGGAATTGGTGGCCCCGAAGTAAAGACAATAACCACATAAACTTTAAAAAAATGTAAAGATATATTTGAGTAGTTTTCTTTGAGATGATTGAATCTGAAGAACAAAAAATATATCACATTGATTTCTAGGAAAAACTGATATAGAAACTGATATGCATTCACCTAGTTTTTAAAGTTTAATATTAAAGTAAAGAAAAAACTTTACAGAAACCCAGGCATAATATGTAAGCAACTGACACGGAATTTTTTCTTTTACTGACTTATACTGAAAAATCTTCTAAGTCAATAGCTAATGTCCCTAGTGAAGGATTTGTAACCTTCCTTTACACAGGCAGCCTCATTATAGTTCAGACATAAAGGCAGTAGTCAGACATTCTCAAATATGAGAGAACTTAGCATTAGGAGACCAAAAAAGTAGTGAAAATAAAGAATTAAAGAAAACAGAAATCATCCCAAAAGTCTGATAAATAAGAAACATTCCTATTAAAAAACAGAAGCAGAACTAGATAACCAAGATGATTTTGGTTATAAAACAGAATGCCACCAATTTATAATACCAGTTTAGACCATTCTATATCACAGACTATAGATACAATAATATAAATAATTTTTCAAAAGAACTGTATTTTTAAACATATAAAACTTTAAATTTATATTTTAAAAGCATAAATAATAAAATTTAGCAATTAGATAAAATAATTTCATCATCTATCCATGGGTAGTGAATAAGATTCAAATATATTTTTAAGTGATTCCATTATTATTTTTATAATTTTACATAGAAATTTACAAGAATCTTTAATGGCTTATATTTTTATAATTATACAATTTTAAAATTTTTTCCTTTTTTAAAATTTGGTCATGTATTCATTATTCACTCAGTCAAAATAATATTGAGTTTTAAACTGAACATAGCATGTATAGTAAAGTCTTCTAACAATTGATGATTTTCAACTATAACACACAACTACAAAACCTCAGTGGCAAACAACAAAAAAGACCTAAGCTTACGAGTCTGTGGGTTCAGCTGATACAGTACAGGTTCAGCTCAGCTGAGCTCAGTGGCTCACCCTGCAGGCAGCTGTGAATTGCCTAAGAGCTCTGCTGACTTCTGCTGGGCTTCCTTATGTCTAGGGGCTGGCTTACTGCTCTGATATAGAAAGGTCTCAACCAGTATGACTGGGCAACTCCATTCTATTCCATGTGTCTCCTTCTTCAGCAGCCCAGCCCAGCCTATTCTTGCGGTGACTGCAGACGGGAAAGAGCAAGCCAGCCTATTCAAGTAAACACTGTTCAAGTTTTCCGTGTGTCATGTTTGCTTATATTCAATTGGCTGCAGCAAATCACAAGGCTGAGGCCATAGTCACAGGGCAGGTCAGACCAGTGTTACATGGTGAAAGGGCCTAAATATAGGGAAAGATAAAGAATGGAGACCAGGGCCAGGCACGGTGGCTCATGCCTGTAATCCCAGTTCTTTGGGAGGCTGAGGCAGGCAGATCGCCTGAGGTCAGGAGTCCAAGACCAGCCTGGTCAATATGATGAAACCTTGTCTCTACTAAAAATACAAAAAGTTAGCCTGGCATGGTGGCGTGCGCCTGTAATCGCAGCTACTCGGGAGGCTGAGGCATGAGAATTGCTTGTACATTAGGGGACAGAGGTTGCAGTGAGCTGAGGTCATGCCACTGCACTCCAGCCTGGACAATAGAGTGAGACTCTGTCTCAAAAACAAAACAAACAAAAAGAGAATTAGGCCATTTAAAACTCTACATATTTTTTTCTCTCACTGAGTACCTATTCATTTAACAAGCTCCTATCTAGCTATCTATCTATATGCATATTGAGATAAATAAAATATTCTCAGAAGATTGAGTAACCTAATATAAGTAATAATTCCTAAACAAATACATTTATATATTGAAGATACATTAAATCATATTTTGACATCCAGGCAACCATTATTTAAAGTCAGAATTGGCCAAGTGTGGTAGCTCACACCTGTACGCCCAGCACTTTGGAAAGCTGAGGCGGGCGGATCACGAGGTCAGGAGTTCGAGACCAGCCTGACCAACATGGTGAAACCTCCTCTCTACTAAAAATACAAAATTAGCAGGGCATGGTGGTGCACGCCTGTAATCCCAGCTACTTGGGAGGCTGAGGCAGGAGAATCACTTGAATCCAGGAGGCAGAGGTTGCAGTGAGCCAAGGTCATGCAATTGCACTCTAGCCTGTGCAACAAGAGTGAAACTCTGTCACAAAAAAATAAAAAATAAAAACAATAAAGTCAGTGTTAAATTCAGATTGGAGATCCAATTCCAGAATTGTGGCAAGAAGGACTCCACAGACCCACTAGTCTTGCCATAATTGGTGAAAGTCTTTTTTTTTTTAAAGAAGTTTGTTGGTTTTTTCTTTTTTCTTTTTAAAAATAATTTCAACTTTTATGTTAGATTGAGAAGGTCCATGTATAGGTGTGCTGTATTAGTCAGGGTTCTCTTAGAAGGACAGAACTAATAGGATATATATATATATATATATATATATATATATATATATATATATAATATATGTAAAGGGGAGTTAATATTAAGTATTAACTCACATGATCACAAGGTCCCACAATAGGCCATCTGCAAGCTGAGAAGCAAGAAGAGCCAATATGAGTCCCAAAACTGAAGAACCTGGAGTCCGATGTTCGAGGGCAGGAAGCATCCAGTATGGGACAAAGATGTAGGCTGGGAGGCTAGGTCTGTCTTGCTGCTTCATATTTTTCTGCCTGCTTTATATTTGCTGGCAGCTGATTAGATGGTGTCCACCCGATTAAGGGTGGGTCTGTCTTTCCCAGCCCATTGACTCAACTATTAATCTCCTTTGGCAACACCCTCACAGACACACCCAGGACCAATATTGCATCCTTTAATCCACTGAAGTTGTAACTCAGTATTAACCATCACATGTGCTATGTGAGTATATTGTGTGATGCTGATGTTTGGGATATAATTGATCCAGTCACCAGGTAGTGATCATAGTACCCAATGGTTAGTTTTTCAATCCTTGCCCCCTCGCTTCTCCCGAGTAGTTCTTAGTTTCTATTGTTGCTATCTATCTTTATGCCACATGTCCCCAATGTTTAGTTCCCACTTATAAGTGAAAACATGTGGTACTTGAAAACCAACAATTTAAAGTTTTTGAAAATTGTCCTAAAGATATATAGCAAATGGAGAAACTTTTTTTTATTTTTTTATTTTATTTTATTTTGTTTTGAGACAGAGTCTTACTCTGTAGCCCAGGATGGAGGGCAGTGGGGAGATTTTGGCTCACTGCAACCTTTGCTTCCCAGGTTCAAGCGATTCTCATGCCTCAGTCTTTCGAGTACCTAGGATTACAGGTGCATGTTGTCACACCCAGCTAATTTTTGTATTTTTTTGTAGAGATGGGGTTTTTCCATGTTAGCCAGGCTGGTCTCGAACTCCTGACCTCAGATGATCTGCCCACCTTGGCCTCCCAAAGTGCTGGGATTACAGGTATGAGCCACTGGGCCCAGCCAAATGAAGAAACATTTATTCAAGGATGTCTACTCATCTTGGTAGGAATAGCAAGAGTCTGACACTGGGTCCACAACCTACTCTTATCTTTCTCACCCCCAGCTTAGCATGACAGAAGCTCCACTCCAGGTAGACGTGATCAAAAAAAAAAAAAAGAAAGAAAAAAGACAGAGTTTCTCTCTCCTCTACCTTCAAACTCCATAGGAAGAGATATGGTATCTTCCTGGGAGAGTCAGGAGCCAGCATTTCTTAGCTCCATCTCCCTCCCTACTTTCAGCCCTCTATTGCAGAAGGTAAATTTCAAGCAAGTTTGGCTAAAGGTTGGGGGCTACCTTGCTTCATCCAGCCCTTATTCGTAGGACAAAGGCTCTACACCAGGTGTGGCAGGCCCAGAATATTGGAACCATAACTGCCTACCTCCCTGATCAATCATAGGGTGGAGGTTGCATATTGGGAGAGACAAGTCAAGAAGACCAACCAGGGGAGTGAGGAGGGCTGCCACCACCAACCAGGAGAGTGAGGAGGGTCTGTGGATGGAAAATTATTAAAAGGAACTTGATTAGGGGTACAGGGATTCTTGCTCAACTTGCTTAGCAAGATTCCTTATTAAAACTGTTCTTGGCAAGCCAGAGGAAGGTAGCAGACTAAGTTTGAGGCCTAGCTGGGAAAAGGGCCTAGAGGAGGGTGACTCAAGTTTGGTCAAGGAATGAGTCCTTATTAGTTGAGAGTAATATCTGGAGACATCAATACCCCACTTTGAAAAATGAATGAATAATAATGCAGAAGAACAACAAAGAAACAGAATGCTTGAATAAGATTGTAAACCAATCACACCTAAGAGATAACTACAGGAATTCCAGCCAACAACAGCAGAATACATGTTCTCAAGCACACATGGAACATTTGCTAGGATAGATCTATGCCATAAAATAAGCCTCAATAAATGTAAAAGGTTTGAAACCATAGTTTCTTCTCCAACCATGATTTTTTTCTCTAATTTTGAAATTGGGCATTAAAAACAGAAAGAAATGAGAGAAAGCCATAAATATGCAGAAATTAACATGTTTCTAAATAATTAATAGGTCAAGAAAATCACAAGAGAAATTAATATGAATATTAATATAAATTAAAATACACAACACACCAAAATTTATGATCTACTGCTAAAATCTTGCTTAGAAGAAATTTGTGGATATAAATATCTTTTTTTAAAAAAAGATCATTAATCAAGAATCTCAATTTTACTGTAAGACATTGGTAGAAGAGCAAATGAAACCAAAAACAAGCAGAATAAGAGACTAAGAAAGATCAGAGAGGAAATTAATGACATGGAGGATAGAAAAACAACAGAGAAAATCCACACTGCCAAAAGTTGGCTTTGAAAAGGTCTTTGAAAAGATCAACAAAATTGGGAAAAAAAAAAAAAACACCTTTTAAGCTCAGCAAGAAAAAATGAGAAACAGCCAAATTATCAAAACCAGGGATAAAAGAGGATATTATTACTGACTTTAAAAGAAAACAAAAAGGATTATAAGGAAATACTTTGGATAATGGAGCACCAACAAATTAGGTAACTTGCATGAAATGGAGAAATTCCTATAAAGATACATACTACCAAAACTAATGCCATCTGAAGACTATACACTGTATGATTCCAATTACAGCCTGTGCTTCAAAATTCATCCCTACCCTGACCCTAAACTATGGCAACCACTGATTTGTTTTACTATCTGTATAGTTTTGCCTCTTGCCCTACAGGTGATTGGTTCCAGGAGCCCTGTGTATACCAAAATCCATGTGCACTTGAGTCTTGCAGTCAGCACTGGAGAACCTGTGTATCTAAAGTCAACCCTCTATATACACAGGTTTCACATCTCATGAATATTGTATTTTCCATCTGTGTTTAGTTGAAAAAATACACACATTAGTGGACCTCTGCAGTTCAAACCCATGTTGTTCAAGGGTCAACTGTATATGACATTCTGGAAAAGGCAAAACTATAGAGACAGTAAAAAATATCAGTGCTTGCTGGGAGTTGGGGTGGGGGTAGGGATGAATTTTGGAGCACAGAGAATTTTTAGGGCCATAAAAATTCTTCGTATGATACTATAATAATGGATACAAGTCATTATACATTGGTCCAAACCCACAGAACATACAATACCAAGAGTGAACCCTAATGTGAACTATGGACTTTGAGTGATTTATAATGTGTCAGTGTAGGATTATCAGTTGTAACAAATATACCAGTCTTTTAGGGGATGTTGACAATGAGACTGGCTATGTGTGAGAGCAGGGGAAATATGGGAAATCTCTGTACCATCCTCCCAATTTTCCTGTGAACCTAAAATTGCTCTAAAAAAAAGTCTTTAAGAAAAGGAAAGAAAATGGCACATCAATATCTCTTATGAATACATACACAAAATTCTCAACCAAATACTAGGAAACCAAATCCAGCAACCCATAAAAATGATTATACATCATAAATGAGAGGGGTTTACATCAGGGATGCAAAGTCAGTTTAACCTTAGAAAATCAATTAATGTAATACACCATTTCAAAGGAAATAAAGGGCAAAAACCACATAATTATCTCAATAGATGCAGAACAAGTTTTGACAAAATCTAATTTCTTTATGATGAAAGCACTCAACCAACTAGAAACACAAGGGAACTTCCTGTACCTGATAAAGAGCATCTACAAAATCCCCCAGCTAAAAACACACAATGGTAAAAGACTGAATGTTTCCCCCTGAGAAAGGAACAAGATGGTGATGTCTACCCTTGCTCCATTAATTCAACATTGTACTGGAGACTATAACCAGGGAAATTAGGCAAGAAAATGAAACTTAAAATGCCAGAATTGGAAAGGAAGAGGTAAAATTATTTCCATTTGTAGATGGCGTGATCTTGCATATAGAAAATCCTAATGAATGCACTGAAAGAAAACTATTAAAACTAATAAGTTCAGAGTGTTTGGATATACAACATCAATATAGAAGAATCAATTCTATTTTCACACACTAGCAATAAATATTTTGAAATGAAATTAAGAAAACAATTTCATTTACAATAGGATACAAAAGAATAAAATGCTTAAAAATATTAAAAGAAGTGCAAAATTTGTATGTTGAAACTATAAAACATGATTGAAAGAAATTAAAGAAAGACATCCCATGTTCATAGATCGGAACATGTAATATTTTTATCATGGTCATATTCCCCAAATTGGTGTACATATTCAATGTGGTCATTAAGAAGCTTAACTTAAAATTCACAACAAAATGCCAGGACAAAGAATAGCCAAAACTATTTTCAAAAAAGAAAAATAAAATTGGAGGACCTACACATCCTGATTTTAAAACATAGTATAAAACCACACTAGTAAAGATAATATGGTGCTGGCATAAGAATAGACATACAGATCAATGGAATCGAAATTAGAGTCCAAAAATAAACGCTCATGCTTAGGGTCAACCGATTTTCATCAAGAGTTTCAAGGCCATTTATACGGGAAACAACTGTCTTTTTAACAAATAGCAATAAACACCTGGATATCTACATGCAAAATAATAAAGTTGGGCTCCTCCCTCACATCATACATAAGATGGATCCCAAATGGACCAAAGACCTAAAAGTACAAGCTAAAACTATAAAGCTCTTAGAAGTAAGCATAGAAGTAAATCTTCATAACTTCAGGTTAGGCAAAGTCTACTGAAAGCATAAATGACAAAAGAAAAAAATAGGTAAATTGGACTTCATTGAAATTAAAAACTTTTGTACTTTGAGGCCATCCAGAAAATGAAAGTACAACCCACAAAATGGGAGAAAATATTTGCAAATTATATATAGAACTTTATACACACACACACACACACACACACACACACACGACTTGTATCTAGAATATATAAAGAACTCTTGCAATTTAACAATGAAAAGGCAACCAATCCAATTAAAATATGGGCAAAGAATCTGAATAGAAATTTCTCCAAAGATGCATAGATAACCAAAAGCATATGAAAAGATGTCCAACATCAATAGTCACCAGGGAAATGCAAGGCAAAAGTCACAATGTCATTCATGCCTACTAGGATGGGTATAATAAAAACGACAGATCTAAGTGTTGAAAAAGATAAAGAGAAATTGGAACCCTCATACGACGCTGGTAAAATGTAAAATGATGCAGCAACTTAGAAAAACATCGGGCACTTCTTCCTCAAAAGGCTAAATACAGAGTTACTATCTGAGCCAGCAATCTCGCTCTTAGGTATATACCCAAGAGGAATAAAAACATGTCCCCACAAAAACATGTACACTAATGTTCATAGTAGCATTATTCATCAGAACAAGAAGTAGGAATAATACAAAGGTCCTTTAACTGATTAATGAATAAACAAAAGGAAGTTTATTCCTACAACAAAATACTATTTGGCAATAGAAAATAATGCAATATTGATGTGTTACAACATGGATGAACCTT
The DNA here is from genome assembly GCF_000001405.40 of Homo sapiens. Lineage (NCBI taxonomy): Eukaryota > Metazoa > Chordata > Mammalia > Primates > Hominidae > Homo > Homo sapiens. The sequence continues at coordinate 187,387,198 of NC_000004.12, forward strand.
GAAAACATAATGCTAAGACAAAAGTCAGTCGCAAAAGACAACATATTGTATAATTCCATTTATATACAATGCTCAGAATCAGCAAATCTATAGACAGAAAGTAGATGAGTGGCTGCCTAGGGAGGCCAGGGTGGGATGATTGGGTGTGATAGCTAATGGCTGTAAGGTTTCTTCTAGAGGTGATGACAATATATAAAAATGTATTGTGGTGGTAGATGCACAACTCTGAATACACTAAGGACCATCAAACCGTACACTTGCAGTGGGTGTGTTTTATGGTATTTGAACTATATCTCAACAAAGCTGTTTTAAAAACAGATTATACCAGTACTGGAAAACAATTTTCTCAACAGAAATCAAACATTTGTAAATTCATGGTCATCAGATTTTCATTTACATTTTAATTACTAAATATAAATCCTAAATCTAAATATATATCCAAACATAAACTTGTTTTTCTCATTTTTATGATTATTTAGCTTATTAATTGTTCAATTTTAATTTATCCCTCTACTGATTGCTGAAAATCACTAAATTTTTTTGAAGAATAATTTTAGATAGATTTTTAAGGTCAATAAATACCTTGGAAAAAGACACTTTCTTTATTTTGAAATGTAATCTTTCACTGTTTCAGAGTAAATACACATCAAGAATGACTCACATGTAAATAATTGCAGATAAAATCCGGGAACTACATTTGAGCAGAGCCAGACTGTCATCCTGTAGTTCTTCAAAGGCTTTGGAACTGCCGCCAGTGGTTACATATTTTGCCGCTCTAAGTATCTTAAAATGGAAGAATCCCCCTCATACTTTCCATAAAGATTCGCCCACCACAAAGCATATTTGTTTGGAGACCTCCTCAGTGACATTTCACAATTGTGAGCGTGAATTATAGATTCCTATTACTTAAGCTTTTCATCAGGCCTAACTCTATGAATTTTGCTAGACTTTTTATTTTTCACTGAATTCTATTTCAACCTCATATCCATTGTGGATAACAGGAATTTTTCTCTCCTTCCGGAAATCCTTGTTTTGTGTGTGTGCATTTCAGAACACATTTGTGTGTGTGTATTTCTCTTGAATCAACAACCAGTGACTGATCTCTGCAGATCTACTGATAAAGGACATTTATTTTACATTTGTACTTTATAATGTCATGTGATAAAAGTTAAGCCAAAATTCTGGGTGACAAGTCGCCTAAGGTGTCTTAAGAGCTGAGAACAAGTTATGTTCAGAATGCATGGATTTCTAGAATGGATATCCCAAACAGCTACTATATACATTATTATGGAGCTGCTTTCTGTTTCTTGAGAACTTGCATTTTCAGAAAGCAATGTCCCTAAATTAAAAATGGCATTTGAACCTAGACTCCTACATAAATCTGTAGTGGGTATTACATATGCTTTGGGGTCTGGAATTCTAAATCTAGCTCCCGTTCTGGCATCTTCAATTAGTGCCACTTGGAAAAGATGGCTTTAGTTCTTCTCACCTCAGTCTCCTAACATATAAAATGTGTACAATTTTTACCTACTTGATAGAACTGTTGAGAAAACTAACTGAGGCAGCACATGTAAATTACTTCACACAGTGACAAAAACACTAAAGTTTTTAATAGTAGAATTTAGGTTGCACAATGTCTTAAATATAGAAGCTAGATAGTCAATATACATTAGTTTTAAAATTCTGCTTCCTTAACTTTCTAAAACTATGGAGTGTAGATTATTTGTATAAATCCATGTATATATGGCACCACATTAATGAACTGTATAGATTAACTATCTTATATTATCCTGCTTGGTTTGTGATGAAGAGGACAGCTTGCTCCATCTTTCAGTGTAATTTTAAGACAGAAAGCCTGTTATAAAACCAGTGAATTTCCAGGCCATCATAATAAAATTTCCTATGATAATAATAATGTGCTTTTGTTCAAAATTAAAATATTTGAAGAGATGAGAGTTTTAATATTAGTTTCAAAGACTGACATGACTTATTAAAATTATATTAATTTACGCTCATTATATCTTTTATGATAAAAATTTTAAACCTCTGAAGCAACTCTGAGTTCATTCTAGCAATAAAATAAATATTTCAACACCTACTATGTGCCAGGAAGTTTTTAAGTGCTTAGACTGTATCAGGGAACAAAACAAAGATCTTGCTTTGGGGAAGTTTACTTTTCTGAGGAGGGAGACCGACAATAAACTATACACACAAAAATAAGTCAGCTGTTTAGTATGTACAACAGATAAGGAGAATTAAGAGTTCCATTGTGGTGCCATTTTAAATAAGATGGTTAGTGTATGTCTGGTTGAGAAGGATTTTAAGTGAAACCACTTAAAAGAGGTGAGGAAATTAGCAGTGCTGATAATTCAGAAGAGTAACCAGCAGAAGGAGGGCCAGGGCAAAAAGGCCCCAGAGCTTGAGTGTTCCTGGCACGTTTGAGGAACAGTAAAGGGCCATTGAGTTGGAAGAACAGTTAGAAATGTGCTCAAAAGGTAACAGAGGAGCTTCATCAGGTGGAAACTTGTAGTCCATTGTAAGTTTGGGGAATTTTCGTCTAAGTGAAATTAGAAGAGTTCTGAGCAGAGTGGCATGCTCTGACCGATACTCAGAAGGAGCGCTCCAGCTCATATGTTAAGAATAGACAGCACAGGAAGAGGCACAGAAACAGGGAGCCGCTCAGCAGGGCATCGAGGTAGAGGAAAGAGAAGATGGCGGCTGCAGAGAGGCAGAAAGGAAGCCGGAAGCAGTAGGGATCTCGATTTCGGTATATTCTGAAAGTGAAGTCAGAATGATTTCCTGACATAGTGGAGCTGGGATATTAAAGAATGAGGGAAATCAAACGGGATTCCGATGCTTTTCACCTGAACGGGAAGACAGACGGAGTTTCACCAACCAAGATAGGGGAAGCTGTAAGCAGATCGTTTGAGGGAGGTGGAAATCGGGAGTTCAGTTTTTGGAAACATTTAGTTTGACATGTGTATTTGTCACCCAAATGGAGCTATCAAGGGGACAGCTGGATACTTAAGACCACAGTTCAGGACAGTGGTCTTGGCTGGAGATTATCAAAGGAATGAAAGCACGCAGAGTAGACGATCAAGGACCGAACTCAGGTTATTCAAACATTAAGAAAGAGACAAAGGAGTGACGTTGGAGAAAAACCAAAGATAATGTAATATTCTAGCAGCCAAGTGTGGAAAAAAATGTTTAGGGAGAAAGGGGTATACAACTACATCAAATATTTCTGGTAAGTCAAGAAATATGAGAGCTGATCATTGACTATTGGTTTTAGCAATCTCGAGGTTATTGGTGATCTCTGACAAAGCAATTTTAGAGGAATGGATGAACTGAAAGCCAGATTTGAATGCCTTAAGAGAATAAGGAAAGGAGAATCTGAGACTATGAAAAAAGACAATCTTTAGAAGAGTTTTACTACAAGGGATAATAAGAAAGTGGGAATTAAGAATTTTAAAGATTCATGAAATAACAGTAGTAAAGGCAATAATTCAGTAGAGAAGGGAAGGCTGATGATGTATGACAGAGAGACAATTATCTCAGAATAGACAAAGAGTAGGCTGTCCTGCATAAATAGAGGGGCTGCACTTACATAGGATCATAAATAATTTGTGGTTTCAGGCAGAAAGACAGTTGGTGGGTAGATGGCATGATAGGATTCTGCAGAACTTTCTTTTGGTTTCCTGCTTTCTCAATGAAGTAAGGAGCAAGATCATCAGATGAAAGTGAAGATGAGGGAGGAAGTATTGGAGATGGAGGAGGGAAGAAGAGAAGATATGCAACTGTCATCAAGATGCTCGGATAGATTAGCAAACATAACAGGGTTGCTGGGAACATCAAGGACCCACTTAATAATTTTGGTCATAAACTGAACATGTGAATTTAAAGCTGGACCAGTCATTGTTTTTACCCAACTATGTTCAGTTACATGGATGCAAGTATGGAATAAGCAGGAGTTGGAATTAAGGTTGTGTTTTCATTTTAAGTACTAAAAACTGAGTTGATTTGTTTCCCATAGTTGTAACAAATTGTCACAAATGTGGTGACTTAAAACAACAGGAATTTATTCTCTCACTGTTCTGGAGGCCAGAAGTCAAAATCAGTATCAAGGGCTATAGACGGGTTGACAGAGCTGCACTCCCTCTAAGGCTCCAGAGGAAAATCGTTTCTTTCCTCTTCCAGCTTCTGGTGGCTGCCGCATTTCTTGGCTTGTGGCTGCATCACAATGAGCTCTGCCCTCGTGGTCACAGGGCCTTCTCTTCCATGTGCCAACTTTCCCTCTGCTTCTCTCTTAGAAGGATACATATGACTGCACTTAAAGCCCACACCAAAAATCCAGAATAATCTCTCCATCTCAAGATTCTTAATTTAATCACATTTCCAAAATTCTTTTTTTTGCCATATAAAGTTACCTTTGCAGGTCCAGGGATCAGGACATGAATATCTTTAGTAGGGGCCTTACCTAGCACAGCACACTGAAAAAAGGAAAGGGAGTGAGCACATATTCAAAGTGAGGTTACTATCATTGGCCATGAAATTTAAGCTTTGATAAGTTGTTTTCATAGATTAAGTGAGCTAAACAGAGGAGGTAGTGGTCAGGAAATGTTGACTTATAAAACCAAAATCATAGTGGGCCAGTACATGTCGGTAATGACAAGGTCTAGTTCATGTCTGAGATCGGATGGAAGACAAAATTATCGGAAAAGAAGAAGTCAAATTGAGAAAGCAAACAGTTGGAAATACCACCTTCAGGTAGATTAAAATTGTCAAAAATTAAGAGAAATGGATACAGAGAATAAATAGAATTAGTAGGTAGAAGGATAAATGAAAATGTGATAGATTTAAATTCATACTGTTCACTCTTTATATGATATGTATCTGTGTGTGAAAAATTCCAATGTAAATCCTTCTCTTTCCCCAGGTAACTAAATTATGCCACTTGAAGTTAAAAAATTATCAAAATTCAATTTTCATTGAGAGGGTTTTTCTAATATATTTTTATGCCTGTGTTCTTAGGTAAATGTAGCCTGAGATATAGACATGAGTTTATCCCTTGAGTTGGAGTGTGTGATGATGCTCCAGGGGTCTTTTGAGGTGTCTGAAAATGTTTACTTTTACTTTCGCTCTAGACAGCTGTGTGTTTTAAATCTTGGGTCTGCTATTTATATTTTCTATTACCTTTCTTGCTGCTTAGCTGTCATCTGTCACTTACTTTTGTTGTCAGTGTGCTTTTAGGCTTTTGCATTCCAATTTGTAGTTTATAAGATGTCTTAGAGAGGGCAAACAGGGAGAAAAGCTAATTATAATTGTGTTCTAAAAATGAGAAATGTGACTCTGAATGAGATCCTTTGCTTCTAAATTAAGTTTATGGACTACAAAGTCTACGAACAGATAGTCTATGTTGTATGGCTATTTCTCATTTTTACTTGTATTACGGATGTCTGCAAATTTGCTATTAGGTGTCTATTCAGATACCGTACTTATGAACACTAATAAATCTCCATAAAAATTAAAAGATTGTATATCAAAGTTTATGGACAATATACAAAAATCTCATTATCTCCAGATAATGTGTTGTTATTACTGTATTTCCAAACCCATAGACTCTGTTCCATATCCATTTTCTAAAATATGTCGGGGTCCTGTCTGGAAACAGATGACTCACTCAAATTTAGCATTTTTAGGAGAGTTTTATAGATGACTATTTACAAAACTGAAAACAGGATTTAGAAAAACCAAAATGGGAGGTACAATATTCCAGAGCTAGTAACAGGAAGCTGTTTGCAGGACTAAGCTGACAGGAGTTTTTATCAAAATCTGGAGAGATCCTTGTGTTAGGAGCTGCTGGAGAGGAGCTGTGGCCTCCCCTGGACTGATAAGTCAGCTGGAGGATACCTGGCAGGGAGAAAGCCAGAGGGATAAAGAACCGACTTCCCTCTTCAGCCACCGTGACTTCCTAGCGATGCCTCCCTGGCCCACGCTGAACAGGAAATCAGAGCTGAAGTGAGCCCACTGATTTAGTTTGTGTTACCTGGACTTTCCGGGGCAGAAAGCAGATACAGTTGGGTGAAAGGTGAAGGGTGGCTACGGAAGGGCAAATGGAAGCCATCCACCATGGTACAGAAATGAAATTTGAACCTGAACCTCCCTCAGCAAAAGAACAACATATAAAAAATTACATGTAGTAATTGAACCAATATTGTTTTCCATCAATAGTATTATAAATACATGCTAATATATTTATGATGACATGTCATCCCTTTTGGAGGTTCCTGCAGATAAATTATCTCTAAAACTTAGGAGCAGTCTCAGAAAGAAGATTATAACAAATGTCATTTCCTCATTCAAGGCAAAAAGTTAGTATTATTCTTTTACCATCTATAAAGTCTTAAAAAATACCAGATTTAGACTGACTTTTCTCAAGATCAAATAATTTACTTGATGAGTCATTCTTCATAGGAAATGTATGAAGAGTTTGTAAGTATATAGGCCCAAATGAGATAAGGGTTCCCTGAGGCAGCACATGTGGTCTGTGTTTGTTGGATGCTGGCAAATGACTTTGTCTCAGTCCTTCTAGAGGGAAGCACACAGTTCACTTCCATCAGAAAGTTAGTCTGTGGAGTATTATACTTTCCCGTATAGCAGATTCAGATTCAAGTTAATTTTAAAATAGAAAAAGTCTACATTCTGCTCTCGACAATATGTTTTTCCTATTCATAGTTTACAGGCCAGATGTTATTTTCTGAAGTGCAAGTAATGAATGCAAGAATTTTAGGAACTTCATGAGAGTATTTCAGAGTGAGGAATATTAATACTTAGACAATAAAAGAGAATAACAAATTCGTATTAAAGTCATTAAAGAAGGTCACATGAAAAAATGTTCAAATTCCAGAAGTATTCAGTCTACCAGCAATCATTTGTATTTATTTTCTCAATGTTATTTATTTTCTAAATATTTGAGAGCACAGTCACCCTGCTATAATCTAACTATGGGTGGTTTTTTTTTTAGAAAAAATTTTGTTGTTATAATCAGAGGGAAGGTTCTGCATTCTAGTCAACTCAATGAGAGATAACACTTCAGAATGCATGACAGAAAGACCTAGAGAGAATACTGCAACTGCAGGCTAGAAAAAAAGAGATAAACAAAATCTCATTATCTCCAGATAATGTGCTGTTATTATTATATTTCCAAACCCATAGACTCTGTTCCATATCAATTTTCTAAAATTGGGCAATTTTGGTAAGTTTTCTTTTTATAACATTAAGTAAAAATAGAAGCATTAATGCTAAGTGAACCTAAATAGATGCTAATATCCCTTTTAGTGGTTCAACTTTGCAGTTCAAGAAAGACGCCTCATATTCCATCTGTGGTTAGGCATTGTGTTGGGCACATCAGAGTATAAAAATAAATGCAGCAAAATTAACCATCTGAACATACAACAACTTCTTAATGCATCTACTGTGCCAGACACTGTGTTAAGTGTTAGAAGTATTGAGAAAGAAAAATGCAGTCATGTCCTAGGGGAACTTCAACCAAATAAGAGGGAAACAGGCAAACTGATCACATAGAGTGACAACTGAAAGTGGGATTTGCACTCAGTGTTTTGAGAGTATAAAAAAGAAGCCCTCAATTTTGTCTGTGAGATGGTAGATCAAAGTAGCTTATTAAGAGGAGGACAACATAAGTATTGAAGAATGACTTAAGCAGAGGGAGGGGATTATTCAGGGTAGAGGGTTATAAAATGTTCAGGGAACCATAGATGATTTTATATGATAAAACGAACCCTGAAGTTGAACAGTAATTCATCATGATTCTTAGACACAGTCAGAAGTTGTCAAATAACTGAATATGCCCTTCAGCAAGGTTTCTGATTTTGAAAAAGGAAAATATGCCTTAATTTTTCTTGAACAAAGACATCAACAACAATTAATTGGAAAATCTTTGCCTGTAGGAGGAACGGGACACTTCCCCAAATTGTTTTACATTCTGTTTAGATTGGAAATGCTGTAAGAGAGAATTGTTAAAAACATACAAAAACTAAACAAGTTAATATTGAGTGCAGTTGAATAGAAATATTATTCAAATATGAACCTACATGGAGTTGATGTGGGGCTAAATATACAGATTTATATATGTTTCTATAATATTTAAAATAAAGTTACTTTTTTTTTTTTGAGACAGGAGCTCACTCTGTCACCCAGGCTGCAGTGCAGTGGCACAATCTTGGCTCACTGCAACCTCTGCCTCCTGGGTTCAAGCGATTCTTCCACCTCAACCTCCCGAGCATCTGGGAGTACAGGCGCCCACCACCATGCCTGGCTAATTTCTGTATTTTTAGTAGAGACAGGATTTCACCATGTTAGCCAGGCTGGTCTCGAACTCCCGGCCTCAAGTGATCCACCTACCTCGGCCTCCCAAAATGCTGGGATTACAGGCATGAGCCACCATGCCCAGCCAATGTTGCTTTTGAATTAAAGATTTTATTATTATTGAGGCTAGTTGAAAGCAAATGGCCTAGCTATATAAATTATCATTGCACAGGAAAGTCTCATGTAGTACCATGTATTGTGTGAATATATTTACTGTTTATATATATACATAAATATCTACACACATACCTTTATGTACATATGTATATATAACCAGTAAATACACATATTATCATATTTATCATTGCACAGAAAAGTCTCATGTAGTACCATGCATTGTGTGAATATACATTTATATTTATTTACTGTTTGTATATATACATATCTATACACATAGATTATGTACATATTATATATACGCAGTAAATATATATGTTCACTTGTATATTTTAAAAATAAAACAATGGTCATCTAACAAGAGACCTGCATCAGGATATACAGAAGGATGGAAACTTCACTTGTCTGATTGCATCTTGCTTTATACTGTATTTCAAATCCATGTAAGTATTTTACATAATAGAAGATCATATCCAAAAAACAGAATCCACAAAATTAAAAACTATCAAGTTGTGCTTTGTGCTACCGTCATGTGCCAATGACTCTGAAGAGTGCAGGTGGTAAACGGCTCCTCCCTGCTAGGAAGACCCTGCCCCCGCAGCGTGTTGCTAGTTAGAGCTACTGAATCAATTCTTACCTGAAGGCAGATCGCCCCCAGGACATTTTAGTTGCACAAGTCATTGGAGTCTCTTTTCTGTATAAGTAATTTTGAGCTGAATTTCTGTCACTTCCCACTAAAATAACTTTCAGTGATTCACTGAATAATAGTGGAGTCTACGTGGAGCTGACAATAATTGGAAAAAATAGAATCAATTAAGAGGGAAAGAATAGGAAGAAGGGATACATTCAATCACAGGAGAGTCAGGACAAATACGCGGGTGAAAGACATGACAGTTTTTAACCAAAAGCATGTCTTGAGAAGGAATTGGATTAGAATTGTTTTAAAAAGCTACATGATTGTCAAATTTTTAAAAGCAGCCTAATGCATAGATTGCAACATACAACGTGATATTTAACCATGCTTTGGATGATTAATGTTAACAATAGTGATGGATTGAAACTGTTGCATAGTGCTGGAATTTAAGTGGTAGGGATAAATTTCTCTTTATTTTTGTATGTAGATGCATATGTGTATACACACACACACACACACACACACACACACACACACACACACGTCTTGGAACTCATCAAATAAAGCAGATCTTTTCCAAGTAAGTCCAGTAAATGCAGGGCTATGCACTCAAAGTGAAAAAAATTACAGAATTTTAATAAAAATCAAAGTCATCGTACCATCGTAATTCTCTCCCCATTTCGCTGCTTCTCCAACCCTGTCTTACATACAGATGCCTTAAAAACTGCAGTGAATCTTTTTTCTTGAAAAATGTCTTTATGCCATATAATCATGGCTTCCACTCAATCTTTTGGCACTATCCAATATTAATATGTTTTTGGAAATAAACAGAAGAAACAGTAATGGAAGAGGTACTCAATAGAAAAGTCTCTTGAGGTCTAATTTGGGTGGCACTGGGGAAAATGCCCAGAAGGTCTGCAAACAAGTAATGGGCAATCTAGACAGTGTTGAGAATAATACAGCAGATTTTAAAAAGGAATAGCACGTATAAAAAGACTTTTCCATTTAGGGTGCCAAAATCCTAAAGTAAGGACTTCAAAAAATAATGGAAAGAAACCTCTACATTGAGGCTATAGCAGATTTTGTTTGATAAGAGAAGATTTAGTACATGGAAGTTGTGTTTGTCTTCTGAATAGTAAAAATATCTCACTAAGGATATGCAATATCTTTCTACTTTCATGTGATCATTTTAAAAGGGCAGGAATATGAATTCAACTGACAAAAGATTACTTCAGTGTTTCTGGTTTATTTTAATGTGCATTTTTTCAGTAAAACCTTACAGTAATAAAGATTTTGCTGTCATCTCATGAACAAATAAGTGTATTACTTTACAGGCAAGAAAGGCAAACTAGAATAATGACCATAGCATCATTTATGGGTATATAGAAATTATGTCCTTTTTATAAAGGAGATCTTAATAAGCGGTTTGGGAAATTATATTACAAGCCATTCTGTATTGATTTATTATCTTCTAATGCTCATTTCTGCCATGCACTCAAAGCTCCAAAGCATTAAAATTGGTATCCACTGTAGTTTGATGCCAGTTCTGAAGTTCAAATGGCAAATAAATTCTCATATTAATGGTAATGGTGTGAAACTGAGAATTTATTGAAGTTATTTGTTAAACTTCAGTAGGTACCTATAGCTAGTTTTCATGTGAAAAAACCTTTAGTAAGAGAGCAACTTTGAAATTAACTCATGAAATTAGTTAAATTTTGGCTTTCCTGCCACTCTGGCAGTTTTGTTAACTCATGGGAGTCTGTTCAGGGTAATAACACATAGAGAAGTATGGACCCTAATACCAGTATAAGGCAGAATGAAGCTGTTCTCTACCACGAGAAGCAAACAAGAACCTATCAGAGCCATCAGACAATCATGATTCCAGTGGGCCATTGGGAAAGAATATATGCAGGTGTTCCAGGCAGATTTAGCTCATAGGAACAGTTACAATATTTTATACACATTTTACAAAGGATATTCCTAAGGATTTTTTTGCACTCATTTCCAGATGGTGACTTCTTTAAAAGTAGAAACAGTCTGACATCCACCCAGAATTAAGACCAAGAGAGTACTGTATTAAACTAATTTAAACGTCAAAGCATGTTGCTTTTAATGCTGTGAATTCACCCAGACTCACCTTCTCAGAGCCTTCTTTGTTGAAAGAACATAATGAATAACCTTTAAGTGTTGCTTCCTGCGAGTCAGTGCCAGAACGTTCTAACTGGTAGACCAAGAAGCCTGTCAGCATTTCCATCATAAACCTATATTATCTGGAGCTCATAAGTTGGCTGTAAAACTCAGGCAGAATCTAGGCATTGAAACCTTTCTGGAAAAGTGTTATATTTTTAGGCTGTGTAGACTACAGGGTGGTAAAAACACAGGATTTTCAGGCCCAAATATAGCAGTACTTTACACAAATTTAAACACATTAAAGTAAAACAGAAATGTCCTATTTCTAAATTCACAGGACACAAAAAGAACACATAATTTTAGGCCACTATCCAAACCTTGTAGCCTGATTTTGTCCAAAGTCTGTCTTCCATTATGATTATACAGAAAGTGTTGAAGGCATTGGTAAGTTTTCAGAAACCGATGAACAAACCTAAAAACTTGATGTTTTATAAACTATTCGTCTTTGAAGTGTTGCATATGTTCTAAAGTGGTCATGTGAAATAGCTAAAGCTCTTTGTTATTATACCCTTAAAAGTATTTTTTGTAGAGTACTTTGCATTGTATAAAATAATTTAACATGCAGTATTTAATTTAACTCTAAAAAAAGAATCCTGTAATATTACCCTCATTGCACAGAAGGTAAGCTTAGCACATAAAAGTATTACTCAGTCATGCACAGAAGTTAAGTTCAACCCAGGTCTTCCGATTTCAAGTTCAGTCTGGTACCACTGAAAACACCCCTATCATGTCAACCCTCCTAATTTCTCATTCATACTGAATCTGCCGCTCACTATCATTATGGCCTCTCCTGCTGCGACTGCTCTCTGCTCCCACATCACTCAACCTTCTTCCTCTTTCCACAGCTTCACAGGTTGACCTCTTTTAAACATACCTGTGGATGTCTCGTAAGCTCAGCGCAACTCACCTGGGGCAGTTTTGCTTTCCAGGGGACATTTGGCAATGTCTGGAGACATTTTTGGTTGTCACAACTTCATGTGGGAGGGTAGGGTACTGTTGGCCAATGTCCAGTGGTAGAGACCAGGGATGCTGCTGAACAGCCTACAACACCCAGCACAGCCCTGCCCAACAAATAATTATCCAGTCCAAAATAACAACAGTGCAGAGGTTGAGAAACCCTGCTCCGGCCAGAACTCTAGATTAACAATTTAGGATTATTAACCTGCTTAATTCACTCTTGAACCCCAGGTGACACATCTTCGACTTTCTTTGGTTTCTAAACAATGGTATGAAATGTCAAATGCTACTTTGTCGTTCTAGAACTTAGATCTAAGCTCACAGAAAAGCAAGAATGTGAGCTCTATGAGGATTTGGGATCTGCTTTCTTCTTTCGTTTCTATTGTTTAGTGGCTGCCTCATAGTGGGTGCTCAAGAAGGATCAGCTGAAGCAATGGCAAGTATAGGCATACGTCTTCACTGGATTATAGAAATATGTGCTGTCCATGGACATGGGGAGGGGAACATCACACACTGGGGCCTGTAGGGGGTGGGAGGCTAGAGGAGGGAGAGCATTAGGAGAAATACCTAATGTAGATGATGGGTTGATGGATGCAGCAAACCACCATGGCACGTGTATACCTGTGTAACAAACCTGCACGTTCTGCACATGTATCCCAGAACTTAAAGTATAATAAATTAATTAAAATAAAGAATTAAGTGCTGTCTGTGACTGACCCCTTGGGCATTGCCATTAGTGGCTCCTCTAAATCATTCCCTGTCCTGAGGTCCCCTCCCCTTCCTCCTCATTCCTCCTGCGTCTTCTAGGCCTTCCTGAAAACAAGGCCCTATCATTTCCATTATTACACTCTGTTAGCTCCATCTTCATCACTTTCAAATACGCTGAAAAATCCTCCTTCTAGAATAACTCTGCTACCAACTTTTCTTTCTGTATTTCTTTTACTGCTAAACCTCTTGAGTCGTGATTGGCTCCAATTCCTTAGCATATACAGTGAGTAACCTTTTGCAATCTGAGTGGATTTCCCAGCATGCTACAAATACTGTTCATCTGAAATTCAATCTTGATTTTCTGCTTACAAACCAAGAAAAGGCCTTTGTTCTTGGAAGTGCCCTTGACCTTGCTAGAGCCTGCAACAATTGTGATCTCCTTCATGAAATTCCTTCCCATACTTTCTAAGAGACTGCATATTTCTATCTTTTCACTTTTATACTTAAACCCCAGTTTTTATTTTTCTTAGTGGCAACTTTTCATCTTCTATCCTCCTTAACTGGATGTTTTCTAAGCTTTGTTGTTCTCTGAGGTTATTTTTCTCTTTCTAAGTTTTCTCCCTTGGTCCCTGCATTGACTTCTCTGTGAATAACTAGAAAATCTTTGCTCCCAAGCATTCATCCCACATTTCAAATCACCAGTATAACATGGCTGCTGTAACTTCAAAGTCAACACACTTAAACAAAAACAACTATTTCTTCCCCATCCTTTTTTATAACTTACCTCCTCATGCTCTGTGGCCCCCAGACACAGGAAGGTTCTATTTAGGGGCAGAACTGACATAAAAAGCCTTCTTTCCCTGAGCCTGCTCCATACTTAAGCCATCTCTGCCATTTTGCCAAGTTATTGACCTAAGATCCTGAAATTGATCTCTCCTAGCTACACGCAACTCTGTAGAATTAGCAATTCCACTGGCCATTCCTGTAAGTCCACCCTTCAAAGTGACACCACGTGCTAAAGAAAACAACTCTTGAGAACTGTTTCATAATGGTAATTGGCAACACTCACGTGGACATGCTTATCCATACTAACTTATTAATACCACCATTCTATGGGGTAGGTTCTACTCCCATACACAGTTGTTACAGATAAGGATCCAAGGCAGCATGGCTTAAGTAACTCATTTAATGTTACACTGCTAATGAGGTAGCCAGGATTTGAACAAAGCTGTGTGGCTCCGGTGTCCATGCTTTTATTCACTATGCTCTATCTCTTCCTTACTGCAGGGCACATATGAAAATGGTGATTGGGTGGACATTTTCACATATGAAAATGAAAGTGTGATTGGGTGGACAGTGTAGAACAAAGAGCCATGCAATTTTAAAGGTGAGTTCAGAGGGTTGAATAGCACCCCTCAAAATGATATGCCCAAGTTCTAGCCTCCAGAATCTGTGAAGATGACATTATTTGGAACAAGGATCTTTTCCGATGTGGTTAGCTTAAGGATCTCCAGATGACCTCATCCTGGATTTAGAGTGAGCCCAAAGTCCAATTATTGGGGTCCAAATAAGAAGAGAGGAGGAAGCTGACAAAGAAAAGGTGACGTGAAGTTGGTGTTAGAGACTGGAGTGATGTGTCAATCAGCCAATGCATACCGAGGATTGCTGACAATGCCGACACCTGGGAGAGACGCAGCAACAGGTTCTCCCTCACAAATTTCAGAGGCAATCAACTCTGCTGACCCCTGGAATTTAGACTTTGGGCCTGCTGCATAGTGAAATGATAAAGCTCCATTGATTATGGTGCCAACTTCGTGTGGACTTGTTAGTGCACCTCTGGGAAACAAATGCAATGGGAGAGATCACTGTGAGCTGGAGCAGGGAGTCCAATAATGGAGCCCTCAGGCAAGTGGCAAATCTCTAATGAAATGCATCTCACAAACAGAATGCTGCCAAAGACTAAATTTTCTTTTAGTTTTTCTAACATTATTTTTGTTATTATACTTTCAGTTCTGGGATACATGTGCAGAATGTGCGGGTTTCTTACATAGGTATACACGTGCCATGGTGGTTTGCTGCATCCATCAACCCATCATCTATATTAGGTATTTTTGCTATCCCTCCCCTAGACCCTCACCCCATGACAGGTCCCAGTGTGTGATGTTCCCCTCCCTGTGTCCATGTGTTCTCATTGTTCAACACTCACTTATGAGTGAGAACATGCAGTGTTTGATTTTCTGTTCCTGTGTTAGTTTGCTGAGAGTGATGGTTTCCAGCTACATCCATGTCCCTGCAAAGGACATGAACTCATCCTTCTTTATGGCTGCATAGTATTCCATGGTGTATATGTGCCACATTTTCTTTATCCATTGTACCACTGATGGCCATGTGGGTTGGTTCCAAGTCTTTGCTATTGTGAACAGTGCTGCAATAAACACACATGTGCATGTAACTTTATAGTAGAATGATTTATAATCCTTTGGGTATATACCCAGTAATGGGAATCCTCGGTCAAATGGTATTTTTGGTTCTAGATCCTGCAGGAATCACCACACTGTCTTCCACAATGGTTGAACTAATTTACATTCCCACCAACAGTGTAAAATTGTTCCTATTTTTCCGCATCATATCCAGCATCTGTTGTTTCCTGACATTTTAATGATCACCATTCTAACTGGCGTGAGATGGTATCTCATTGTAGTTTTGATTTGCATTTCTCTAATGACCACTGATGATGAGCTTTTTTTTCATATGTTTGTTGGCTGCATAAATGTCTTCTTTTGAGAAGTGTCTGTTCATATCCTTCACCCACTTTTTGATGGGGTTGTTTTTTTCTTGTAACTTTAAGTTCTTTCTAGATTCTGGATATTAGCCCTTTGTCAGATTGATAGATTGCAAAAATTTTCTCCCATTCTCTAGGTTGCCTGTTCACTTTGATGATAGTTTCTTTTGCTGTGCAGATGCTCTTCAGTTTAATTAGATCCCCTTTGTCAATTTTGGCTTTTGTTGCCATTGCTTTTGGTGTTTTAGTCATGAAGTCTTTGCCCATGCTTATGTCCTGAATGGTATTGCCTAGGTTTTTTTCTAGGGTGTTTATGGTTTTAGGTCTTACATTTAAGTTTTTAATCCATCTTGAGTTAATTTTTGTATAAGGTGTAAGGAAGGGGTCCAGTTTCAGTTTTCTGCATATGGCTAGCCAGTTTTCCCAACACCATTTATTAAATAGGGAATCATTTCCCCATTTCTTGTTTTTGCCAGGTTTGCTGGAGATCAGATGGTTGTAGATGTGTGGCCTTATTTCTGAGGCCTCTGTTGTGTTCCTTGGGTCTATATATCTGTTTTGGTACCACACTATGATGTTTTGGTTACTGTAGACTTGTAGTATAGTTTGAAGTCAGGTAGCATGATGCCTCCAGCTTTCTTCAATTTGCTTAGGATTGTCTTGGCTATACGGGCTCTTTTTTTAGTTCCATATGAAATTTAAAGTAGTTTTTTCTAATTCTGTGAAGAAAGTCAATGTTAGCTTGCTGGGGATATCATTGAATCTATAAATTACCTTGGGCAGTACGGCCATTTTCAAGATATTCATTCTTCCTATCCATGAGCATGGAAGGTTTTTCCATTTGTTTGTGTCCTCTCTTATTTCCTTGAGCAGTGGTTTGTAGTTCTCCTTGAAGAGGTCCTTCATATCCCTTGTAAGGGATATGCACTGTGTCTGAGAGATTGTTGTGATTTACAATTGTTTGCGTTTGCTTAGGAGTGTTCTACTTCCAATTATGTGGCTAATTTTAGAATAAATGTGATGTGGAGCTGAGAAGAATGTATATTCTGTTGATTTGGGGCGGACAGTTCTGTGGATGTCTATTAGTTCCGCTTGGTCCAGAGGTGAGTTCAAGTCCTGAGTATGCTTGTTAATTTTCTGTCTCATTTATCTGTCTAATATTGACAGTATTCCTAGTTATTTTATTCTCTTTGTAGCAATTGTGAATGGGAATTCACTCATGATTTGGCTCTCTGTTTATTACTGGTGTATAGGAATGCTTGTGATTTTAGCACATTGATTTTGTATCCTAAGACCTTGCTGAAGTTGCTTATTAGCTTAAGGAGATTTTGGGCTGAGACGATGGGGTTTTCTAAATGTACAATCATGTCATCTGCAAACAGAAAATTTGACTTTCTCTCTTTCTACTTGATTCCCCTTTATTTCTTTATCTTGCCTGATTACCCTGGCCAGAACTTCCAATTCTATGTTGAATAGGAGTGGTGAGAGAGGGCATCCTTGTTTATACCAGTTTTCAAAGTGAATGATTCCAGCTTTTGCCATTCAGTATAATATTGGCTGTGGGTTTGTCATAAATGGCTCTTATTATTTTGAGATACATTCCATTAATACCTAGTTTATTGAGAATTTTTACCATGAAGGGGTGTTGAATTTCATGAAGGGCGTTTTCTGCATCTATTGAGATAATCATGTGGTTGTTGTCATTGGTTCTGTTTATGTGATGGATTACGTTTATTGATTTGCATATGTTGAACCAGTCTTGCATCCCAGGGATGAAGCCTACTTGATCGTGGTGGATAAGCTTTTTGATGTACTGCTGGATTCGGTTTGCCAGTATTTTATTGAGGATTTTCACATCAATATTCATCAGGGATATTGGCCTGAAATTTTCTTTTTTGTGTGTGTGTCTCTGCCAGGTTGTGGTATCAAGATGATGATGGCTTCATAAAATGAGTTAGGGAGGAGTCCCTCTTTTTCTTTTGTTTGGAATAGTTTCAGAAGGAATGGTACCAGCTCCTTTTTGTACCACTGGTAGACTTCGACTGTGAATCCATCTGGTCCTGGACTTTTTTTGGTTGGTAGGCTATTAATTACTGTCTAAATTCAGAACTTATTATTGGTCTATTCAGGGATTCGACTTCTTCCTAGTTTAGTCTTGGGAGTTTTTATGGGTCCAGGAACTTATCCATTTCTTTTAGATTTTCTAGTTTATTTGCATAGAGGTGTTTATAGTATTCCCTGGCAGCAGCTTTGTATTTCTGTGGGATCAGTGGTGATATCCCCTTTATCATTTCTTATTGTGTCTATTTGATTCTTCTCTCTTTTCTTCTTTATTAATCTGGATAGCAGTCTATCTATTTTGTTAATCTTTTCAAAAAACCAACTCCTGGATTCATTGATTTTTTCAAGGGTTGTTCATGTCTATCTCCTTCAGTTCTGCTCTGATCTTAGTTATTTCTTATCTTCTGCTAGCTTTTGAATTTGTTTGCTCTTACTTCTCTAGTTTTTTTCATTGTGAAGTTACGGTGTGGATTTTAGATCTTTCCTGCTTTCTCCTGTGGGCATTTAGTGCTATACATTTCCCTCTAAACGCTGCTTTAGCTGTGTCCCAGAGATTCTGGTACATTGTGTCTTTATTCTCATTGATTTCAAAGAAGGTATTTATTTCTACCTTAATTTTACTAAGGTTGAAATTTAAGTTATTTACCCAGCAGTCTTTCAGGAGCAGTTTGTTCAGTATCCATGTACTTGTGTGGTTTTGAGTGGGTTTCTTAATCCTGAGTTCCAATTTGATTGCACTGTGTCTGAGAGATTGTTTGTTGTGATTTACGATTGTTTGCATTTGCTTAGGAGTGTTTTACTTCCAATCGTGTGGCCAATTTTAGAATAAGTGTGATGTGTAGCTGAGAAGAATGTATATTCTGTTGATTTGGGGTGGACAGTTCTGTAGATGTCTATTAGTTCCGCTTGGTCCAGAGGTGAGTTCAAGTCCTGAGTATCCTTGTTAATTTTCTGTCTCATTTATCTGTCTAACATTGACAGTGGGGTGTTGAAAATCTCCCACTATTATTGTGTGGGAGTCTAAGTCTCTTCGTAGGTCTCTAAGAACTTGCTTTATGAATCTGGGTGCTCCTGTATTGGGTGCATATATATTTAGGATAATTAGCCCTTCTTGTTGCATTGATCCCTTTACCATTATGTAATGCCCTTCCTTGTCTTTTTTGATCTTTGTTGGTTTAAAGTCTGTTTTATCAGAGAC